>NC_000002.12:94496015-94823082 GCF_000001405.40 Homo sapiens | reverse complement strand
GTCAACAGAACAAGCCTTACCAGTGGCTTCAGAGGAAGAGCAAGAAAGGCATGAAAGAAGTGAAAAGAAGCAACCACAGGTATATGAACATTTAAGTTTCTTGTTTAATATTGGGTTTTGTTTTTTTTCTTTAGTAACAAGGCATAGTCCAAATGACATGACCTTTTAGATTATACCTTTAGAATCCAATAGATCATAATTTTATATTTAATTTTTAAAACATTTTAACCAGTTATGAAACTTAAGATATTCTTACTATCTCTAGTAACTATTAGTTATTCTGGTAATTCTTACTATCTCTAGTAACTCATAGCTGTCTTTACCCTTGGAATTGAGGCAAGACATTTTCAGAATTATCTTGCTCTTTTATTTGTATAACCTTACTCATAATACAGAAGGTAACATGAAATATTGGGTTATATTATTAAGGAATAGAAATTATGAACAGTTTAACAACAGTGGCCACTGAGTTAAAGTAGTGTTAAAGGAGTCATCATTGCCAGTGGTTCAAATGTTGCAGTTTTGTATTGCTGGTCACCAGTGCCGAGTTTAAAGATTTATTCTGTTTTGTGGTCACCAGTTGAGTTCTGTGTCTGTGTTCAGGGAGTGAATGGTGTCATAAAAATCAACCCAGTTGCCTATTAAGAGAATCGTACCTTGTGGAATGGGACCTTTGGTGTCAGGGTACAAACAATAACTTTATTTTGACATAAATACATAGTAAATGTTACTAAAATTTAAAAAATCCATCCACTATCACTAGTGGAACTTAAAATACATTAGAAGTGGATACAAGCAGAAAATCCATCTAGGTACATAACACTATCATAGTATATTATTTGAATTAGAATTTAAAATTTTGCTTCCCTTTCTTATTGGTGTTCAGTTTGGCTCTTAATAATTCAGTGTTTCCCTAGTCTCTAGTTAATCTTCAGAAATATACACGCACTGTAGGGGCTCACTTTTGCTGGTATGCTGAGGTAAAATCTTTGTAAGAGGGGAAGATTTTATAATACTACCTATCAGCTTTGAATTCATTTCTGGTAGATTTTACACATAATGCATTAAGTTTAATCCAAACAAATGCTAAGAGTTCAGCTTGCCAGTTCATATTTCTGTCCTATGTTAAGCCAAGGCAAATTATTTTTCACTTTTTAGTTACAATCCTATAATTTAAGAGTGGCAACACATAGATTAAGTTTCACAGTTAAATTTTAATTATTTTCTAGTATTTTTGTTTATGCTTGATTAAAGCTAATTTTAAAACATGCACTCTGACAGAAAAGACATCTGAGAAACAAAACAAGCAAATTTGTTTTCCATTTTGCACCTGCCAAAAAAAAAAAAAAGTCTCAAGAACCAGAACTGGGTAAGAATTGTGATAAAGGGAATAATCTGTCTGTATATTCACGACTTTCTTTAAAATTCATTACAAACAAGTTCGAGCTGAATATTGGTGAAAGTTTTGAAAACTCCAGAATTACTGCTTGCCCTGAGGAAGAGCTCCTATGTAGTAACTCTAAAGAGGGACGAACAAAAAAGGAGTGCCCTCTAATCTGATGAATCAGGTCCCTGATTGTGAGGAGGAAGATGCATCTGGAGGGTCCAACTCTGTGGCAGTCCAGGCAGCGCCTGAACAGAGGAAGCCCATGTCAAATGTCTTTTTATTCCATTCATACTCCAGGTCCCTGAAATACAGTTACCAGTCATCTTCTAAGCTTCATTTAAATGAAAATAAATCAGACTATAAAAGTGATAGCAAACCAGACACATAGCTTGTTTCTAACACAGATGATGAAAATTTTTGTAATGATACAGAAACCAAAAAATTAAGGAACCCAGTAATTATGATTGAAATGAAAGATGATTAAGAGTTTGACATGCAAATGGCAAAAAATGTAAACCCAGATACCACTAATTGGAAATTGGACATTAGGCATTGGCTTCAGTCTAGAGATCCAGAAAGTCTTTTTGATTTGTTGTTTACCCACCCCAAAGAAATGAAGCATATGATTCAGATAGAAAGCCACAGTATTTCTGCTGCTACAGATACTTAATGAAAACAGAAAACCAATACAGCGTTTATTCCAGAAGCCACTATATGGCAGTCCCAGTGCTAACAACTACAGAAGCATGAATCTTGAATTATAAAATGTGAGTTATTCTTTGCCACATAGTGAGAGAACATCAAAAATATAGCTAGAAGACTTATGGGAATATATTCCAAGGTCACCAACATGGCACATGAATACATATGTAACAAACCTGCATGTTGTGCACATGTACCAGAACTTAAACTATAATAATAATAATAAAAAAAGAATGAGGTAGGCATGTTACAAGTTGAGTTCCTGGCTTTGGAGAAAAGCAAGTCCAACTTCAAAAAGATAGAGGTTCACTTGCTGCTGCTTTTTCCTCTTTATCAATTATTTGATTTAGTCAAATTTTCTATTCAAGAAAATCTCATGTGTACAGTTACAGTGGGGTTATCTAAATGTGTAATTATGTGTCAAAGTAGATTAGTTCTGCTATCTAAATAATGGTTCTGGAGAATGTTCTCATAATGTTTGTTCATTAATCAACCTATGTCTCACTATCAGTCTTCCAAGTGGCGTATGAGCTGGGAAACTAATTCAGCCACATACCATGTGACCTTCTGAACCAGATCAACATAAAGAAATTGCTAAAGAAACAAGCTCTAGATTCTAGATTCTTTTTTCTGTATTCATTTAGAGATGATTTACATTTATTTAATGATAGAATGGGAATACAATGGGAGGGAAGCAATGACTGAGACAAGCCACAAAAACACATCTAGCCTTGAGATTTGCAACGAATATTCCCAGCCAAATGAGTCTGTTTAATGTGTTTTCATGCATGCAAGTTTATCTGCTTAGCTCAAACTGTTTGAACTTACAGTCCCATCATAGTTATTTCCAATATTTTTGAAAACAAACATATACTTACACATATTTTAAAAAATCACCATTCTGCAATATTTCTGTTGAATCAGACCTTACATTATGTTGTTTAATAAAGTATGGTAAGTTTTGGCATGTATGATTTTTATCATATAAGAAGCATAATTTCTTAGCCAAAAATTTAGCCTTTGACTCTTTAGTAGAAAGTTGAGTTCTGTACATTGTGTTCTAAAGATAGACAAAAATCTAGAGATTTTCTTCTTTCAAAGTAAAAGCAGATGAGGCCTTTTTCCACCCTCTGAGGCATTAAATTGCTTTGCTCAAGGTTAGACTTTTAATATATCTGACTAATTTGATAAATTTATCTGGCAATTTATGTAATTCAGCAATATGGAATTGTATCATGTTATATGGTGCCATGAAATGCTAGTGAATGCCACCTCAAGAGCTCTGGATGAAACATTTAATATGTCTTGGTTGGTTTGACTCCCATTATCAGTAGATAATGCAGTTAAAGTAGGTAACTGTACCATATGTTTTCCACCTATAAACTTTTGTGGTAATTGAATGTGAAATCTGGGAAGCATCTCATTTTCCAGAATTCGGCACTAGAAACTCAGCAGTTTCACTCTGCTTCTTGTGTTGTGGCAAACGTTGGTTCCCATAATTCAAAGAGAACCTTTACTTTTTTTACTTTTTTGATATCACAGGATTCAAAAAAAAAAAAAAAAAAAGAGAGATAAAAGGCAGTGGGGAAAAGAGTAGCTCAGTACAGAAAAGGGAAAACTTCTTTACTGTTCCTGAAGGCCTACAATGTCACATCCTCTTAATCTGGCTATTTCATGTAAAATCCAGGTAGTAAAGACAGAAGACATATGTTATGCCTGTGTCTTTTTATTTCTCTGTTTCTGCCAGCCAGATAGCATAAAAATTTATACCAGATAGCAAAGAGTGGATGGGAATAAAAGCACAAAATGGAGAAGAGCCCTTTTTGAAATTTTAGAAAATTCTTCTATTCACTCAAACAGAAATGAGCAGATTTGACAAAAATTTCGATGATAAAATAAGAGTATCTTATAATTATAATAATTATGTATAATGATAAAATTAAAGTAAGCACAAAATACTTTTATCATTAAAGTGGTGATAACCTGAATCAAGTAAAAAAAATCAGGGAAAAAGTTCTTTTTATTGAATAAAATAATAACAATTATTATTCATCTTACTTTTATTAAAGGTCAAAAAAGGAAATAATACAAACAAAAGTGAAAAAATACAACTTTCAGAAAATATATGTGATAGTACATCTTCTGCTGCTGCTGGCAGATTAACCCAACAAAGAAAGATTGGGAAAACGTATCCTCAGCAATTTCCCAAGAAGCTGAAGGAAGAGCATGATAAGTAAGCCTATAGCAGTGTGTGTTTTTTTGTTTGGTTTTGGGGTTTTTTTGTTTGTTTTTGTTTTTTTGAGATGGAGTTTCTCTCTTGTTGCCCAAGCTGGAGTGCAATGGTGTGATCTCAGCTCACTGCAACCTCTGCCTCGTGGGTTCAAGCGATTCTCCTGACTCAGTCTCCCTAGTAGCTGGGATTACAGGCATGTGCCACCATGCCTGGCTAATTTTTTGTATTTTTAGTAAAAATAGGATTTCACCATGTTAGCCAAGCTGGTCTCGAACTCCTGACTTCAGGTGTTCTGCCCACCTCGGCCTCTCAAAGTGCTGGGTTTACAGGAGTGAGCCACCGTGCCTGGCCGCCTATAGTAGTATTTCACAGGAGATAATTGTCATTGTGCTATAAACTAATTCAAAATTGGACTAATATTCCTTATGATTAACAAGTTTTATATTTTTACCAGGGGTATTTAGCCCTGCCTGGTAATCAGAAAAATGCAAATTAACATAAAATAAGATATATTTTGTAAAGTCATGCTGATATTTAAGAAGTAATTACTAGTGTTGGCAAATGTGAGGAAAAAGGCATTCTCATACACTGTTGGTATAGGAAATTAGTAAATTATTTCTGAAGGTTAACTTAGTGCTGTGTATCAAAATTTCAAATAGCCTGACATCCCTTTAACTCAACAACTCCACTTCTGGGACTAGATTTCACAGGAAAACATAACTTGTGTAAACATACACACACTTATTAAGGGCATTAATTATATGTTACACATAATGAACAATAGGTTAATGAATGTATAAAATATATGTAATAAGAAGGTGAATTGAAAGTATTAAGAAATAATTATAAAAAGTGTGGGGAAACAGATGTTAGACTCTTTAGCCTAGTTTTGGATGACAGTCATCTGCAGATATAGTTTGTGTGAGAGACATCTGAAGGTGTCATCTCACTCTGTAAATCATTTGGAGAAACACCGCAATATTTCATAAAGATGAAAATTTATTTCTAGTGAACTTATACGCTTGTCAATAAATAGTAACTTTAAAAATTTAGTTGATTGTAAATGATCTTTTCTAATTAGGGAGTAATTATGACTGTGTGATTTAAAAAGGTAATTTTGAACCTGTAACTTTACTGAATTATCTCTGGTATCCTTTTTTATAATATATATTAGAGTGAATAGTAACAAAAACTTTAGCAGAATATTCTTTCCTTACTACTTTTCAAGTATATGCATTCTTTTGAAGATGTTGAAGTGAGAAATTAAATATCTGAGAACTGCAAAGGAAAAATAATCCAGAACATAGAAATTTTATTAGGATAATAAACATCTGCAGAGGTATATCACAGGATGAACTCTTTATTTTTTAACAAAATGAATTTTAAGATAAATGTCTTTATCTGCAGATGCACCTTAAAACAAGAAAATGAAGAAAAAACAAATGTTAATATGCTGTACAAAAAAAATAGAGAAGAATTAGAAAGGAAAGAGAAACAATATAAGAAAGAAGTTGAAGCAAAACAACTTGAACCAACTGTTCAGTCACTAGAGATGAAATCAAAGACTGCAAGAAATACTCCAAATCGGGTAAATCAATCTTTGGTAAAAATTCTATATTTTAAACTTTATCTTATCACTGTTACTTATAATGTCCACTTGATTTAATATATATTGTTTAGGTCTAAAACCAGAAATTTTATCTCATTTTTAAAAATGAATGATGACACTTACAGGTACAATTATTAATATTTATTATAAATCTTGGCATCCACATAGGATATTATTTTATTACAAAGAGCTTTTGAAAACAATAATATGCCATAATATATACTTAGTGATAACCTATTGATAAAAATTTTGTTCCAGGTAAAATTTTTCCTTGTACTTTCCCCTATTTCATATTGATTACTGCACCTAATATTATAAAGAGGAAACAGAAATTATTGCAATCACAAATAATCTCATGATATTCTAAGAAGAGCTCTATAAATTTTATCTTATTTACTGTTGGTGTTTTGAAATAAAAGTTTTCTTTCGTATTGATGTATTTACACCACAGAAGTAACTGTGATCTGTTGGAGAACTAGAAGTAGAGTCAGAAGTCCTGGGGAAAATCCTGTAGCTTGCTTATATTTTTAACATTTCTTTTTCAAAATTGTGGTAACTAGATGAGTTCATCAATGAATGTATATAGGAGTGACTAGTATAATGTCTAGTTTATGACTTAGTGAATGTAATTCTTATAACTGACTATAAAAGTGTTAAAAGAGTCAAACTGAAATAGAATGTTATCGGTGAAACAGAACTGTAATAACTCTGGGAAATTTTATCTGTCCAAATACGTGTGAACAAAAGTTCTTACTATAGGGTGGTGTATGGGTTAGATATCAAAGTGTAAATGCAATTTTTTGATATATCTTAATTTAGTCAAATTTGTTAATGCTTTAATTTATGCTTTTGAGTTTGTTGTAATTCAGGGAAAGGCTTTTCCAATTCCGATATTCTTAAAAATTCTCTGGTGTGCGTGTGTGTGTTTACTTTTATAAATTCATTGACTCTAAATACATTTCTGAACTTTCTGGAATTTATGCTCTATAAGGTTCAAAGTTTTGCTTCAACTTTTTCTCCAGGTGGATATCCACTTATGGTAAACTTTTTAGTGTACGGATGTGCAGGTTATTCTTTAACTTCAGAGGTAATCATGATATGTTATTTTATTGAGTACTAGCTAAAACTTTCTTTTGTTTTATTTAGGATTTTCATAATCATGAAGAAACGAAAGGTCTGATGGATGAAAATTGCATTTTGAAGGCAGATATTGCCATACTCAGACAGGAAATATGTACAATGAAAAATGACAACTTGGAAAAAGAAAATAAATATCTTAAGGACATTAAAATTGTTAAAGAAACAAATGCTGCCCTTGAAAAGTATATAAAACTCAATGAGGAAATGATAACAGAAACAGCATTCCGGTATCAACAAGAGCTTAATGATCTCAAGGCTGAGAATACAAGGCTCAATGCCGAACTGTTGAAGGAAAAAGAAAGCAAGAAAAGACTGGAAGCTGACATTGAATCTTATCAGTCTAGACTGGCTGCTGCTATAGGTAAACACAGTGAAAGTGTGAAAACAGAAAGAAACGTAAAACTTGCTTTAGAGAGAACACAAGATGTTTCTGTACAAGTAGAAATGAGTTCTGCTATTTCCAAAGTAAAAGATGAGAATGAGTTTCTTACTGAACAACTTTCTGAAACACAAATTAAATTCAATGCCTTAAAAGATAAGTTCCGTAAGACAAGAGATAGTCTCAGAAAAAAGTCATTGGCTTTAGAAACTGTACAAAATGACCTAAGAAAAACACAGCAGCAAACACAGGAAATGAAAGAGATGTATCAAAATGCAGAAGCTAAAGTGAATAATTCCACTGGAAAGTGGAACTGTGTAGAAGAGAGGATATGTCACCTCCAACGTGAAAATGCGTGGCTTGTACAGCAACTAGATGACGTTCATCAGAAAGAGGATCATAAAGAGATAGTAACTAATATCCAAAGAGGCTTTATTGAGAGTGGAAAGAAAGACCTCGTACTAGAAGAGAAAAGTAAGAAGCTAATGAATGAATGTGATCATTTAAAAGAAAGTCTCTTTCAGTATGAGAGAGAGAAAGCAGAAGGAGTAGTAAGTATCAAGGAAGATAAATATTTTCAAACTTCTAGAAAGAAAATTTAAACATTTGGTTCTGGATACATGTTGAACTTAGTTGAATATAAAAATCTAGATAAAAAGTGTGTTTACCATACTGTATAATTCCATTTACATGAAGCATCCAGAAAAGATAAATGTATAGGGACAAAAAGTAGATTAATGTTTGCAAGGGGCTGGGGCTGGAAGCTGGTAGTGACTGCTAATGGGCATGAGGAATCTTACAGTGATGGAAATGCTCTAAAGTTGGATTGTAGAGATGGCTGCACAACTCAGTAAATGTACTAAAAATCTTTTAACTTTAAGTCAAAACAGATACATTCTATAGTATGTAAATTATATTTCAACAAAGCTGTTTTAATAAAAAAGGAAAAATGTTTACTATATCGGCTTAGAAACATGCCTCATTTCTAGGAAATAAAAGAGGTGAGAGATGATTTACTTTGAGAAAAGACATTGTGTCACCTATGAAATTTTATTAGGCACAGAGTCATATTTTAAGGTAGATAGTTCTGTACTGCTGAAATAGTAATTTTAATGTCTTTATATTGCCACATGTTAAGACCATAATGTAGTTATAAATGGAAATGTTTACACCTGAAGTATTTTCAAATTAAAATTTAATTAAGTGATTTTCTTCGACACTTAATTCTAGATTCCCCAGATGAATTGAAGTGTATTGCTGTGTCTTGTAGTACCTTGCTTTAACTAGCTTTTTATGTATTTTAGTTGGTATAGCTTTGTTATTATTCATATTAATTTAACAAATCTGAAAATATGTCAAATTACGTATTTTTATGACCACGTAATGTTTTAAAGGCACCTACTTGTTATAAAATCATAATTTAGGAGAAATGTGGTAAAACTTAGCAAAACTATATTTGGTTTAGTCTTCCCACTGGTATTTATAGTTTACTTTGAATATTTATATTAATAATTAGGTCATAATTTTTATTTCAAGGCTCAATGACTGTCATTGGAATATAATTTTGTTCAGTACAAAGATACTTGTAGCTGTCTGTGATTTACGAGTTAGGCATTACATCTCCATTTTCAGACTGAGGGGTGGCAGGCTTCACATACAGTGGGAATGGAGTAATTACAGGAGGGAGTTGTAGGAGCTTTGAAGTCAGAGAGGGAGGTAGAGGCCTTTTTACCTAGGGCCTCAAAGGCCATTGGAATTTTACTTTTATTCTGAGATAGGAATCTGTTGGAAGGATTTGAACAGGTGATTGAATATGTTAGGAACTTTGAGGCTGAGTTGAGCTTCTGAGATGATTGAATGTTGGAATGAATCTGTTGTGTAAGTAAGAGAATACCAATTTGGCAGGAAGAGAACATATTCTGCATCCCTCACTGAATTCAGTAATACATAAAAATGTGTACATGTGATTAAAAGAAGGTGAATTGATATGTGTGGTGATAATTTTCAAAGTAGATATGTTAGAATTAAACATTATTAACATAATTTAATAATAAGGCAATTTATAAAATCAGTAACAAAAATATTTTATCAGGTGGTTGTGAGACAACTTCAACAAGAAGTGGCTGACAGCGTAAAAAAATTAACAACGTTAGAGTCTCCACTGGAAGGTATATCACATTGTCACATTAATTTGGATGAGACACAGGCCTCAAAGAAGAAATTATTTCAAGTGGAAAGTCAAGTATGTATGGAATTTAACATGTCAACAGTTATTCTGTAGCTAGTTGAATTATATAACATGTTTTAGGATACTAATTTTGGCAGAAGCTTGATTTTTTATTTTCATTATAATGAATGATTTCCATTTTACTATCTTTATAATTATTTTTTTATGTTGTGACTTTCATTCTACCATTTTGAAAAACCATTGCATACCTTTTCTCTTACAATATGTACCCTTGGAAAAGTTGAGAATTATACATCATTCCTCATAGAAAATTGACTTTTTTCCTGTTAAACAGTATTTTTAAGTAATTTTTGTATTTCTCTGATGAGGCAGGCCAGATTAAATCAGAGGAGAATGTTTCATGGAATGTTCCAGAAAATTGTCTTATTTCTTCACTTTTGTGAATGGACACAGAATCTGTGTCTATTTGTTTCACAGATTCTAGGTTAACTTGTACAGAAAGGCCGTTATACTATTCTTTGAAATGTGCATGTTTTAGGTTAATTTACAAACTATTTGAAAAGTTAGGCATTTTCTTTATCTATCTTTTATTTAAAATATACTGTAAAACTGTAGAAATATTTAGATTTGATATAGCATGTACATCAAAAATTAAGAGTTGAGAAAATTATCTTGATCCTGCCTTTGGATTTTAAAAAATTCACTGAGATGTCATTCACGTATCAGACAGTTCAACCATTTAAAATGTACAACTCAGTATCTATTAGTATGTTCACAGCATTTTCATCACCCTGAAAAGTGACCCCACATCTCCTAGGCATGACTGCAGCCTTCCTCCATGTCCCTCCACCTACCCCTGTTGTAGGCAACCACTGTCTACTTTTGTCTCCATATGTTTGCCTGTTCTGCATGTTTCATATACATAGAGTTATACAATATGTATACATATACAATATGTATATGTATACTTTGGGACTGGCTTTTTCACTTAGCATAATGTTTTTAGAATTCATGCATGTTTTAGCACACATTCATAGTTTATTTCTTCTTATAGTTAAATGATATTCTATTCCATGGCTATACTGGTTTTCCATTCATTCATCAGTTGATGGACCTTTAGGTTAGTTTCCACTTTTTAGCTATTATGAAAAATGCTGCTGTGAACATTCACTTACAGGTTATTATGTGGACACAGGTTTTTATTTCCCTGCCATTGGACTTTATCCTCAGAGTTAACTGGGCAGATTTCAGCACTTGTCTTGCTCATGCTATCCTTTCTGCCTTCTCAGTTTCTGTTCATCTAGCCTCATTCATTCAGACCTGGCAGACAATTTTTTTGTTTTCATGAAGCTTTCTCTGACTGTTCTCTCATTGACCTTATGTGTTAGCAATCGTTGTCTAGTCTGTGCTGAAAAACTTAGTCCTTAATTTTACATGGCTTTTTTTTTTATGGAAGATAATTTTCTCTCATTATAAATTTGCTTAATGGGGGAATAATATATAATATGTATGCCACCTATCCTTGCATACATTGAAAATATTTTAGCTTAGAGGTTTGTAGCATACAATTCAATCCTTTATACCATACCAATTATTTCTTCTTTGAGACCTTGACACAGTAAGGTTATATTCTAAATGTATTTTTAGCAATTAAATATCAAATCTAACCCAATTAGTCTAACACAGGAGATGCGTTCAATCACGTGTTTATGTTTTTCTCTCTATGAAAAAGAATCTCAATTGGCCTTTTTTCACTATGTAGCCATTACTGTGTTTCTGGATTGCTCCCAGTCTGTCAGCTGAACAGTTCTGGGTGCAGCTTGTCTGATGAAGGATAGCACAGCCCCTCAATCTCAGTACTCAGCAGAGTGCTTGTGAAGGCAGCACCACAGCAACAGTTGCTCAGAGTGAACGGATTCAGGAGCCTTGACTTAGCAATAGAGTCCAGGGTTTTCAGCTCAGTGTCTTTAGCCTGTCTCTGCTGGTCATGTCAGTTACATACTATTCCATCCAGGAGGTGCTATTTACATTGTAGTACATACATAGTCATTGCCTAATGAGTCATACAGAGAGAAAAGTAAGTTATAAATTATGTCCCCCATTTGCTGCAACTCTCAGTGGTAAGAATGATTAAGTGCAGCTATAGGAGAATACTTCCATTGGCATGCCACCTGCGTAAAACACACAATTTTGTTAAGATATACAATAAAATTATTATGCTAATAGCAAATATTTTATGTAGCTCACTATGTTCCATGTAGTCTTCTAAGTGCTTCATGTTAGTCCCCAGTTAAACACCTGGTTTTGGAAGGCTGAGGCAGGAGGATTGCTTGAGCCCAGGAGTTTGAGAGCAGCCAGAGCAATATAGTGAGACCCTGTCTCTAAAAAAAAAAAAAAAAAAAAAATTTTTTTAAACACTTAGCTGAGGCATGGTGGTGCATGCCTGTAGTCCCAGCTACATTGGGAGGCTGTGGTAGGAGGGTCGTTTGAGCTTGGAATATTGAGGCTGCAGTGAGCAGTGATCAAGCCACTGCACTCCAGCCTAGGTAGCAGAGGGAGACTCTGTCTCATAAATAAAACATGTTGTATAGATTCCCATAGAAGTGAGTTAGATATCAGACATAGAATTATTAGCCACTTTGATGTCTACCTTGGGAGTAAAACATATAATAAGGGGCAGCTTTAAACCATCTCAATCAATGCCTCTAACTTCTCGAGAAGGTTCTTATTTCATGAATTTCTAAGCAAAGGACTACCTGGATTAAGACATTTGGTAGACACCATTTTGAGATGAAGAATCTTGAATGGGAAGAAGGGAGATCTCTACTTACTGAAGCCTCCCAATGACATAGTTAAGTGTCCCCCAAAAGGAACTTTAGAACAAGATGTTCATCATGCCATATGTCTATGGGAAAGGAAATTCTTTAAAAGAAAATAAAGGCAAACAATTGATAATCTGATTCTCATGGGAAGGTTTTCATTATCAAAGAAAAAGAGGGCTGGGTTCCATGGCTCACATCTGTAATCCCAACACTTTGGGAGGCTGAGGGGGGTGGATTACCTGAGGTCAGGAGTTCAAAAGCAGTCTGGCCAACATGGTGAAACCCTGTCTCTACTGAAAATACAAAAATTAGCCAGGCGTGGTGGTGTGCACCTGTAGTCCCAGCTACTTGAGAGGCAGAGGCAGGAGCATCACTTGAACCCAGGAGGTAGAAGTTGCAGTAAGCTGAGATGGCACCACTGCACTCCAGCCTGGATGACACAGTGTGACTCCACCTCAAAAAAAGAAAAGAAAGGGACAAAGTATACTGGTCCAAAAAAGAAGAAAGAATGAAAAAAAGGACAAAGTATACTGGTTAGTATCGTAACAGTGAGATAGTCCCCCTTTGAGATTAGAAAATAACAGTATACTCAAAGTAACATCAATAAGAACCAACATAAAATAGACAAGATTCACTATCTACAAAAGTAATCTGCACCAAGTAGCAATGTATGAGCATGTGGTGGAGAATATTGTCTATAATATGTGTTCTAGAAGGAAGAGACCTCAAGAAAAAGGTCAGAGCTAGAAATGTAGATTAGGGAATCTAGGTAAAAGTTTAGGAGATTTTAGGAGTCCTGAGAGAATTTAAAAAGTGAAATAGCTGCCGGGTGTGGTGGCCACACCCGTAATCCCAGCACTTTGGGAGGCCAAGGCAGGCAGATCATGAGGTCAGGAGTTCAAGACCAATCTGACCAACATAGTGAAACCCCGTCTCTACTAAAAATACAGAAAATTAGCTGGGCGTGGTAGCATATGCCTGTAATCCTAGCTACTTGGGAGGCTGAGGCAGGAGAATCGCTTGAATCCAGGAGGTGGAGGTTGCGGTGAGCCGAGATCATGCCACTGCACACCAACCTGGGTGACAGTGGGAGACTCCATCTCAAAACAGAAAACAAAAACAAAACAAAAAACCAGAAAAGGATAGGGCTGAAGAACAGAGGTTGCTAAATTTAGAAATGAAGTGGGGTCAGAGGAATAGAGATAGGGCTGAAGAACAGAGGTCGCTGCATTTAGAAAGGAGGCGGGGTCAGAGGAGCAGAGGGAGCATTTGGTCACTGCTCTGCTGAGTAAAGTAGGATAAAGTCCTTCATGACCCTTGGACTTTTTTATTGGAATTATTAAAAATCAGATTTCAGTATAAAAAACACAATAATTGATGAAAAAATATTTCTGAATGAGACCATGTGTCATAGAGTCCAATGGAAGGGGAGAAACAGGATAATAGAAAAGCCACAAAAAGTAGACAAAAGTTGTTTTTGTTTATTATAGAAAAAATAAACTTTATTTAAAGAGAAATGGTTAAGAGAAAGGGAAAAACTGAAACCTATGGGTGAATACTTAGAATGACAGTGTTTAGCTCAGCCTGAAGACAGATGAGGATGAAAAATGTAATGGGAACTAGATAAGAGTTTTCTAAAATTTGTCTTAGTAAGATATAATTTAAGAAAACTTGGAATATCTTAAACTATTAAAAACAATATTTCTAGAGCATCTTTAAAAACTAAAATGTAAATATAACTACTCTTTTTTTTTTTTAACTAACACTTAGTATTTTTTGTGTAAAAACCCTCATTTGTAACGAACATTGTTGGCAGTTTAAATTTCAGAAAAGATAATGATGAAAATTTGAATCATTTTTAGCAGTTTTAAGAAAAGTGACTATTATTGAAATCTGACCTTATTGGCATCAGGTTTATAAAATGCACTTTATACACCTGCCTAAATACATATTACTCATCCACTTATGAGAAATAATATGTTTGAGATAAAAGAGGGTCTACAGATTTTACAAAAATAATTTTAAACACTTTTTTTAAGCCTAAAAAAGAAAATGAAGAATTAAGAAAACTTTTTGAGTTAATATCATCACTGAAGTATAATGTGAATCGAATAAGAAAGAAAAATGATGAATTAGAAGAAGAGGCAACTGGGTATGGTTTTCATATTGTAGAACATGTTAACCATTTATTAATTGATTTAACGCTAATTTTACTTGACTAAAACAGATACAAATTCATTTTATGTTTGCATTTTCATAATTAAATGAATTCTATTTTAAAATGTATTTCAGAAACTCACAGCACAACTTTTTAGACATGTGTGTCATGGGGCGGGAGTCAGCTGAGCTGCTGGGGCAAGGTGAAATTTTTTTTGAATGCCAAAATATTCTTTTTTTTTTTTTTTTTTTTTTTTTGAGAAAAAGTCTGGCTTTGTTTCCCAGGCTGGAGTACAATGGCGTGGTCTTGGCTCACTGCAACCTATGCCTCCAAGCAATTTTCCTGCCTCAGCCTCCTGAGTAGCTGGCATTACAGGCATGTGCCACCACACCCGGCTAATTTTTGTATTTTTAGTAGAGACGGGGTTTTGCCAAGTTGGTCAGGCTGGTCTTGAATTCCTGACCTCGTGATCTGCCCGCCTCGGCCTCCCAAAGTGACATGAGCCACCATGCCCGGCCACTTATTCTTTAATGATTTTGAAAACAATGACCATGCCTTGGACATATAGTGTCCGGTGCACTCTTCATTATCTAGTTTGAATTTTTATTTCTGAAGATATTTTTTGCTGTCTGTGGTCATTTTTTCTTCCTTTTGTAGTATCGTCTGCTGCACTCAAATTGTTTAAAGAAGACCTGTTTGTGTCATACGTTAACATCAAATTTATCTTGATATGTAGCTTATATTTTGTTTCTGCTTCTTTTTCTTTTAGATATAAAACATATGGAAATTTACTCATTGTACATGAGTACGTCTGTTGTATACATGAAGTATACATGTTATTAAACTTGTTTTACATAAATAAATTTCATATATATAAAAATATATGTATAACTTAAAGAAAAAGTAAAATGAACATTCATGTTTTGATCACAGATTTTTTTTAAAACAATGGAATCTGTCTTTGAAGCCCTGAACACAGCTACTTTCCTATTTTATTTACTGAGCACTTAATTTGGTTTTCTGATTCGAATCAACATTTTTCTGTCATTGCCTTTCTCTACATGGTTTTGTATCTCTTTCATTTTGTTGACATTATGTCAGCAAAGATGTCTAGATCTCTTCTTCAAAGTCTTTAAATCGTCACACATCTCTCTGCCCCTTTCCTTTTTTCTAAAACTGCCTGTATCCTTTTTCTCCTCAACTCAGATATTAAAGATGTTTTCTTCTCTTTTTCTACATTGAATGATCTCCTTGATGCTTTTTGTGTGTACTTTTTTTTCTTCTGATAGACTGTGGTCAATGGGTATCAAAATGTACTTTTGTGTCTTTTTAAACGTATGTGTTTTACTTTTTTATCTTGGTTACTCATCTCTGGGTTATGGCTTATATTTAGTAATAGGTTATTTTACTTGGCATACCAACATGGATATGAGTAGTTTATTTACAAAAAGTGTATGGTTAGGCCAGGTGTGGTGGCTCACACCTGTAATCCCAGCACTTTGGTTGGCCAGTGTGGGTGGATCATTTGAGGTCAAGAGTTCAAGACCAGTCTGACCAGTGAAACCCCGTCTCTACTAAAAATACAAAATGAGCCAGGCGTGGTGGTACACACCTGTAATCCCAGCCACTTGGGAGGCTGAGACAGGTGAATCACTTGAGTCCAGGAGGCAGAGGTTGCAGTGAGCTGAGATCACACCATTGCACTTTGGCCTGGGCAACAAGAGTGAAATTCCATCTCAAAACAAAACAAAAAACAAAACAAAAACACTGTATGGCTATAATATCACTTTACCTGCCATATATGCCATAAAATTGTTCTTCATATTATTTAAGATTATAATTTCATATAGAATGCTTTCAAACTATGTTCAGTTGAAACTGAAAGGAACATAGTTTATAGATTTGTTTCTTTGATATGCCATAACAGATGTTTAAACAATTATTAAATATTTACTCAAAAATAGTTGACTTACTAATTCTGTACATTTCTGCAGATATAAGAAACTCCTGGAAATGACAATAAATATGTTAAATGTATTTGGAAATGCAGACTTTGATTGCCATGGAGACTTAAAAACAGATCAACTGAAAATGGATATTCTGATTAAGAAGCTAAAACAGAAGGTAATTTAAAAAAATTATTTTATCTTAAGGTCTAGATTACATGTGTGAGACATGCAGGTTTGTTATATAGGTAAACGTGTGTCACGTTGGTTTACTGCACCTATCAATCCATCACCTAGATATTAAGCCCTGCAGGCATTAGCTATTGATCTTGATGCTCTCCCTCCTGACCCTAACAGGCCCCAGTGTTTGTTGTTCCCCTCCCCGAGTCCATGTGTTCTCATCATTCAGCTCCCACTTATAAGTGAGAAGATGCAGTGTTTGGTTTTTTCTTCCTGCATTAGTTTGCTGAAGATATCAGCTTTGAGCTCATCCATATCCCTGCAAAAAGCATGATCTCATTCATTTTTATGGCTCCATAGTATTCCATGGTGTATGTGTACCACATTTTCTTTATCCCGTCTATCACTGATGGACATCTGGGTTGATTCCATGGCTTTACTGTTGTGAATAGTGCTGCAATGAACATACAAATGCATGTATCTTTATAATAGAATAATTTATATTCCAACGTATGGTAATTTTAAATCAGTTTTGGTATTAAAAATCATGTAATTTTGGAAAATATTGATAATGGAAAACCCAAATTCTGCCAAAATATGTTGAGAAAATAGAGGGCAAATATATATTTTCAGACTTTCAATGCCTCAGGCTCTTAGTTAATCTTCCCCAGATCTGGGAAGACCTAGAAGGGGAGAGATTGGGCTACGTTAATGAGGGCCATTTCAATCTCTTGGCCCTGCAGCAGCCATTTCAAAATATGACAAAAAAATATATTTGGGGGTAAAATATTTTGATTTCCTTCAGCTTCTTCTCTCTGTGATGCTGCACCAGAATCAGGTTAGAAAGGAAGCCACATTATAGGAGTTAATAAAACCCATCTGATGAGATTTGATAGTTTGAAGGGTGTGATTCCCAGACCGTTTAGATAGAAATTGGGGCCAAAGAAAACAAGGTCTTATTCCTCAATATAAATCTGTCAGTGCTTTAAGCAGTGAAAGATTTTTCATTTAATTTTACAGACTTGAAACTAATGAAAAGGATAGCTTTTAAAATATAAATCTCTTTTTCTATGAAAAGGACATGCTGTTGATTCTCTTAGGCCTTGAACCCTGGCCAGTGATCTGAAACCAAGCAGTACCTGTCTCCAGATCACTAGTACCAAAATCACTAGTACCAAATTGATTTGGGGTGGGGGGTAACAGGTTCATTGAGAAATAATGAACACACCATGCAATTCACTCATTTAAAATATACAATATACTAACTTTAGTATTTTCAGAGAGTTATGCAGTCATCATTACAATCAATTGTAGAACATTTTCATCACCCTAAAAACAAACCCCACATCATTTAGCTATCTTCACTAGTTTTCCCTTCCTCCCTCAGCCCTAGGTAACCACCCACCTTCTTTGTATAGATTTGCCTATAAGCCTCTGAAATGAAAAGCAAGTGGTCTACTGTGACTGGCTTATTTCACTTAGCATAATTTTCCATGCTGCATCTGTGCTGTAGCAGGTATTGATGCAGGGTTTTTGCTCCTTAGTTCAGCTCAATCTGGGTTCTTCTCTTATGACCAGGAAAAATTAATCACACAGACACATTGAAGGGTGAGGAGGACAGAATTTATTAAGTGAAAGGAAAGCTCTCAGCAAAGAGGGGGGTCCTGCAAACAGGTTTCCACCTCACAATTGAATAGCAGGAGCACAGGAGCTGAAGCGGCCAGGTTCCTCCTCTGCATAAGGCGTGAATTCCTGGTGACTCCACCCCATCCCCCCAGTGCTTGTGGGCCTCGGGTCTGCTGCTGGCATGTCCAGGCAAGACAAGTCCAGGTTCCCTTATCTGCACATAACATCTGGTGTAAACACTTGTGGGGCTGGTTGGGGATTCTCTGGGGACCCTTCCATATCTGCCTAGGCATTTTGCTGTCTCCTCCTAATACAGTATCAGTACTCAGTTTCTTCTTATTGCTGAGTGATATTCCATTGTATGGATACATCAAACATTTTATGTATCCATTCACCAGGTGATGGACCTTTGGGTTCTTTCCCACCCAAAGGTGATGGACATTTTGGTTCTTTCCACTTTTTGACTCTTATTAATAATGCTGCTGTAAACATTTATATATGAGTTTTTGTGCTTGCATATGTTTTTGATTTTCTGGAGTATACTCATGACTGGAATTTCTGGGTCGTATGGTAACTTCATGCTTAACCTTTTGAGGAGCTGCCAGTTTGTTTTCCAAAGTGGCTGCATCACTTTACATTCCCAGCAGCATTGGATAAGGGTTTTAATTTCTTTACATTTTTCCTAACACTTATTTTCTCTTTTTTATTGAAAAAATGTTTCATCCTGTGGTGTGAAGTGATAACACATGTGGTTTTGATTTACTTTTTCCTAATGACTAATTACATTAAGCATCTGTTAATGTGCTTATTACCCATCTTTAAATCTTCTTTGCAAATATATCTATTCAAAATCTTTGCCCATTTTTTAAATTGGGTTATCTTGTTATTTATGAATTGCAAAGGTTCTTTATGTATCCTACATATGTAAGTCCCTTATCAGATACATGCTTTTCAAATACTTTCTTCTAGTCAGTGTCTTACCTTTTCACTTCTTGATACTGTCTTCTCAGGCACAGCAGTTTTCAATTTTGAAGTCCATTGAATCCATTTTTCCTTTGGAGTTATAGCTAAGAAAATACTGCCAAATGCAGTCACAAAGATTTATGCCAGGGTTTTCTTCTGAGGGTTTTATAGGTTTAGCTGTTACAGTTCACTGTTTTATTTTGAGGTAATTTTTAAATAAGATATTTGGTCCAACTTTATTTATTTTTTGCATGTGGATATCCAGTTGTCCCAGCACCATTTGTTGAAAAGACTATTCTTTTCCCATTCTGTTCTTTTGTTAACCTTGTATAAAATCAATTGACTGTAAATGTGCAGGTTTATTTGTAGATTATCAATTCTTAGTTTGTTTATATCTATTCTTATGCCAAGGCCAAATTGAATTTAATGAGAAGTTTTTTTCAATCATGTTGCATATTACCAGTTGTCTTATATCATAATAAAAATTAAATTTAGTGGAATATCTTTAACTTCACCTTTTGTGTCACAAAGGAGTCTCTGGCCAGCTTATACCTTACTCTTAAGACATGATGGCAAGTCAAGCTTACAAGACACACTTTCTTTTTTTCTCTATTCAAACCTTCAGTCTCTATTCCATCGTCTCCCTCTATAGTTATATTTTCAGTAAGTTTTGGTCACAGGATCTGCTGATGTAGTCTAATATTTAGTGTATTATGTTTTGCTAACTCATTATAATTCATAGAATCTTCCATAGATGTTTACCATCCAGGAAGGAGAAGTCTGAGCTGCCAGCTTTCCTCAGTGGAAATCAAGTGAAGTCATCATCTTGTAGTTTGCAGATCCTCTTTCCACCTGGTAGCTGGTTCTCTTGGGTAGCACTGCATCTAATCCTTTACTTGATGCAGATCTTGCATTCTCAGAAACCACAGTTCCCTGTATTGACCTCCTTTTACTGAAACAGAGATGCACAGCTCTGCTTTCTAGCTCAGTAGAGGATTCTTGGAATATAAAGTTTAACTCATTCCAAGAAAAAGTCTTAAGAGTGCAGCACTTCAAAATCAGGTAATGTTCAGGCAATTTATCAGAGACAAATAGTAGATTAGTATTTTGACTTTTGAAATTTCAGAGCCAAGTTGTGTGCTGTAGAGAAGCATTGTGGCATAACAGAGATGGGACGGTCTTAACTTCTCCATACAAACAAGCTTGAAGTAAGATAAAGGAGAAATTGCATTTGATGTCTTAACACTCAAAGCATACTGTGTTTATTTTACTTCTGTGAAGACTAAAAATCATTCCATAATGTTCTCCTTATTTCCTCATTGAGAAAAGGAAAATGAAAATTGAATACTAGATTGATTAATAAATACTCAAAGTTTATTCTTTTAGAATTTCCATTAACTGAAATCAGGTACATGTCTGATTTTGGTTATCTAACCAAGTATTTCTAGTTGTTTTTCAAATCATACATCTTTTTGCTTTGCAGTCTTATTTCCTAACTTAAGGGGAAATTGTAAGGAGACACCCTTGCCTTGTTATTAGAGTTCATAATTGAAGGGGGTTTTAGGAAATGTTCCTCCTCAGCAGCTTATGTCTCTCTCCTGGTTATCTACTGCTTCTCAATAATGTTTGCCATCAATAAATTAATCTCAACATTTTTTAGATCCTACTTTAAAGGAGACTCTTTTCTCTACGTAAGTTATGTTTCCTGTTGTCTCTTTTTAAAACTTATTTTTCTAACAATTATCCAGGGTTTTGTGGCTTAAAAGAAAAACATTTATTTTGTTCATGAACCTGTGGTTTGAAAAAAGCTTAGCCAGGACAGGTCATCTCTGCTCCCCTCAGCTTCCCTAGGAACAGCTGATCAGCTGGGGAAATGGAATCATCTGAAGCTTTGCTCACCCATATGTTTGATGGTTGATGCTGGCCATTGGCTGGAACCTTGGTTGGAGCAGGCAGCGTGAACATTGACACTGATACTCCCAGGCTGTCTCTGTGGCCTGATCTCTCTCACAATCTGGGGGCTGAGTTCAAAGGGAAAGCAGTCTGAGATAGGGAAGCCACGTGATATCCCTTTTACTGCATTCTATTCATTAGAAGGAAGTCTGTAAGGATTGCCCATATTCTGTTTTTTTAATGGGATAAATATAGCTTCTCTTTTGTTTTAATTGACGTGTATACATAACTTTGGCCAATAGAGTGATATTTTGATACATGTATGTAATGTGTAATGATCAAGCTAGCTAGTACATTTACTACTTCAACCATTTTTCATTTTTTGAATTGTGAACATTCAAAATCTTCTGGCTTTTTAAAAATATACAATAAATCATAGTTAACCATATTCACCCTACAATGCCACAGAACACCAGAACTCATTCCTCTTATCTAACTGTAATTCTGTATCCCTTAACCATCCTCCCCTCCCCTACCTCTGTGAGCTTTTTTGTTGTTGTTAAGAGACAGGGCCTTGCTAGTCTAGTCTGGGCTCTGGGCAACTGTAGTCACCCAGACTAGAGACAGTGGCTTGATCATAGCTCACTGCAGCCTCAAACTCTTGGGCTCATGTGATCCTCCCACCTCAGCCTCCTGAGCAGCTAGGATTATGGGCATGCACCATTGCATCTGTCTGATTTTTGACTTTGTAGAGCTATCTACCTATGTTGTCCAGGGTGCTCTGGAACTTTGTCCTCAAGTGATTCTCCTGCCTTGGTCTTTCAAAGTGCTAGGAAATTACAGGCAATAGCCATGTTGCCCAGCCCTCAGTTTTTCTTTAGCTCCCACACATGAGTGAGACTGTGCAGTGTTTATCTTTCTGTGTCTGCACTTAACATAACATCCCTCAGACTGATCCACATGGCCACAAATAACGGGATTGAATTCCTTTATATGGTGAATAGTATTCCATTGTGTTTGTGTGCCACAGTTTTTTGTCCATTCATTTGGTGATGGACATGCAGGTTGATTCCATACATCAGCTATTGTGAATAGTGCTACAATATACATACAAGTACAAGTATCTTTTTGATCTATTGTTTTCTTTTCTATTGCCTGAATACCCAATAGTGGGTTTGCGGGATCCCTTGGCAGTCCCATTATTAGTTTTTTGAGAAACCCTCATGTTGTTTTCTATAGTGGCTGCACTAATTTACCTTCCCACCAACAGCATGTAAGAGTTTACTCTTCTCTGGAACCTCACCAGCATTTGTTATTTTTTTGTCTTTTCAATGATAGCAATTTATTCAAATTGAAGCAAGATTGTATCACATTGAAGATTTGATTTGTATTTCCCTGAGGATTAGTGATACTGAGCATTTTAAAATTTATTTATTGGCTATTTGTATTTATTTTTTCTAAAGAAAAAGTATAGTTAGATATTTTGCCCAATTTTGAACTCAGATGTTTTTTTACTGTCAAGTTTTTTGAGTTTCTTGTATATTTTGGATATTAGTCCCTTATTAGATGAATAGTTGACAATATTTTCTCCCATTCCACCGGTTTTCTCTTCACTCAGTTTGCTGGGCAGAAACTATCTTAATGTAATACCATTTGTCTATCATTTGGTTTTTGCCTATGCTTCTGATGTCTTACCCATAAAAATCTTTGTACAGCCTAATGTCCTCAAGCATTTTTCCTATATTTACTTAGAGTAGTTTCATAATTTTGGGCCTTACATTTCAGTCTTCAATCAATTCTGAGTTTATTTCATTATGTGCTGTTACATAGGAAGCTAGTATCATTCTTCTCCATATGGATATTTAGTTTTCTCAGTGCCATTCATTTGAAGAGACTGTCCTTTCCCCAGTGTATGTTCTTGGCACCTTTGTCCAAAATCAGTTGGCCGTAAATATGCGGATTTATTTCTGGGTGTGTATTCTATGGCCTTTACCCCAAGAATCATTACTTCTTAAAATGCAATTCAAATTAGCATGAAACATTTGCAGTTTAAGGAAAGGCTTATGGCATCAGAATCCTTATTTACAGGATTCATTATTTTGTGTTTTTTTGAGATATGGTCTTTGTCTGTCATCCAGGCAAAGTGCAGTGATGTGGTCATAATTCATTGCAGCCCTGAACTCTGGGTACAAGCCATCCTTTTGCCTCAGTCTCCCAACTAGCTGGGTCTACAGGCATGAGCCACCATGCCCAGCTAATTTAAAAAAAATTTTTGTAGACTTGGGGGTCTCACTATGTTGCTCTGGCTGATCTCAAATTCCTGGCCTCAAGTGATCTTTCTGGCACAGGCTTTTAAATTGCTACAATTACAGGCATGAGCCACCATGCCTAGTATAGAGTGTTATATTATTTTCAAAGTCTTATTCTGAGAGCCATTTATTGACTTTGGCCTAAATAACTCAATATGATATCTCTGCAACTTTTTTTGACATATTATGAGGAATGATAATGAGGGAAGGTGGTTAGACACTTTTTACTAAGAGATAACTTAAGTGCCATCTAAGGAGGAACAAAAATGAATTATCAGAAAAATAAAAGTAAGATGAAGTGCAAAAGTTCTGTGGCAAAGATGATGATAGTAAATAATATATTTCTGTGACTCATGGTAACTTTAACTTTGTTCTTAAAATTCTGAGTAATTTAAGGGTTCACATTTGAAGAATCCACTGCATTACAGATAACATTTTATTGCAAGTAAATGCATTTCAAAATTTGCTATTGGTTTTGTATTAGATTATTCTCAGCCTACTTCATTATCAAGCTGTATTATTTTATTCATGCAGTTTGATGATCTTACGGCAGAGAAGGAAGCTTTATCTTCAAAATGTGTCAATTTGGCTAAAGACAATCAAGTTCTTCAACAGGAGTTTTTATCTATGAAAAAAGTACAACAGGAATGAAAAACTTGAGGAGGATAAAAAGATGTTGAAAGAAGAAATATTAAATCTTAAGACACATATGGAAAACAATATGGTAGAACTTAGTAAACTACAAGAATATAAATCGGAGCTAGATGAAAAGGCAATGCAGGCAGTAGAAAAATTAGTAGAAATCCACTTACAGGTTAGTTTTTTAAATCAGGTAAGTTTATCTGTAATGTGCTTTCATTTATTTCACCGCAAATTTTATTTTGGATATGTATATATTATGTTTCCTCTGCCTTTCTTGCAGCAATTTGCTTTGTAGAGTTCTAGAAAAAAAAATGACATCTGTTTTTTCTTTTAAATATTTACATTTCCATTATTATTATAACAAAATCAATCTTTCAGAGTAACGACTCACTGTGGAGTCGTTTGATGATTAAGATCAGTTGGCATAAGAAAAAATTGTGATTTAGAAATTATGTGACACTTTTGAATTGGTCATAAGCTACGTTCATTAATCACTTTTTAAAATTATGAATGGATTCTATTACTTTTTATATGACCAGATTACATTAATACTAACATAATTATGATTTTGAATTTTTATAAATCAGACAATTCTGAATTCAGTTATTAGTTTTGATATTGCTGATAAATATTTTAAGCTTCAGCCTCTTTTACTAACATATTCAAAATCGCTCTTTGAATCACTGACTCAAAATGAAGGGCAACAAACATACAATAATTAGGTTATAATTGTTTTAAAAGTGTATTCTTTTCCTTTGTTTTAGGAACGAGCACAATATGAAAAACAATTAGAGCAGTTAAACAAGGATAATATGGCTTCACTAAGTAAGAAGGAACTCACACTTAAAGATGTGGAATGTAAATTCTCAGAAATGAAAACTGCTTATGAAGAGGTTACAACCGAATTAGAAGAATATAATAAGGAAGCCTTTGCAGCAGCATTGAAAGATAACAATTCCATGTCAAAAAAATTAATGAAGTAAGTCAAAACGTACACTCATAGAAAATGAATTCAGCTCATTAATTTGTTTTGAAAGCATAATTTTTAGTGAGATGGCTTCAGGAGATTAGTAGGAAGTGAATGCTAATCTAATAATGTAATTTCAGAAAATAATGTTAGTAAATAATCTTACCTTTAAAATGTTAGTCAAGGATAGTTTCTGTCCCATTTCTTTCTCTCTCTCTCTCCCTTTTTTTTTTTTTTTTGCTTTTGTATGGCTTTTTTCCCCTGAAAAGTCTCATGTAGTTAACCTGATCTGTTAGTTTTTGTCACTAAGTATTTTTGAAGCTTTATAATTAATAAAGTGATCTTGTTATAAAATTGCTTGTCAGAATTTCCCTAAATAGAAATATTAATGAGTTTAATTTATTTTTTGGTAGATCACAACCTAAACCCAAAGTGTCAAGTGATACTGCTACTCTGGGCACAATCTTTTTTGATTGTGATCTTTAGTATTACCACTAGAGGGTGCCTCAAGAAAGACTATTTGTGTAACATTTTCAAGATGTTACAGAAAGGCATCCTTGTGAAATAGGGAATAATTATTAAGGAATTTGAAGTGTAATTCAGAAAGTGGTTAAAAAATAACTAGAAATACCATTTGACCCAGCCATCCCATTACTGGGTATATACCCAAAGGATTATAAACCATGCTGCTATAAAGACACATGCACACGTATGTTTATTGCAGCAGTATTCACAATAGCAAAGACTTGGAACCAACCCAAATATCCAACAATGATAGACTGGATTAAGAAAATGTGGCACATATACACCATGGAATACTATGCAGCCATAACAAATAATGAGTTCATGTCCATTGTAGGGACATGGATGAAGCTGGAAACCATCATTCTCAGCAAACTATCGCAAGGACAAAAAACCAAACACCGCATGTTCTCACTCATACGTGGGAATTGAACAATAAGAACACATGGACACAGGAAGGGGGACATCACACACCGGGGCCTGTCATGGGGTGGGGGGAGGGGGGAGGGATAGCATTTGGAGATATACCTAATGTTAAATGATGAGTTACTGGGTACAGCACACCAACATGGCACATGTATACATATGTAACAAACCTGCACATTGTGCACATGTACCCTAAAAAAGTATAAAAAAACAAAAAACAAAAAACCTTGTTCAGCCTGAAAGGGTGTGTGGAAGGCAGAAGGAAAAACCCCACCTCTAGTGCCTTGGTCACAGTGCTGGGGGCTAATTGCCTTCAGACATGCTTTAGTTCTTTTTGATCATCAACCAACCAATCTAGTTCTCCCCCAGGAGTTGTTGTTCTGAATTATTCCTCAGAGCCAAATGGTTAATTGTTCCTAGATAATGGGTGAAATGCACAAGGGTGAAACCTAAAATTTGTTTGCTAAACACAAGTATTCCTAGATTTTTTTGTTGTAGTTCATTTTAGTTTTCTTAACCTACATTAAGGAGTACAACATGATGTTTTGATACAGGTATTTCTAGTGAAGTAGTTCTTATAATCAAGCAAATCAACATATTCTTTTCCCACATTGTTACCCTTTAAATACGAGTATTTCTAATGGAATCTTCAGAATCTCACAAGTAGAGCCCTTTTAGAAGGCAGCAAGTGTTACCTGTTGAGCCATACATCACTGATAGCCATTTCTCTTCCCTGTCTACTTTGTACTGCTTGTTCAGTATAAATTACCTTAGAAACACAGGTGCTTCTTTAGAATGATGTTAAAATTATAATTGCTTACCACAGTATGCTCTCACACATCTTCGGTGTGAAAACACTGTTGAGTGGATAATTTGGTTTGCTCTCAGGGCAAGTTTTTAAAAACTGCAAGTCATTAAGAATCATTAGAGGAAAAATGAAATACTAAGTGTTTGTCTTTGCTATCTTTACAGATCGAATAAGAAAATAGCAACGATCAGCATGGAGCTCCTTATGGAGAAAGAGCGGATGAAATATTTTCTCAGCACTCTTCCTACAAGGCGAGACCCAGAGTCACCTTGTGTTGAAAATCTTACTAGTATAGGACTCAACAGAAAATATATTCTCCAAACACCCATAAGAATTCCTATTTCAAGCCCACAGACTTCAAATAACTTCAAGAACTCCTTGACTGCGGTTAGTTACATGACCGTTTCTCTTTTGGGTTTCATTTCTCTAATATAATTCTTGTTTTTAATTTGGTGAAATACTGAGTTCTGTTGACTTATGCATGTTTAGTAAAGATCATAATTAGCTGTGTTAACACAGAAAGAAAATGGGAACTTTACGTTTTTTAATTCCCTGGAGCTCTCATTGTCAAGAGATACCCGTTTACTAACTTTATTCAATAAATGTGACTAAACTGACACATTTAAAATGTCTTTAAAAGCTGCATTTAAGTTAGGTTTTAGAAATTGCATATTATTGCCTGATAACTGATGATATGGTTTGAGATGCTTTGGCTTACTCTCTAATTGATTATAGTTTGTTTAGCTGTGGTTCATACTGCCCCCCCCCCCCACCTTTTTTTTTTTATTGAGACAGTGTTTCACTCTATTGCCCAGGCTGGAGTGTTATGGCACCATCTTGGCTCACTGCAACCTCCACCTCCCGGGTTCAAGCAATTTTCCTGCCTCAGCCTCCCAAGTAGCTGAGGCTACAGGCACCTGCCATTACACCCAGCTAATGTTTGTATTTTTAGTAGAGACAGGGTTTCACCATATTGGCCAGGCTGTTCTCAAACTCCTGACCTTGTGATCTGCCTGCCTCAACCTCCCAAAGTGCTGGGATAACAGGCATGAGCTACCGCATCCAGCCCATGTCACTTTTAAAGTTTCTTTGCACTGGCCAGGTGTGGTGGCTCATGTCTGTAATCCCAGCACTTTGGGAGGCCGAGGCAGGTGTGTCACAAGGTCAGGAGTTCAAGACCAGCCTGGCCAAGATAGTGAAAGTACAAAAAATAAAAATTAGCCAGGTGTGGTGGAGAGCACCTGTAATCCCAGCTACTAGGGAGGCTGAGGCAGAGAATTGCTTGAACCCAGGAGGCAGAGGTTGCAGTGAGCCGAGATTGTGCCACTGCACTCCAGCCTGAGTGACAGGGTGAGACTTCATCTTGAATATAAAACATTTTTAAAAAAGTTTATTTGCACTGTCTCAACTCTTCCCACCCATAATCACAACTGAATGATTGGCATCCAAACAGTTTACCACATATAGATGTTTATTATTTAGTAGAATCCAAAATAATTGCATTTTATGAATTAAACAAAACACTAAAATGTTCATTTCCATTTTTATGTTACAAGCTTTGTGCTTGGCCAGGTGCCGTGGCTCACACTTATAATCCCAACATTTTGGGAGGCCGAGGCAGCTGGATCATCTGAGGTCAGGAGTTTGAGACCAGCCTGGCCAACATGATGAAACCCATCTCTACTAAAAATACAAAAATTAGCACGGCATGTTGGCAGGCATGTGTAATCTCAGATACTCGGAAGGTTGAGGCAGGAGAATCACTTGAACCTGGGAGACAGAGGTTGCAGTGAACCAAGATCATACCACTGCACTATAGCCTAGGTGATGGAGACTCTGTCTCAAAAAAAAAAAAAAAAAGGTTTGTGCTTTTCTTACATAAGAGTACATCCTCTGACTATAAAAATCCTAGAAGAAAACCTAGGAAATACTCTTCTGGACATCATACTTCTCAATTAATTTATGGCTAAGTCCTCAAAAGCAATTCCAAGAATAACAAAAATTGACAAGTGTGATCTAATTAAGCTAAAGAGATTCTGCACAGCATGAGAAACTATCACAGGATTAAACAGACAGCGTAAAGAATGGAAGAAAATATTCACAAACTATGGATACAGCAAACGCCTATTATCCAGAATCCATAAGAGACCTAAACAAGTCAACAAGCAAAAAATAAATAACACCATTAAAAATGGGCAAGGAACATGAACAGACACTTCTCAAAATAACACATGTAAGTGGCCAACAAACATATTAACAAATGCTTACCATTGTTAGTCATCAGAAAAGTGCCAAACAAAACATCAATGAGATACCATTTCACACCAATCAGAATAACTTTTGTTAAAAAGTAAAAAGAAAACAAAAAAGATGTTGGGGAAGCAGTGGAGAAAAGGGAACACACACCGTTTTTGGCAATGTAAATTAGTTCAGCTACTATGGAGAGCAGTTTGGAAATTAAGAACTAACAATGACCGTTGGATGCAGCAATCCCATTACTATACTAGGGGTATATCTAGAAGACAATAAATCATTGTAATAAAAAGATGCATGCACATGTGTGTTCATTGCAGCACTATTCAAAACAGCAAAGACATGGAGTCAATCCAGGTGCATCCAAGGCAGATTGAAAATCCAAGGTAGATTGGAAAGTTCCATATATACCATGGAATACTATGCAGCCAAGAAAAGAACAAAATCATGTCCTTTGCAGCAACATGGATACAGCTGGAATCCACTATCCTAAGCAAACTAACACAGAAACAGAAACCAAATATCTCATGTTTTCACTTATGTGGGAGCTACACATTGGGTGCACATTGTCATAAACATGGGAACTATAGACACTGGGAAATAAGAACAGGGAGGGACAGAGTGGGCCAGGGTTGGAAAACTACTTATTGGATCCTATGCTTACTACCTGTGTGATGGGTTCCACTGTACTCCAAACCTCGGCCTCCCTCAGTATACTCTTGGAAGAAGCCTACACAGGTACCATCTTAATTTAGAATACAAACTAGAAAAAAAGAAACAAACAAAAAAAAAACCAAGAAAAATTTACTATTAAAAAGTTTACTATGAGTAGAGAATAGAAATTTCTTTTTAAGATAAAATTTATTGATGTAAAAAAATGGATTAAACTTGTATAAAGGGCAGAGTTTTGCTAAGAATTTCAAAGCAATGCATTCATTGCAAAAGATGACTTTAATTATTTAATTTTTTTTTTTTTTTTTTTTTTTTTGAGACAAGGTCTCACTCTGTCACCAGGCTGGAGTGCAGTGGTGCAATCTTGGCTCACTGCAACCTCCACCTCCTGGCTTCAAGCAATTCTCCTGCCTTAGCCTCCCGAGTAGCTGGGGCTACAAGTGTGCACCACCATGCCCAGCTAATTTTTGTCTTTTTAATAGAGACAGGGTTTCCCCATGTTGGCCAGGATAGTTTCAATCTCCTGACCTCATGATCTGCCTGCCTTGGCCTCCCCAAGTGCTGGGATTACAGGCATGAGCCACCACGCCTGGCCATTGTTTAACTTTTGTACTAATAACACTACCTTTCTAAAATCATGTATATGCAATAGACCAATATTAACTGTATTTTTGTCCGATTACTCTAAACAGCATTACACAGATGCATCCTCTGTTATCTAAACTTAAAATAAGTAGAAATTTTACTTTATTTATGTGATTATTTTTCTATTTAAGCAAACTTCAAGTTATGTCTAGTTGCTAAAAATACTAAAGGCCACATTTTGTAAGTGATACATTATTTGCATGATAATGTTTCTTGTTTAACTTAAACATTATTATTATTTTTACTTATTTTAGATGGAGCCGGACTATGTAGAACAGATAACTAGAGAAACAAAGAGAAGTATGTTGCCAAAATTTATTAATTACATTTAGGTTTATTTTAGAAATAAAGTGTAAATAACAAATGGCATTCCTTTTCATTGTTTGGTTAGTAGATACTATGTCAAGTATTTTTTATCTTACACACATCTAATGCGAGATGTGAAAACAAAATCTTTCACAGAGAAGACTGTACTTATGCACCATAAATTCATCATGTTCCATAGCTTAAAAAATTCCCAAGAAGTCTATGCATCCATTTTTTACTGGCTCTACACTTTCTTAAGTTTTGCCATTCTCATGGAAGTGTCAGCCAGCACACTGAAACGATTCTCAGAAAACAAAGCCATCACCAAGTTCTCAGGGTTTTGGTAGAGATTGAAGGCCAACAGACCTGAGACTCATTTTGAAATCCTTAGCTGGGCAATAACCCTTCATAAGCAGTCACTTGACAGGTGACATTTTAAATCTCCTGTCATTTACTGTGTCATTGGCTTACATCTGTTCTCAGGAAAAGTTCCAAATTTTTCACCATGAAGTAAAAACACCCACATCAATGTGATGCTTGTCAAGTTACTCAGCCTTGCTTCTTGACACTTACCGCACTCTGCCCTTTGCTCTAGCACCAAAGTGGACAGAGTAGAACTCCGCAGGGCTCTTCCTCACCTCAGGCTCTTTGCCTTCGCCTCTTCCCTCTATCTGGCAAGCTTTTCCTTGTCCTTCAGGTATCAACCTATGTTATCTCCTCCACCAGAAAGCCCATGATATTGACATAAAAGTGGGATAGATGTCCCTTTTGTGTGTTCCAGTAGTGCCCTGCCGTATACCTGTCATAGTATCTATGACACTATGTGGACCTTGCCTGCCTGTCTGTTTTTTTAGGTTATAGCATATGACTGTTGAGAGGTGGCCCATACCATCTTCATCTTGGAATTCCAGTGCTGGTTCTAGGACCTTAGCACGTGGCTGTTGATTACATGAATGAAGAATGAAAAACCTCTGATATTTAAACACAATAGAATTAATGTCATGTGTAAATTATTTAATAGTAATTTTGTATTGTAAATGTACATACATATTTCTCATTCTTACTAACTCTGATAAAGTTCTCAACTCTTTAGTATTTAAACTCACATTTAGTTAACTGAAGTGTTTTAGGTAAAGAACATAATTCTTTCTTTTTTTTTCCAGCTGTTGCTGTGTTGGACACTTGCTCCCATCTACTTACTTCTCTATAATCCACTGGTAAGCCACATCTAATGAAGAGAATGTTTAACCATAAAGTCTTATGGAAAAATTTTATTATTTAAAAGATTATAAAACTTTATTACTGGGCTATTTACACAACATTTTAATTGTTTCTCATAAAATATATAACATTACAATCTTTACTGAAGTAGGATGTTTTTGTATCACATGTATGATGATAATTTATAGGGTAATTTAAATGATGTTTTTTAGCCTCCTTAATTTTAAGTGGATCTTGCAAATGAACACCAGTATTATTGAGTTTGACGTACTCAAATTGCCCAAATGTCAGCTGTTTAAACAGCCAAACAACCAAGTCATCATTGATACTTTAGTAAAGGTCATCGAAGGCTTCTTTGCATTTTACAGCTTTTACTGCTTAGGGGAGTTAAGGAGTACCTGCCAGGCTTGTCCATGCTAATGTGACAATTTTCTTTTTGTAGTTGAACCGTATTTTGTGGGGAGATATTTTGAGGCTCTGTAAATATCTAGTTACTCCTCAGAACCCACTAGATTTAGCATTTCATGGATGACTTGTGTTTGAACAGTTATTACTATGATGGTTGCCAGATGATTATTTTCTTCTCTTCTTTGCTGTACATGGAGAAGTAAAACCAATAAATAACTGAGAAGGGAAAGCTCATGATTCTGGTGCTCCCATTCCCCAAGATTAGGCCAGTGGTAGACATTTCAAGCTGACTTCATGTCTTTTTTATTTGTCCTTATTACTCTGTCAGCACTTTTTTAGTTTCTGGAACAAGATGTTCTAAGCTCATCTTGTATTTTCTCTGCTCCAGCCATGGAATGAGTGATTTTTCTTAGAAGCAGAGGTGGAGCCACTGAGGAAGCACAGGCCAGCCCTCCCCAGCACATACTCACTGGTCCCCAACAGAAGAACCGCTGCCGCCTCCATGAGGTACCAAGAAACTAGCAAAGGGCCTTCTGGCTGTCTGGGCACAGTCCTCATGTGGTCCCTGGCTCAGCCTCAAGGGTTCTGCATTAGTCTTCCTGTAGCCTCTGTGCTGTGTCTGTAGATCGGGTCTCTGTGGGAAGGGCCCTGGGAGGCCCAACAGCACAAGATGTCTCATCTGCCAAATGTCCCTGCCTTCCTCCCACTCTGACACTCAGGAATAGGCTACATGGCATGTCCAGGCAGTGCCAGGCCACCTCACTATCTCCTTTAAGATTGGCCCAGAGGGCTTTTGGGGTGAGTGTGGAGCTGGGCACCTGGAGCCTGAGGCCAACTGTCTCTCCCTCTGTCTTGGAGGAAAAGCCATGTCCCAAAAAAAACCCCAGGGCCTGACCTCTGGGCACACATACAGGGAGGGATGGTCTGTGGGCTGAGGGGGGCATTGTAATGAGACTTTGAGCACGCTGCTCAGGGGCCTGGTCAGTGGACCATGGTCAGGGGGCCTGGTCATCAGGACCTAGTCAGTTGGGACCTGGTTAGTTGTGGCCTCCTCAGTAAAGGCCTCATCAGTGGGGACCTGGTGACCTAGTCATTGGAAGCCTGGTCCATGGGGACCTGGTCAGTGGTGGTCTTCTTAGTGAGGCCTGATGGGTTGGAACATAAACAATGAAAAACTGGTTGGTGGGGCCTATACAGTATACTAGGTGCCTGGTCAGTGTTGGGCCTTAGTGGCTTGGAGCCTGGTCAGTGAGGGCCTGGTCAGAGGGGGCTCGGTCAGCTGGGGACTGATCCATGGAAAATTGTTCAGTGGGGGTCAGGTGAGCAGCAACCTGGTAAATTGCGGTCTTGTCAGTGGGAACCTGGTCAGTGGGGACCAGGTCAGTGGGAAATTGGTCAATGAGGTCTGGCCTATGAGGCCTATTAAGTGTGAGCCTGGTTAGGAAGACATAGTCAGTGGGGACTTGGTCAGTGGGAACTGGTAAATGGAGGAGTGGTCATTAGAGGCCTCATCAGTGGGAACCTGGTCCTGGGCGGCTGATCAGTAGGAACCTGGCCAGCTGGCCACTGTGTGGCCTCAGGCAGGGGGTTTGTCTGTGGAGTCTCCTTGCCTCCATCTGCAGAGAAGGTGAGTCAGGGCACCTTGGAGGGTGGCTGGAAAGAGAAGGTGAGAAGATGTGTCGAATCCAGCACTGCTTGGCCGACCTACAACTTTACACATGACCTGTGTTTCACCTAGAGGTGGTGCCAGCCCTCTCTGCTGTGCCTGGTGCCCCTCCTCTGTCTGCATCCCCAGGACCACCATGGGTGGGGAAGGCAGAGATTGGGGAACACCTATAGAAGCTCTAATGCTGGCCATGAGCCCTCAGTGATGACCTGGGTGCACCCGTGAGTGGAGAAGCTAGGCCTGGCCAGAGAAGCAGGAGAAACACACACATAAGTGCACACATATACAGGCACACACACATGCACAAACACACTGCATCCACACATGTCAGTTCAGGGGATAGAGGACATTGACTCTGGGCCCTGTTGACCCATGCAGGCTCCCATTGTGGTGGGTTGTGTCACCCCACAATGTCACTGTTGCTAAGCCCCCATCGCCTCTGTGTTGTGGAGCAGTTAGAGACACACAGCCGTGTCTGTGAGTGGCTCTGCGTGAAGGACCATTTTCTAGGTGAGAGGCACATCTCAACACAGCTGACTGATCAGACTCAGGTGAGTGGGACCTGCTCTCTTCTTTTTCTCCTGGCTTGGGGACAGTCGCTATCAGGTGGGTGGTTTTGGCCTCTGGGCAGCTGCTGAGGGTAATCCCTGAACACTCACTGGGTGCCTATTCTGTGCTGACAGTCATCTCATTCATCCTCGCAGCAATTCCATTCTGCATCTTTTCTGATCACCCCCGTGATGACCCAGGACAACCCCATCAGGCCCTCTCACCCAGGCCCAGTCCAGCTCCATGATAACCAAGAAGCAGGTCCAGAGACAACCACCCTTCATGGTGCCTGCATCTGACCCCCCTTGGTGGGAGTGACCAGCACAACATGGAAGAAGCCAGGGCAGCATGCGGCCAGCTGCCCTGCAGCCCCAGATGGCTCCTAGGCCTTGGGAAGTCATTCTCAAAGGGGAAGCTGGTCATTTTGAGGTCCCTGGAGGGAAGGGTGAATGTGTCATCCCAACATCCCTGGAAGCCAGAAGCATGCCATACATCTTAGCCAACCTGTGTGACAGAGGCCCCCTCCTGGGGCACAAGTCCCATACCTAAAGGGTCCTGTCCCAGTTGAACCTCATCCTGAGTCCTGGGAGGGGAGGAGCACCATGGGCCTCCCTGCAGCAGCCAGGATTACCACCCAGGGGACTCAGCCTTCTGTGGCCCTGGCCAGACTTAGAATTTGGCCCAAGACAAGACAAGCTCACTCGGAGCAGCTTGTCAGTACCCGGGGCCTGTGCATGCCAGGTAAGTCCAAGCTGACTTAAAGAGCAACTGGCCACCTCTGCAAGGGTGTGCCAAGAGCAGGTGGACCAGCCACCAACCTCACCCACTCAAGGAAACAGGGATGGCCAGGTTCCCACAGCCTGAGTGACCACCACCTGACAGCTGATGGAGTAGAGGCCTGAGGAAAAGCAGATGGCACTGGGGCCCTACCTCTAGGGCAGAATAACTGATTTACCCTGACTGGCAGCAAGTGAGGTTGGTGGCTGGTCCACCTGCTCCTGGCACACCCTTGCAGAGGTGGCTGGTTGCTCTTTGAGCCAGCTTGGCCTTGCCTGGCATGCACAGGCCTCAGTGCAACAACTGTGCTGCAAATGGAGCCACATATAGGAAATGAGCAGCAGGTTCAGGAGCAGGGTGTGCGCTGCCTTTGGGGCTCCAGTCCATGCATCAGGGCTCCTACAGCACTGTGGGCTTCTTGGGTGCCAAGAGGCAGACCACAGGCCCTCTTGAGGAGGCTTCTATGTTCAAGTGCAGAAAGGGCCTAATCTGGTGGATGAACCACTAGACCAGCTTCTAGTGCCACATCTTTTGTCACTTCCTGATGTGCCCCACCAGCACTGAAGAGACAGCCTGGAGGCAGGGCAAGAGGAAGGCTGAGAAGGATGAGACGGTGAGTGCCAGATTCTCCCTGGCCCTGAGCCCACCCCCAGGGTGACACTCAAACTTTAGGAGTGGGAGAGCAAGGTTGACGGCTTCAAGTGCTTCACTAAGAAGATGGACAACAGGGCACTCACCTCAACTTCACAGCCAATGAGTTGACATGCAAGCAGGTGATGGTGACAGGCTTTAAGAAAGAGCATCAGAAAGCTGCCAGTTCTTCAGCCTCAGCCAGGCCTTGGAGCTGGACCAGGCCATCCACTTCACCACAGATGCCTTCAACACTGTCAGTGAGCTCTTTGCCAATCAGCCCAGGCAGGACCTGGACCCAGTCATGGACCTGTTAGTGCTGTCTCAGGGACACCAGACCAACATCCTGAACATCATCCACATACACAAGGAAGTTCTTACCAAAGTCACGGAGGGCAGGCAACATGTGGCAGAAGGGAAGACAGCGATGCAGAGGCTGATGACGTCAGAATCACAGGAACAGGAATTCTTTCACCACTTCAGTGGAAATTAACCACTTCCATCCAGTTTGAATGAGAGACATGAAATCACAGATGCAGCATTTCTTGCAACAAGAGATACAAATTTTTCAAAAAGTCATCCAGTAATCGATAGCGTTGAATGACTAGATATTTGATTGTGGACTGTTTCCAGTTCAAGGATACCTTCTACACAGAATAATAACACTAGCAAAGAGCTAGTGCCAGCTATCCGTGGTAGCACAAGTATGGTTTTGTGCTCAACTGAAATCCAGCTGAATACAGAATTGTGTAGGACACAGTTAATATGGTGATAGAATAGAAACAGTAGCAAACATGAACTAAATCATGCCATGAATGCCTAAACTACCATTGTAAATTTTGGAAGAATGATCATACCACTTTACTGCTTTTTGAAGTATGAATATTTTAGTGTATATGCTATAGACCACAAACCCTGTAAAGAGTCTCAAATAAGTTGGCTGGATAAAGCCTGCTGTGCATGTCTTTATACTCAAAGACTGATGATGCAATTCGAATATGTGTCCCCACCAAATCTCATATTTAATTATATTTCCTAATGTGGAAGGTGGATCCTGGTATAAGGCGATTGATTTATGAAGGCAAATTTCTCATGAATGGTTCGGCACCATCCCCTTGTACCATCCTCACAATCATGAGTGACTTCTCATGAGATCTGACCACTGAAAACTCTACGTCACCTCCCTACTCTGCGTGTTTTCCTCTTGCCATGTGAGACAACTCACTCTTTCTTTGCCTTGTACAAAGATTGAAAGATTTCTGAGGCCTCCCAGAATCAGAAGCCCTGTGCTTCCTGTCAACCCTGCAGAACCATGAGCCAATTAAACCTCTTTTTCAAAATGAATCAAACAGAAAATGGCAAATGACGATTGCAGCATTGCTATAAAGATACCTGAAAATGTGGAAGCAGCTTTGTAACTAGGTAATGGGCAGAGGTTGGAAGAGTTTGGAGGGCTCAAAAGAAGACAGATGAGAAAATTTTTGGACTATCTTAGAGACTGGTTAAATGGTTGTGATAAAAATCCTGGCAGAAACATGGACAGTGAAGGCCAGGTTGAGGAGGTCTCAGATAGAAATAAGAAGCTTTCTGGAAAATGTCTTCCTTTTGAATATGGAAAGCTTACACAATGCCTGTACCATCATTATACGTTAGAAGCTGTGAACTTGCTTTTTATTTCAGAGGCTCGTAAGAAAAAGAGACTGTAGCCTTGACTCAGATGAGACTTTGGACTTTGTAAGTTTGAGTTAATGCTGAAATGAGTTAAGACTCACTCTGGCAAGGCATGATTGTATTTTGCAATGTGAGAAGGACATGCCGTTCATGGGGTCAGGGACAGAATAATATGGTTTGTCTCTGTGTCCCTATCAAAACCCATGTGGAATTATACTCCCTAATGTTAGAGGTGGGGCCTAGGTGGAAAAAGATTTAGTTATAAAAGGGTATGGGTAGATTCTTCACGAATGATAAAGGACCATCACCTTGATGCTGTCCTCCTGATAGTGAGTGAGTTCTCATGAGATCTGGTTGTTCAAAAGGCTGTGGAACCTCTTTCCTCACTCTGTCTTCCTCCTACTCCTGCCTTAGGAGATATCTCATTGTCTTGGCTTCTCGTATAATTAGGAGGCTTCTTGATTCCTTCCAGAAACAGAAGACACTATGCTTCCTTCACAGCTTGCAGAACCGTGATTCAATTAAACCCCTTTCATTTACAATAATACAGAAAATTAGAACTGCAGAGAGAGCTGTGAAATATCTTCAAGGCCTTTTTCCCTTTGTCTTGGCTATTAGCACAGGGCTTCTTTATATGCCAATTTCTGAAGTCTTCTTGAATTTTTCCCCTTAAATGGGGTTTTGTGTTATTGCTACATAGCCAACCTGCTATAGAGATACCTGAAAAAGTAGAAGCAGGCTCAGTAGTGGGTAGCAAACAAAGATTGGGAGGGTTTGGAGGGATTAGAGCATGACAGAAAGATGAGGGAGTGGGAGGAAGTGATTTAATCATGGATGGGCAGGGGTGGGTGTGGACGGAAAAAGGGGTGGGTAGGGTGGGAATGAGTAGGCTGGCTGTAGGGTGGTGGGAGGGTGGTGGGTAGTAGGAAGGGGGAGTAGCCTGCTGCAGAGGCAGAGCCTCATGGAAAACCATTACTAGGGCAGTGCACCTGTGGCTTTGCAGGTTTGAGCCCCCATGGCTGCTCTCATGGACTGGACCAGTGTTGAGTGCCTGTAGCTTTTCCACACTGAGGGTGCAAGCTGTTGGTGGGTCTCTGAATCTGGGATCTGGAGGGTGGTAGCCCGCGATGTGGGGGCTCCAAGTCCGTATTTTCCTTCTGCAGTGCCCTAGTAGAGGTTTCCCAAGAACTCTGTGTCTGCAGCAGGCTGCTGCTTGGAAACAGTGGGAGGTGGGGGTGGGAGGCAGATCCTTCACCAATGGTTAAGCACCATCTTCTTGATGCTGACCTAGTGACAGTGCATTTTCATGAGATCTGGTTGCATAACAAGGTGTGGCACCTCTTTCCTCTCTCAGTCTTGCTTCTACTCCAGCCATATGAAACATCTCCTTGCCCCTTGGCCTTCTGGTATGGTTGTGAGGCTTCCTGAGACTTCCCAGAAGCAGAAGCTGCTATGCCTCCTTTACAGCCTGCTGAACCATGAGCCAGTTAAACCTCTTTTCTTTATGATCATAGAGAAAATTAGTGCTATGAAGTGGAGCTATGAAGTGCCTTCAAGGGCCTTTCCCCTTTTCTTGGCAACCAGCACTCAGCTCCTTTTCATGCAAATAACTGAAGCCTTCATGAATTTTCTCCCTGAAAGTGGACTTTTCTTCTTTTACCACACTGCCAGGTTGTGATAAAGATAGCTGACAGTGTAGAAGCAGGTTCAGAAGTGGGTAAAAGACAGAGGTCAGGAGAATTGGGAAAGCTTGGAAGACAGCAAGATGAGGAAAATTTGACCACTGTAGAGGATTGTTAAATACTTGCGATCAGAAGGCTGACAGAAGGATAAACACTGAAGTCCAGACTTAAAAGGTCTCAGATGAAAATTAGGAATTTCCTGTGAACAGGAGCCAAGGTTACATTTGATTGGCCTTAGCAAAGAACGTGGCTGCACGGTGACCCTGCCCTGGAGATCTGTGAAACTATGAACTTGGGGGTGATGATTTAGGATGTATCTGGTGGAATGAATATCTAGGCAGCAAAGCACAAGAGGTGTCCTGCCTGCATTGCACAGCCTGTGTTCTTATGTGTGACCTAAGAAATGATTTCAAGTTGGAACTTCTATTTCAATGAGAAGTGGAGACCTAAAGTTTGCAAAATCTGCAGCCTGGCCAAGTCGTCAAAAAGAAAAGCTGATTTTCAGGGGGAAAATTCAAGACGGCTTAGGGTATCTGTATAAAAACAAGCCCAGTACAAATAGCCAAGACAATGGGAAAAAGGCCTTGAAGGCATTTCAGGTTCCTCTGCAGCAGCCCTTGCTGTCACAGGCCCTAGGGCCTGGCAGAGAAAAATGGTTTCCTGGGGAAGCTTCATGGCCTCATTGCTCTGTGCACCCTCAGGACACTGCTGGCTGCATTCCTGCAGCTCCACCTCCAGCCATGGCTCAAAGATGCACAGGTACAGCTTGGGTTACTGCTTCAGAGGTGGCTCCAAGCCTTGATGGTTTCCATATAATGATAAGCCAGCAGGTGCACAGAGTAAGAGACTAGAGGCTTGGGAGCCTCTGTCTAGACTCCAGAAGATGCACAGAAATGCCTGGATGTCCAGGAAAGAAGCTTTTCCAAGAGGCAGGGCCTCTTGGGAAACCTCTACTAGGGGAACAAAGAAGGGACATATAGGATTGAAGCCCCCACACAGGGAGGCATCATTCTCCAAACCCCAGATTCATAGACCCACAAACAGCTTGCACCCTCAGTATGGAAAAGCTACAGGCACTCAACACCAGCCCTGTCCATCAGGGCAGCTGCAGGGGCTGAACACTGCAAAGCCACAGGTGCAGATCTGCCCAAGGCCTTGGGAGCCCAGCCCTCACACCCCTGTGCCATGGATTTGGGACAGGGTTTCAAAAAGGATGATTCTGGAGCTGTAGGATTGAGTGACTGGCCTGCTGGGTTTTGGACATTTATGTATCCTATGAGTCCCATCTGTGTTTTGTGCTTCTTTCTAGCAATTTTTTTTTCTATTGGTTGAGAATGCTTACCCATTGCTTGTACAATCATTGTACTTTGGAAGTAGTTAAGTTGCTTTATAATTCAGAGACTCATGGCAGAAGGGACTGTAGACTTGTCTCAGATAAGACTTTGGGCTTTGGACATTTCAGTAAATGCTGGAGTGTGTTAAGATTTGGGGGACTGTAGGGAAGGCATCATTGTATTTTGCAATGTGAGAAAGACATGAGATTTGGGGGACCCGGGACAGAGTAATATGATTTGGCTCTGTGTCTCTCCCAAAACTCATGTGGAATTTTAATGGGGAATGTTAAAGGTGGGGGCTGGTGGAAGGTGATTTAATCATGGTGGAGAGTGGAGGTTGGATGGGAGGGATGGGGAGAGTTGGAGGGTATTGGGGGGGGTGGGAAGAGTTGGGAGGGATTGTGTTTGGTTGGGGTTATGGGTAAAAGGTGGGAGTGGGGGTGGATCCTTCACAAATGATTAAACACCATCTCCTTAATGCTGCCCTTCTGAGAGTGAGTTCTCTTCATGATTTTGGAGCTGTGAGATTGAATGAACACTGTCCTGCTGGGTTTTGGGTGTGCATTGGGCCTATGGTTCCACTTGTGTTATTTTTCTTGGAAATTTCTTCCCTTTGGATTGAGAAAACTTACCCAATACCTGTACCATCATTGTACCTCGAAATAAATGAATGCCATTTTAACTTCAGGGACTCATAGGCAGAAGAGACTGTAGCCTTGTCTCAGATGAGACTTAACTTTTCACATCTGAGTTAATGCGAGAATGAGTTAAGGCTTTTGGAAACTTTTGAAAAGGCATGATTGTATTTTACTGTGTGAGGAGTGCATGAGATTTGGGGGGATCAGGGTCAGCATAATATGATTTGGCTGTGTGCCTCTAGAAAAACACGTGGAATTATAATCCCAAATGTTGGAGGTGGGGCCTGGTGGGAGATTATTTAATCATGGATGGGAGGTGTGGGGGTGGGAGAAAAAAGGGTTGGGTAGGGTGGGGAACAGTAGGCCGGCTGTAGGGTGGTGGGAGGGTGGTGCGTAGTAGGAAGGGGGAGTAGCATGCTGCAGAGGCAGAGGCTGATGGAAAACCTCTACCAGGCCAGTGCACCTGTGGCTTTGCAGGCTTTAGCCCCCATGGCTGCCCTTATGGCCTGGGCTGGTATTGAGTGCCTATAGCTTTTCCATACTGAGGCTGCGAACTGTTGGTAGGTCTATGAATCTGGGGTCTAGAGGATGGTGGCCTCCTGCATAGCAACTCAAAGCCCTTGTTTTCCTTCTGCACTGCCATAGAACAGGATTTCCAAGAGGCTCTGTCTCTGCAGCAGGCTTCTGTCTGGAAACAATAGGGGGTGGAGGTGTGTTGTGGGGTGGCTCCTTCACCAATGGTTAAGCACCATCTTCTTGATGCTGACCTAGTGACAGTGAGTTCTCAGGAGATCTGGTTGTATAACAGGCTGTGATGCCTCTTTCCTCTCTCAGTCTTTCTCCTACTCATGCTGTATGAAACATTTCATTGCTGCTTTCCTTCTGGTATGATTGGGAGGTTTCCTGAGTCTTCCCAGAAGCAGAAGCCACCATGCTTTCTTTACAGCCTGCAGACCCATGAGCCAATGAATCCCCTTTTCATTATTACCACACAGAAAATAAGTACTGCAAAGTGGAGCTATGAAATATCTTCAAGGACTTTTCCCCATTGTCTTGGCTATCAGCACTGGGCTTCTTTTTAACGCAAATATCTGAAGCCTTCTTGAAGTTTCCCCTGGGGGAGAGTGGAGGGTATTAAGGGGGTGGGGAGAGTTGGGGGGGATTGTTTTTGGGTTTACGCGTGAAAGGCAGGAGTGCCAAACTGCAACAAAGATAGCTGAAAGTGTAAAGCAGTTTCAGAAGTGGGTAACAGCCAGAGGTTGGAGAGTTTGGAGAGCTTGAAAAAAGACAGGAAGATGAGGGAAAGTTTGGACCATTGTAGAGACTTGTTAAATAGTTTTGATTAAAATGCTGACAGAAGGAAGGACAGTGAAGGTCAGGCTTACAAGGTCTCAGATGAAAATGAGGAACTTACTGGGAACAGGAGCCAAGGTTACTTTTGTTTTGCTGTAGCAAAGAACGTGGCTGCAGGGCGATCTTGCCCTTAAGATCTGTGAAACTTTGAACTTGAGGGTGATAATTTAGTGCATATCTGGTGGAATGAACTTCTAGGCACCATAGCACAAGAGGGATCCTGTCTGCATCAAACAGCCTGTGCTCTTATGTGTGACTGAGGAAATGACCTCAAGTTGGAATTTCTATTTAAATGGCAAGCAGAGCTCAAAAGTTTGGAACATTTGCAGCCTGGCCAAGTGGTCAAAGAGAAAAGCTGATTTTCAGGGGGAAAATTCATGAAGCCTCCAGAAATTTGCATAAAATGGAGGCCAGTGCTAATAGCCAAGACAATGTGGGGAAAAGCCTTGGAGGCATTTCAGAGATGTTTGCAGCAGCCCTTGCTGTCACAAGCCCTGGGACTTAGGAGAGAAGAATGGTTTCCTGGGCCAGCCCCATGGCCCTGCTGCTGTGTGCAGCCTCAGGACACTGCTGCCTGCATCCCAGCAGCCCCAGCTCCTGCTCTGACCTTGGCTGAAAGATGTACAGGTACAGCTTGGGTCACTGCTTCAGAGGGTGCAAGCTATAGGCCTTGGTGACTTCTATATAGTGTTAAGCCAGTGGGTGCACGGAGCACTAGTCCAGAGACTTGGGAGCCTCCATATAGATTTCGGAAGATGTATGAAAATGCCTGGGTGTCCAGACAGAAGGCTGCCCAAGAGGCAGAGTCTCATGGGAAACCTCTACTAGGGCAGTGCAGAAAGAAAATATGAGGTTGGAGCCCCCACACTGGAGGCCACCATCGTGCAGATCCCAGATTCATAGACCCAACAAAAGTTTCATACCCTCCATGGGTTAAAAACTCCAGGCACTCAACACCAGCACAGCCCATGAGGGCAGCTGCGGGGGCTGAACACTGCAAAGCCACAGGTGCAGAGCTGCCCAAGGCCTTGGGAGCCCAGCCCTCACACCCTTGTGCCCTGGATGTGGGACAAGGATTTAAAAAGGATGACTTTGGAGCTGTAGGTTTGAAAAACTGGCCTGCTGGGTTTTGGATTTTCATGGGACCTGTAAGTCCCACTTGTATTTTATTCTTCTATCTGGTGAAAATCTTCCTTTTGGCTGGGGATTCTTACTCAATGCCTGGACAGTTGTACCTTGGAAGTAGTTAACTTACTTTGTATTTCAGAGGCTCAGGGGCAGAAGAGACTGCAGCTTTGTCTCAGATGAGACTTTGGGCTTCAGACATTTGAGTAAATGCTGGAATGAGTTAAGACCTTGGGGGTCTTAGCCAAGACGATGGGGAAAAGTCACTGAAGGCATTTCATAGCTTCACTTCACAGTACTAATTTTCTGTATGATCATAACAAAAAGGAGTTTAATTGGCTCATGGTTCTGCAGGCTGTAAAAAAAGCATAGTGGCTTGGGGAAATGGCAGGTAAGGCATCACTGTATTTTGCAAAGTGAGAAGGACATGAGATTTGGGGAGGCAGGGAGAGAATAATAAGATTTGGTTGTGTATCCCTACAGAAACTCATGTGGAATTGTAATCAAAATGTTAAAAGTGGGGCCAGGTGGAAGGTGATTTAATCATGGAGGGTGGTGGGTGTTAGAAGGTTTGGATTGGGGAGAATGGGGGGATTATGGTGGGGGAGAGGGGTGAGAGGTGGGGGTGGGGGTGATCCCTCACAAATGGTTAAGCACCATCTCCTTAATGCTTTCCTCATGATGGTGAGTTCTCGTGATGGTTTTGGAGCTGTAAGATTGAATGGATACTGGCTTCCTGGGTATCCATTGCATTGGCCCTGTGATCTCATTTGTGTTATTTTCCTGGTAACCCTTTACCCTTTGGATTGAGAAAACTTACCCAATGCCTCTACCATCATCATACCTTAAAAGAACTCCCTTTTAAATTCAGGGACTTATAGGCAAAAGGGACTGTAGCCTTTTCTCAACTGAGATCTTGAACTTTTTACATTTGAGTTAATGCTGAAATGACTTAAGACTTTTGCCAACTTTTGAAAAGGCATGATTGTATTTTACTCTGTGAGAAGGATATGATATTCAGGGGATCAAGGTCAGAATAATATGGTTTAGCTGTGTATCCCTACCTAAACTCATGTGGAATTGTAATCCCGAATGTTGCAGGTGGGGCCTCGTGGGAGGTGATTTATTCATGGATGGGAGAGGGGTGGGGCTGGAAGTACAAAGAGGTGGGTTAGGTGGGGAGGAGTAGGCTGGCTGTAGGGTGGCGTGTAGTGGGAGGGGAGTAGCCTGCTGCAGAGGCAGAGGCTCATGGAAAGTCTACTAGGGCAGTGCACCTGTGGTTTTGCAGGCTTTAGCCCCCATGGCTGCTCTCATGGGCTGGGCTGGTGTTGAGTGCCTGTAGCTTTTCCATACTGAATTTGGGAGCTGTTGGTGGGTCTATGAATCTGGGATCTGGAGGATGGTGGTATCCTGTGTGGGGGCTCCAAACCCATATTTTCCTTCTCACTGCCCTAGTAGAGGTTTTCCAAGAGGCTCTGCCTCTGCCTCAGGTTTCTGCTTGGAAACAGTCGGGGGTGGATATGGGGTGGGGGGCGGATCCTTCACCAATAGTTAAGCACCATCTTCTTGATGCTGATCTCCTCATAGTGAGCTCTCATGAGATCTAGTTGTATAACAGGATATGGCCCTTCTTTCCTCTCTCTGTCTTGCTTCTGCTCCTGCCATATGAAACATTTCATTGCCTCTTGGCCTTCTGGTATGATTGGAAGGCTTCCTGAGTCCTCCAAGCAGCAGAAACCACTATGTTTTCTTTACAGCCTGAAGAACTGTGAGTTAATTAAACCTCTTTTCTTTATGTACATACAGAAAATTAATGCTGCAAAGTGAAGCTATGAAATGCCTTCTAGGCTTTTCCCTGAATCTTTTGGCTATTAGCACTGGGCTTTTTTAAATGCAAATATTGGAGGCCTTCTTGAAGTTTCCCCTGATAATGGACTTTTCTTCTTTTACCACATTGCCAGGCTGCGACAAAGATAGCTGACAATGTAGAAGCAGGTTCCGAATTGGGTAATGGCCAGAGGTTAGAGAGTTTGGAGAGCTTGGAAGAAGACAGGAAGATGAGGGAAAGTTAGGACCATTGCAGAGACTTGTTAAATAGTCGTGATTAAAAGGCTGACAGAAGGATGGAGAGTGAAGGCCAGGCTTAGAAGGTCTCAGATGAAAATGAGGAACTTACTGGGGACAGGAGCCAAGGATTTTTGTTTTGTCTTAGCAAAGTAATTGGCTACACAGCGACCCTTCCAGGGAGCTCTGTGAAACTTTGAACTTGAGAGTGGTGATTTAGGGTGTATCTGGTGGAATGAACTTCTAAACAGCAAAGCTCAAGAGTTGTCCTGCATACATTGAATAGCCTGTGCTCTTACATGTGATCAAAGAAATGACCATAAGTTGGAACTTACATTTAAATGAAAAGCACAGCTTAAACGTTTGGAAAATTTGCAACCTGGCCAAATGGTGAAAAAGAAAAGCTGATTTTCAGGGGGAAAATCAAGAAGGCTTTGGATATTTGCATAAAAAGGAGTCCAGTGCTAATAATTCAAGACAATGGGAAAAAGGCCTTGCAGGTATTTCAGAGACCTTTGTAGCAGCCTTGCTGTCACTGGCCCTGGGGCTTAGGAGAAAGGAATGGTTTCCTGTGTGCAGCCTCAGGACACTGCTGCCTGCATCCCTGCAGCTCCAGCTCCAGCTCCAGCCATGGCTGAAAGATGCACAGGTACAGCTTGCATCACTGCTTCAGAGGATGCAAGCTCCAAGCATTGGTGGCTTCCACATAGTGTTAAGCCAGCAGGTGCACAGAGCACAGGACTAGAGGCTTCAGAGCCTGCATCTAGACTCTAGAGGATGTATCAGAAAGCCTGAGTGTCCAGCCCGAAGCTCTTCCAAGAGGCAGAGCCTCATGGTAAACCTCTACTCAGGCAGTACAGAAGAAGAGTATAGGGTTGGAGTCCCCATACCGGGATGTGCCATTTTCTAGACCCCAGTTTTGTAGACCCACCAACTGCTTGCACCCTTAGTGTTGAAAACTACAGGCACTCAACACCAGCCCAGCCCATGAGGGCAGTTGTAGGGGAAAGTTTCTGCAATGCCACAGGTGCAGAGCTGCCCAAGGCCTTGGGATCCCAGCCATCACAGCACCCTGTGCTCTGGATGTGAACATAGATTCCAAAAAGATGATTTGGAGCTGTAGGATGGAATGACTGGCCTGCTGGGTTTTTGACTTGCATGGGGTCTGTAAGTCCCATCTGTATTTTGTGCTTTTTGGCAAATTTCTTCTTTTTGGCTTGGAATGCTTACCCAATGCCTGTACAATCATTGTACCTTGGAAGTACTTAACTTGCTTTGTATTTCAGAGGCTCAGGGGCAGAAGGGATGACAGCCTTGTCTCAGAAGAGACTTTGGGCTTTGGACATTTACGTAAATGCTGGAATGAGTTAAGACATTGGGGGACTGTAGAGAACGCATCATTGTATTTTGCAGTGTGAGAAGGACATGAGATTGGGGAGGGGGGCAAGGGGAGAATAATATGATTTGGCTCTGTGTCCCTACCAAAACTCATGTGGAATTGTAATGAGGAATGTTAAACGTGGGGCTCGGTAGAAGGTGATTTAATCATGATGGACAATGTGGTTGGCAGATCCTTCACAGATGGTTAAATACCATCTCCTTAATGCAGTCTGTGTGATAGTGAGTTCTCATGATAAATGAATGCTGTCCTGCTGGGTTTTGGACTCGCATTGGGCCTGTGTCACAGTTGTGTTTTTTTTTCTGGGAAAATCTTCCCTTTGGATTGAGAAATCTTACCCAGTGCCTGTACATCATTGTAACTTGAAGGAAAAGAACGCCCTTTTACATTCAGGGACTCATAGGCAGAAGGGATGGCAGCCTTGTCTTGAATGAGACTTGAACTTACCGCATTTGAGTTACTGCTGGAATGAGTTAAGACTTTTGGAAACTTTTGAAAAGACATGTTTGTATTTTTCTCTGTTAGAAGGACATGAGATTTGGGGGTGTCAGGGTCAGAATAATATGGTTTCACTGTGTTTCCCAAAAAAACTCATGGGGAATTGTATTCCTGAATGTTGGAGGTGGGGCCTGGTGGGAGGTGATTTAATCATAAATGGGAGGTTGATAGTGGTGGAAGGAAAAACCAGTGGGTAGGGTGGGGAGGAGTAGGCTGGCAGTAGGGTGGTGAGAGGGTGGTAGGCAATAGAAAGGGGGAGTAGCCTGCTGCAGAGGCAGAGGCTTATGGAAAACCTCTACTAGGGCAGTGCACCTGTGGCTTTGCAGGGTTTAGCCCCCATGGCTGCTTTCATGGGCTGGGCTGGTGTTGAGTGCCTGTAGCTTTTCCATACTGAGAATGCAAGCTATTGGTGTGCTTATGAATCTGGGGTCTGGAGGATGGAAACCTCCTGCGTGGGCCCTCCAAGCCCTTGGTTTTTTTTTTTCTTTTTTTTTTTTTTTTCCTGCACTGCCCTAGTAGAGGTTTTCCAAGAGGCTCTGCCTCTGCCTCAGGCTTCTGCTTGGAAACAGTGGGGGGTGGGGGTGGTGGGGGCAGATCTTTCACCAATGGTTAAGCATCATCTTCTTGATGCTGACCTTGTGATACGTAGTTCTCAGGAAATCTGGTTGTATAATAGGGTGTGGCATCTTTTTCCTCTCTCTGTCTTGTTTCCACTTCTGCCATATAAAACATAGCATTGCTGCTTGGTCTTCTGGTATGATTGGGAGGCTTCCTGGGTCCTCGCAGAAGCAGAAGCCTCTGTGATTTATTTAAAGCTTTCAGAACCATGAGCCAGTTCAACCTCTTTTCTTTCTGATTATACAGAAAATTTGTGCTGTGAAGTAGAGCTATGAAATGCCTTCAAGGCCTTTTCCCTATTGTCTTGGTAATCAGTACTCAGCTTCTTTTCAGACAAATATCTGAAACCTGTATGAATTTTTCTCCTGAAATGGACTTTTCTTCTTTTACCACATGCCAGGCTGCAACAAACGTAGCTGAAAATGTAGAAGCAGGTTGACAAGTGTGTAACAGCCAGAGGTTGGAGAGTTTGGAGGTCTTGGAAGAAGACAGGAAGATGTGGAAAAGTTTGGACCAGTGTAGAGACTTGTTAAATAGTTATAATTAAAAAGATGACAGAAGGATGGACAGTGATGGCCAGGCTTAGAAGGTCTCACATGAAAATGAGGAGCTTGCTGGGACCAGGAGCCAAGGTCACTTTCGTTTTGCCTTAGCAAAGAACGTGACTGCATGATGCTCCTAACCTGGAGACCTGTGAAACTTTGAACTTGAGGGTGATGATTTAGAGTGTATCTGGTGGAATGAACTTTTAGGCAGCAAAGCTCAAGAGGTGTCCTGTCTGTGTCGAACAGCCTGTGGTCTTACATGTGACCAAAGAAATGACCTCAAGGTGAAACTTACATTTAAATGAGAAGGAGAGCTTAAAAGTTTGGGAAGTTTGCAGGTTGGCCAAATGGTCAGAAAGAAAAGCTGATTAGCAATGGGAAAGTTCAAGAAGATTTCAGAAATTTGCATAAAATGGAGTTCAGTGCTAATAGCCAATACAATGTTAAAAAGGTCTTGAAGGCATTTCAGAGACTTTTGCAGCAACCCTTGCTGTCACAGGCCCCGAGGCCTGGGAGAAAAGAATGGTTTCCTTCTCCAGCCCCATTGCCCTGCTGCTGTGTCCATCCTCAGGACACTGCTGGCTGCGTTCCTGAAGCTCTAGCTCCAGCCATGGCTGAAAGATGCACAGATACAGCTTGAGTCACTGCTTCAGAGGGTGCAATCTACAAGCCTTGGTGGCTTCCACATAGTGTTAAGCGAGCAGGTACACAAAGACCAAGACTAGAGGCTCGGAATCCTTCATGTAGACTCCAGAGTATTTACAGAAAAACCTCGGTGTCCAGGTCGAAACTTTTCCAAGAGGCAGAGCCTCATGGGAATCCTTTACAAGGGCAGTACAGAAGGAATATATAGGGTTGGAATCCCCACACAGGGAGCACCATTCTGCAAACACCAGATTCATAGACTCACTAACAACTTGGACCCTCATTGTGGATAAGCTACAGGTACTCAGCACCAGCCCAGCCCATGAGTGCAATTGTGGGGGTTAGACCCTGCAAAGCCACAGGTGCAGAGCTGCCCAAGGCCTTGGGAGCCCAGGGCTCACCACTGTGCTCTGGATGTGGGATCTGGATTTAAAAAAAAGTGATTTGGAGCTGTTGGGTTCAATGACTGGCCTGCTGGGTTTTTGACTTGCGTGGGGTCTTTTAGTCCCATCTGTGTTTTGTGCTTCTTTCTGGCAAATTTCTTCCTTTTGGCTGGGAATGCTTACCCAATACCTGTACACAATCATTGTACCTTGGAAGTACTTAACTTGCTTTGTATTTCAGAGGCTCAGGGACAGAAGGGATGGCAGCCTTGTCTCAGAATTCTGAGACTTTGGGCTTTGGACGTTTGAGTAAATGCTGGAATGAGTTAAGACATTGGGAAACAGTAGAGAAGGCATCATTGTATTTTGCAGTGTGAGAACAACATGAGATATGAGGGGGTCAGGGTCATAATAATAGGATTTGGCTCTGCATCCCTACCAAACTCATGTGGAATTGTATTGGTGAATGTTAAAGGTGGGTCCCAGTGGGAGGTGATTTAATCATGGAGAAGAGTGGGGGTTGGAGGTAGGGGTGTGAGGAGAATGGGGGAGATTATTTTGTGGGTGGGGGTGAAAGATGAGGGTGGGGGGGCCGATCATTCACAAATGTTTAAACAGTATCTCCTTAATGCTGTTCACATGACAGTGAGTTCTCTTGATGACTTTTGCAGCTGTGAGATTGAGTGAATACTGTCCTGCTGGGTTTTGGACTTGCATTGGGCCTGTGGGCCCATTTGTGTTATTTTTCTGGGAAATTTCTTCCCTTTGGACTGAGAAAGCTTACCCAATGCCCATACCATCATTTTACCTTGAAAGAAAAGAAGTCTGTTTTAAATTCAGGGACTCATAGGCAGAAGGGACTGTAGCCTTGTCTCAGGTGAGACTTTGAATTTTTTACATTTGGAATGAGTTAACACTTTTGGAAACTTTTGAAAAGTCATGATTGCATTTTGCTCTGTGATAAGGACATAAGATTCTGGGATATCAGAGTCAGAATAATATGGTTTTGCTGTGTGTCCCTATGAATCTCATGTGGAATTGTAATCCCTAATGTTGAAGCGGGTGACTTAATTATGGACAGGAAGTTGGTGGTGGTGGAAGGCAAAAGGGATGGGTAGGATTGGGAGGAGTGGGTTGGCAGTAGGGTGGTGGGAGGGTGGGTGGTAGTAGGAAGGGGGAGTAGCCTGCTGCAGAGTGAGAGGCTCATGGAAAGCCTCTACTAGGGCAGTGCACCTGTGGCTTTGCAGTGTTTAGCCCCTCAGCTGTTCTCATGGGCTGGTTGGTATTAAGGGCCTGTAGCTTTTCCACACTGAGGGTACAAGCTGTTGGTGGGTCCGTGAATCTGGGGTCTGGAGATTGGTGGCCACCTGTGTGGGGGCTCCAAGCCCATATTTTCTTTCTGTACTTCCATAATAGAAGTTTTCCAAGAGGCTCTTCATCTGCTGGAGGCTTCTGCCTGGTAACAGTGGGAGTTGGGGTGTGGGTCATATCCTTCACTAATGTTTAGGCACCATCTTCATGATGCTGACCTTGTGATAGGGAGTTCTCTGAGATCTGGTTGTATAATAGGGTGTGACATCTTTTTTCCTCTCGTGTTCTTGCTCCTACTTCTACCATATGAGACATCTCATTGCCCCTTGACATTCTGGTATGATTGGGAGGCTTCCTGAGTCCTCTCAGATGGAGAAGCCACTGTGCTTCCTTACAGCCTGCAGAATCATTAACAATTAAACCTCTTTTCTTTATGATCATAGAGAAAATTGGTACTGCAAAGTGGAGCTATTGAACTTTTGAAAAGGCATGATTGTATTTTACTCTGTGATAAGGACATGAGATTCTGGGATAGCAGGGTCAGAATAATATGGTTTGGCTGTGTGTCCCTGTAAAAATTCATGTGGAATTGTAATTCCAAATGTTGAAGGTGGGGCCTGGGGAAGATGATTTAATCATGGATTGGAGGGGGTTGGGGTGGAAGGAAAAGGGTTGGTTAAGGTGGGGAGGAGTAGGCTGGCAGTAGGATGGTGTGAGGGTGGTGGGTAGTAGGAAGGGGGAGCAGCCTGCTGCAGAGGCAAAGCCTCATGAGAAATCTCTACTAGGGCAGTGCACCTGTGGCTTTGCAGGGTTTAGCCCCTGCCACTGCTCTCATGGGCTGGGCTGGTGTTGAGTGCCTGTAGCTTTTCCATACTGAGGGTGTGAGCTGTTGGTGGGCTTATGAATCTGGGGTCTGGAGGTTGGTGGCCATCTGTGTGGGGGCTCCAAGCCCATATTTTCCTTCCACACTTCTCTAGTAGAGGTTTTTCAAGAGGCTCTGCCTCTGCATCAGGCTTCTGCCTAGAAACAGTGGGAGTTGGGGGTGAGTGGTTGATCCTTCAGCAATGATTAAGCACCATCTTCATGATGCTGACCTTGTGATAGTGAGTTTTCATGATATCTGGTTGTATAATAGGGCATGGCACCTTTTTCTTCTCTCTGTCTTGCTCCTCCTCCTGCCACATGAATCATCTCATTGCCCCTCGACATCCTGGTATGATTGGGCGGCTACCTGAGTCCTCCCAGATTCAGAAGCCACTAGGCCTCCTTACAGCCTACAGAATCATGAGCCAATTAAACATCTTTCCTTTATGATTCTAGAGAAAATTAGTAGTGCAAAGTGGAACTATTAAATGTCTTCAAGGCCTTTTCCCTATTGTCTTGGCAATCGGCACTCAGCTTCTTTTCATTCAAGTATCTGAAGCCTTCTTGAATTTTCCCCCTGAAAATGGACTTGTCTTCCTTTACCACACTGCCAGGCTGCGGCAAAGATAGCTGATAATGTAGAAGCAGATTCAGAAGGGGATAGCAGACAGAGTTCGGGAGAGTTTGGAGGGCTTCCAAGACAAGAAGATGAGGGAAAGTTTGGATCTTTGTAAAGAATTGTTAAATACTTGTGATCAGAAGGCTCACGGGAAAATGGTCAGTGAAAGCTAGACTTAGAAGGTCTCAGATGAAAATGAGGAACTTAATGGGAACAGAAGCCAAAGTTACTTTTGTTTTGCCCTAGCAAAGAATGTGGCTGCACAGTGACCCTGCCCTGGAGATTTGTGAAACTTTGAGCTTGAGGGTGATGACTTACTGAGTATCTGGTGGAATGAACTTCTGGGCAGCAAAGCTCAAGAGGTGTCCTGTCTCCATGGAACAGCCTGTGCTCTTATGTGTGATGGAGGAAATGACCTCTTGATGGGACTTACATTAAATGAGTCACAACTCGTACATTAAATGAGAAACAGAACTAAAAAATTTGGAAAATTTGCAGCCCTGCCAAGTAGTCAAAAAGAAAAGCTGATTTTCCGGGGGAAAATTGAGGAAGGCTTCAGAAACTTGCACGAGAAGGAGCCCAGTGCTAATAGGCAAGACAATAAGGAAAAGGCCTTGAAGGCCTTTCAGAGACCTTTGCAGAAGCCCTTGCTCTACAGGCCCTGGGGCCTAGGAGAGAAGAATGGTTTTCTGGGCCAGTTCCATGACCCCCCTTTATATGCAGCCTCAGGATACTGCTGCCTGCATACCTGCAGCTCCAGCTCCAGCTCCAGCTCCAGCTCCAGCCATGGCTGAAAGATGCACAGGCACAGCTTGGGTGACCCAAGCTACAGATGGTACAGACTAGAAGCCTTGGTAACTTCCTCACAGTGTTAAGTCACTGGTGGATGGAGCATGAGACTAGAGGCTTGGGATCCTCTCTATAGATTTTGGAAGATGTATGCAAATGCCTGGGTGTCCAGGCAAAAGCATCCCAAAAAGGCACAGCCTTATATGAAACTTCTACTAGGGCAGTGCGGAAGGAAAATATGGGGTTGGAGCCCCCACACTGGAGGTCACCATAATGCAGATCCCAGATTCATAGACCCCCCCACCCCCCGCCAACAACTTGTATCCTCAATGTGGAAAAGTCACAGGCACTCAATACCAGCCCAGCCCATGAGGACAGCCATGGGGCATAAACCCTGCAAAGCCATAGGTGTCAAGCTGCCCAAGGCCTTGGGAGCCCAGCCCTCACACACCCCTGTGCCGTGGATGTGGGACAAGGTTTCAAAAAGGGTGATTTTGGAGCTGTAGGATTGAATGACTGGCCTTCTGGGTTTGGAGTTTCATGGGGCCGGTAAGTCCTATCTGTGTTTTGTTTTCTTCTGGCAAAATTCTTCCTTTTGGCTGGGAATGCTTACCCAATGCCTGTACAAGCACTGTACCTTGGAAGTAGTTAACTTGCTTTGTATTTCAGAGGCTCATGGGCCTAAGCTACTGTAGCCTTGTGTCAGATGAGACTTTAAACTTTGAACATTTGTGTAAATGCTGGAATGATGTAAGATTTTAGGGGACTGTAGGGAAGGCATTGTATTTTGCAATGTGAGAAGGACATGAGATTTGGGGAGCCAGGGAGAGAATAATAAAATTTAGCTCTGTGTCCCTACAAAAACTCATGTGGAATTGTAATCAGAATGTTAAAGGTGGGGCCTGGTGGAAGGTGATTTAATCACAGTGGAGACTGGGGGTTGGAAGATGGGGGGGTAGGGAGAATGGGGGAATTATGGTGGGGGTTAGGGGTGAAAATTGGGGGTGGGGGGTGGGTCCTTCACAAATGATTAAACACTATCTCCTTACTGCTGTACTGTGAGTTCTCTTCATGATTTTGGAGCTCTGAGCTTGAACAGATACTGGCCTCCTGGGTTTTGGACTTGCATTGGGCCTGTGGTCCCATTTGTATTCTTTTCCTGGGAAATTTCTTTTCTTTGGATTGAAAAAGTTTACCCAATGCCTGTACTATTACTGTAGCTTGAAAGAAAAGAACATCCTTTTAAATTCAGGGACTCATAGGCAAAACGTACTGTAGACTTGTCTCAGATGAGATGTTGAATTTTTTACATTTGAGTTAATGTTGGAATGAGTTAAGACTTTTGGAAACTTTTGAAAAGGCATGAATATATTTTGCTCTGTGAGAAGAGCATGAGACTGCGGGGGATCAGGGTCAGAATAATATGATTTGACTGTGTTTCTTTACCAAAACTCATGTGAACTGTAATCCTTAATTTTGGAGGTGGGGCCTGGCTGGAGGTGATTTAATCATGGATGGGAGGGGGGCCGGGGGTGGAAGGAAAGGGGTGGGTAGGGCAAGGAGTAGGTTGTTAGTAGGGTGGTGAGAGGGTGGTGGGTAGTAGGAGGCGGGAGTAGCCTGCTGCAGAGGCAGAGGCTCATGGAAAGTCTCTACTAGGGCAGTGCACCTGTGGCTTTGCTGGGTGTAGCCCCCATGGCTGCTCTCATGGGCTGGGCTGGTGTTGAGTGCCTGTAGCTTTTCCATACTGAGGGTGTGAGCTGTTGGTGGGTCTATGAATCTGCAGTCTGGAGGGTGGTGGCCTCCAGTGTTGGGGTTCCAAGCCCGTATTTTCCTTCTGCACTCCCCTACTAGAGGTTCTCCAAGAGGTTCTGCCTCTGCAAGAGGCTTCTGCCTGAAAACAGTGGATGTGGTGTGGGTGGATCCTTCACCATTAGTTAATCTTCTTGAAGCTGATCTCCTGTTAGTGAGATCTCATGAGATCTGGTTGTATAACAGGGTGTGGCACCTCTTTTCTCTCTCTGTCTTCCTCCTACTCCTGCCGTATGGAACATCACATTGTCGCTTGGCCTTCTGGTATGATTGGGAGGCTTCCTGAATCCTCCCAGAAGCAGAAGCCACTATGCTCCCTTTACAGCCTGCAGGACCATGAGCCATTTAAACCTTTTTTAAAAATAATATTACAGAGAATTTGTACTGTAGAGTGGAGCTATGAAATGCCCTCAAGGTTTTTTTCCTTATTTTTTTACTATTAGCATTTGCCTTCTTTTATATGCAAATATCTGAAGCCTTCTTGAATTTTTCCCCTGAAAATGAACTTTTCTTTTTCCACATTGCCAGGCTGCCACAATGATAGCTGAAAATGTAGATGCAGATTCAGAAGTGGGTAACGACCAGACGCTGCACAGTTTGGAGGGCTTGGAAGAAGACAGAAAGATGAGGGAAAGTTTAGACTATTGTAGAGACGTGCTAAATAGTTACAATTAAAAGAGTGACTATAGAGACTTATTAAATAGTTACAATTAAAATGGTGACTGAAGGTTGGACAGTGAAGGCCAGGCTTAGAAGGTCTCAGATGAAAATGAACAACTTACTGGGAACAGGAGCCAAGGTTACTTTTGTTTTGCCTTAGCGAAGAATTTGGCTGGATGGTGCCCCTCCCTTGGAGACCTCCGAAACTTTGAACTTGAGGGTGATGACTTAGGGTATATCTGGTGAAATGAACTTCTAGGCAGCAAAGCTCAAGAGGTGTCTTGTCTGTATCGTACAGCCTGTGGTCTTCTGTGTGACTGAATAAATGACCTCAAGTTGAAACTTATATTTAAATGAGATGCAGGGCTTAAAAGTTTGGAAAATTTGCAGCCTGGCCAAGTGGTCAAAAAGAAAAGCTGATTTTCAGTGGGAAAATTCAAGAAGGCTTCAGAAATTTGCATAAAATGGAGCCCAGTGCTAATAGCTAAGACAATGTTTAAAAGGTCTTGAAGGCATTTCAGAGACCTTTGCAGCAGAGCTTGCTGTCATAGGCCATGGGGACTAGGACCGAAGAATGGTTTCCTGGGTTAGTCCCATGGTTGTGCTGCTGTGTCAATCCTCAGGACACTGCTGCCTGCATCCCTGCAGCTCCAGCTCCAGCTCCAGCTCCTGCCATGGCTGAAAGATGCACAGGTACAGCTTGGGTCAGTACTTCAGGGGTGCAAGCTTCAAGCCTTGGTGGCTTTCACATAGTGTTAAGCCAGCAGGTGCACAGAGCACAAAACTAGAGGCTTGGGAGCCTCCATCTAGACTCCAGAGTATGTACAGAAAAACCTGGGTGTTCAGGCAGGAGCTTTTCCAAGAGGCAGAGCCTCATGGGAAAACTTTACTAGGGAAGTACACAAGGAACATAGGGTTGGAGCCCCCACACAGGGATGCACCATTTTCCAGACCCCAGATTCATAGACCCACCAGCTGCTTGCACCCTCAGTGTGGAAAAGCCACAGGTGCTCAACACCAGCCCAGCCCATGAGGGCAGCTGTGGGGGATAGACCCTGCATGGCCACAGATGCTGAGCTGCCCAAGGCCTTGGGAGCCCAGCCATCCACCCCTGTGCTTTAGATGTGGGATGTAGATCCAGAAAAAATGATTTGGAGCTGTTGGATTCAATGACTGGCCTGCCAGGTTTTTGACTTGCATGGGGTCTGTAAGTCCCATCTGTGTTTTGTGCTTCTTTCTGGCAAAATTTTTCCTTTTGGCTGGGAATGCTTACCCAATGCCTGTACAACCATTGTATCTTGGAAGCGCTTAACTTGCTTTGTATTTCAGAGGCTCGGGGCAGAAGGGAAGGCAGCCTTGTCTCAGATGAGACTTTGGGTTTTGTACATTTCAGTAAATGCTGGAATGAGTTAAGACTTCGGGGAGCGAAGGCATCACAGTATTTTGCAGTGTGACAAGAATATGAGATCTGGGGGAACCCTGGTCAGAATAACATGATTTGGCCCTGTGTCCCTACCAATACTCTCATGGAATAGTGATGGGGAATGTTAAAAGTGGGGCCTGGCGGGAGGTGATTTAATCATGGAGAAGAGTCGGTGTTGGTGGTAGGAGAATGGGGGAGATTATTTTGTGGACGAGGGTGAAAGATGAGGGTGGGGTGCAGATTCTTCACAAATGGCTACACACTATCTCCTTAATGCTGTCTGTGTGATAGTGAGTTCTCTTGATGACTATGGAGCTTAAAGATTGAGTGAATACCGTCCTGCTGGGTTTTGGACTTGCCTTTGTGTTATTTTCCTGGGGAATTTCTTCCCTTTGGATTGAGAAACTTTACCCAATGCCTGTTGTACCTTGAAAGAAAAGAAATCCCTTTTAAATTCAGGGACTTATTGACAGAAGGGACTATAGCCTTGTCTCAGATGAGACTTTGAAATTTTTACATTTGGCATGAGTTAAGACTTTTGGAACTTTTGAAAAGGCATGATTGTGTTTTGCTCTGTGAGAAGGACATGAGGTTCTGGAGTATCAGGGGTCAGAATAATATGGGTTGGCTGTGTGTTCCTATAAAACTCACATGGAATTGTAATCCTTAATGTTGGAGGTGGGGCCAGGTGGGAGGCGATTTGATGTTGGATGGGAGGGGGTTGGGGTGGAAGGAAAAGGAGGGGTAGGGTGGGGAGGAGTAGGCTGTCAGTAGGGTGGTGGGAGGGTAGAGGGTAGTAGGAAGGGGGACTAACCTGCTGCAGAGGCAGAGGCTCATGGAAAAACTACTAGGACAGTGCACCTGTGGCTTTGCAGGCTTCAGCCCCCATGGCTGCTTTCATGGGCTGGACTGGTGTTAAGTGCCTGTTGCTTTTCCATACTGAGGGTTTGAGCTGTTGGTGGGCTTATGAATCTGGGGTCTGGAGGATGGTGGCCTCCTGTGTGGGGCCTCCAAGCCCATATTTTCCTTCTGCACTGCCATAGTGGAAGTTTCTCAAGAGGCTCTGCCTCTGCAGGAGGCTTCTGCCTGGAAACAGTGGGCGGTGGTGTGGGTGGAGGATCCTTCACCAGTGGTTAATCTTCTTGACGCTGATCTCCTGATAGTGAGTTCTCATGAGATCTGGTTGTGTAACAGGATATGGCACCTCTTTCTTCTCTCTGTTTTGCTCCTACTCCTGCCATGTGAAACATCTCATTGCCGCTTGGCCTTCTGGTGTGTTTAGGAGGGCCCTGATCAGTGTGGGCCTGCTCAGTGGACCTAGTCAGTTGGGACTTGGTCAGTGAGGCCTATTTAGTTGGGAGCATGGTCAGCAGGGGTCTGCATAGAGAGGGTCTCATTAGGGGGATCTAGTAGTGCAGGTCTTGGTGAGTGGGGACCTAGTGGCAGACAAATGTTTGGTGTCTGGTCAGTGCAAACCTGGGCTGTGGGACTTGGTCAGTGGTGACCTGGTCAGCTGGGGCTTAGTGGTGGCCTTGTCAGCATGGGCTGGGTGACTGGTGACCAGGTTAAGGGGTGCTACTCAGTGGAGGCCTGGTCACATGGGACCTAGTCAGCAGAGGCCCTTGTCAGTGGGGCCCTGGTCAGGGCAGCCTGGTCAGTGGAACCTAATCAGTGGGGGCCTGGTCAGAGAGGACTTGATCAGTGGTGGCTTTTGTAGCACTGGTCTACGGGGTGACCTGGTCTGTGGGGATCTGAGCAGTGCGTGCCTGTTCAGGGGGGCCTACTCATTAGGGTCCCGTTCAGGGGCATCTGGTCACCTCAGTCCTGGTTAGTAGGGGCCTGTTCACTGGCAGCCTATTCCCTGGAGGCCTGGTCAGTGGGGCTTCATCTGTGGGGCCAGGCAATAGGGTCATGATCGGTGGAACATGACCAGTGAGGCCTTGTCAGTAAGAACGTGGTCAGTGAGCGCTTGTCAGTGAGGCCTTTGTCAGTGAGGCCTTGTCAGTAAGAACATGGTCAGTGAGGCCATGTCAGTGAGGCCCCTGTCAGTGAGGCCATGTCAGTGAGATCTTGTCAGTAAGGACATGGTCAGTAAGGACCTGGTCAGTGAGGCCTTGTCAGTGAGGCCTGGTCAGTAAGGTCCAGGTCAGTGAGGTCTTGTCAGTAAAGTCCTGGTTTATGGAGTCCTAGTCATTGTGGGCGTGGCAGCGGGGGCCTGGTTAGTGGGGCCTGGTGATGGGGGTCTAATCACTGAGGATGTGGTCAGGGAGGACCTGATGTGCGGGATCTGGTCAGCAGGGACCTGGTCAGTGGGGACTGCTGAGCCCTGATGGGAGATGTCAGGGGAAATGCATGTTATCAAGGTCCCTGTGGACAGCTGGGATGGCCCAGTGGTGTCCAATGGCCCAGTCAAAAGTGGACAAAGCAGGTGTTTGGATGGACCGGGGAGATCTTGCTCAGAGATTCTCACAAGACAAACATAAAGGAAGGGCCAGAGTGGTCGGAGAGATGGTCACAGTCTATGGGCTGCACAGGATGGAGGAAGCCAGGGAACAGGCAGGGTGGGCAGCTGGGGTGCAGGGATAGGCAGGTGCATATTGGGAGATCAGACCCTGTGAGGGCTGTGGGGGCGTCAGGTGGGGTGGGCTCCAGGTGCACCTTCAGTGCACTGGGCAGGTCTCAGCCCAGGCTCCCTGGACCCTGGCCGAGTGATGTGGTCACTCCTTTGGGGGACTGCTGTCAGGCCCCGGCCACCCACCATGGGCAGCACTGTCCCATCTCAGGACTGGACTTCCTCAGATCCTGCAGAGGGCACAGCCTCCAGCCCAGGAGGGGCAGCCCCTTGGTGGAGCCTGAGCTCTCCATGGTCCTGGAGCATCACCTGCCAGCCCTGTGCTCCATTTTTTCCCAGGTCCCACATTTCCAGTGTCAGCCAGCAGGGAGGCCCAGTCCTCCCTTCCCTATGTGTCTCCTGGGCTGAAACTTGCGGCGCACTGGGACAGGGATGGTGCTTTCCTTAGGCCCATTTAGGGAGGGGACTGGTTCCCAGCCTGGCACAGGTCCTCAGCTCTGCCTTGATTGCCTTAGAGTGAGATGGATCAGTCAGTGCTCTGAAGGTAAATGTAAGAGACTGTCCCTGCTGTGTGCGAGGCTGGTCTAGGGATGGAGGACTTAACAGGTCCTCCCAATCTGTCAGGCCTGGACAGCACTGTCCTGTCTCAGGACTCAGAAAGTCCAGTCCTGAGATAGGAAGGTGTTGCCCAGGGTGGGTGGCTGGGGCCTGACAGCAGTCCCCAGGGAGTGACCACATCACCCAGCCGGGGTCCAGGGAACCTGGCCTGAGACCTTCCCAGTGCATTGAGGGTGCACCTGGAGCCCACTCCACCTGATGCCCCCACAGCCCTCACAGGGTCTGTCCTCCCAGCATGCACCTGCCTCTCCCTGCACCCCAGATGTCCACCCTGCCTGTTCCCTGACTTCCTCCATCCTGTCCAGCAGGATGGGCTGGGAAGTGGGAAAGCCTGTGTGCACATTTCGTGGCAAGTAGGAGTGACACACCATCCCTGGGAGGCACCTGCCAAACCCAACCCCAGAAGTCTCCCTGAGGTGGTTTTACCAAACCCATAACCCACAACTGTGATTGTGGTTTGGGGGTCAGCACCCGCTAGTGCCAGGGCACTACTGGGAAGCTGGGACCTGACCAATGCCCATGGTGTCTGTGGCCTGAGGACAGGGTGTCTTGGGGCCATGAGGACAGGCCACCAATGGCCATTGGGTCATAGGGCCTGAGCCCCAGTGTTTTTCCTTCCCTGGCTGCTTCTGGTTCAGTCCCATTCAGGGCCCTAGAGCCCAAGATGCAGCATCCAAGGTTCCCTCCAGAAATCCTGGTGGCTCGACTTATTTTGTCATGTTTCATCTGATAACAAAAATATCATATCAGCTGCACAGAAAAATGGCTCAAAGTGCTTAATGACTAGAAGAAATCGAGGAGCAGCAAGAAGGTAATGTGGAGAGGGGAGGACCTCCATGACCGGTGTCTGCAGAGCCAGGGGTACAGGCACCCAGTGCAGTGACCTGGCACCACCTGCCTCTCAGAGGGTGGGTAGCACACTGTCCTTACCTGGGGGACAGCAGGCCTGGCCACCGGCTTTTCTCCCTGTCCCTGCAAGCATCACATTGCTGGAAGAGAATTTCATGCCAGAGCTTGGACCGTCCCTAGCTTGGGAGGTACGGGTTGTCTCTTGGTGACCTAAATGAAAAAATAGGTCCAGAACAGAGTTCCTGATGCTGGGCACTCATCCACTCTTTGAATCATGGGAGGGGAGGCCTAGTCCTAGGTAAACCTAACCTCTTTGAGGAACCACAGTGCCCAAGGCTGGAAACCTCCAGAATCCTCCGGCCCCCGATCCTCCCCAGGGACCCCTGTGGCCTGTCTCACCAGAGCATTCTTCCATCTGTAGATGTTTCAGCTGCTGTACAAGGGAGTCCCATTTCAGGTGTGGGGCTGGGCATGGTCACTCCTGCTGGATGTCTGGAAGGTGAAAACCAAGGACCTAGGGAAATACCAGGTACAGCCTTTCCACCCTCATCCAGAGCAGGACAAACAGGCCAGGTGGTATCAGGAGCCCAGGTCTCCAGCTGGAGGGAATGTCAACCCTGCAGTGGGAGCCCATCACGCATCCTAGGCACAGATGCTAATGTAGGCACCGCGGGTAAGCTGAGCTTGGTACCCCTCCCTGGCTTCAAAAATAAGCCAAACAAGGAGCTTTCTGCAGAATGAAACCTGTTTTTCATCCAGAAGCACTGCTGACTGTTTGGTGGTTGCTGTTGGGGCAGTGAGCCTTTTGTCCATTCTGAGATTGGGCTGGTTTCTCCTCTTGGCCCTGCCCTACAGACCATAAAGGAAAACAGCAAGAGGTCCGCAGCAAACATCTACAGATGGCCCTGGACATCAGCCACATTCTGAGAAACATGTCATGTTCTGGGAGGGCTAAGGCATCAAGTAAGGCCTCTGGGGCTGGAGGATCCCAGGGCAGGTGGGGCAATCCAGAGCTGTGGGGGCTTCCATGGGAATTGGGAGGTCTCAAGGCAGAGGGAGGGGTTCCACAGGAGGAGTCACAGAGCCACCAAGGGGTCTCCTGGCCCAGGGAGCAGCCAACACCATGGACTGAACACCCGCTGGGCTCCAAGCCCTGGGCCAGGCTGGGGCATATGGGGCCAGGAGGCAGCTCAGAGTGGGAGACAGAGAGACAAGTGTGCTCAGAGGGCACCCGTATCTGGATGTAGTGTGGTCCTGAGTTTCTGGCTGGGAAGCGCTTCCAGGGTTTCATATGTATTATGGAGCTGCTTCCTCTCTCCAGGCTCACCCTGCAGGAATCCCAGTGAATATATTGCCACCATCTTGGAGCTCAGTGCCCTCTTAGTGTAATGGCACCAGCAGATCTGCCTGTGCACGGACTTCCTGTACTACCTCACTCCTGAGGGGAGATGCTTCTGCAGGGCCTATGACCTGGTGCACAACTTTAGACACCATCATCCTGGAGCAGCACCTCACCCTCACTTGCCGGGGTGTTGATGACTTCCTCAAGGCTAAGGCCACATTCAAGATTTTGGACTTCAGTGATGCATTTTTGCTGAGCAAGGTGGGCTTCTCCGGGATTTTAGTTCAGGAGGTAGAATGCAGCTTGAGATCAAGTGTCTGATCAAATAACTTGAACTTGATCTGGAGAGCTCTGGGGAGCCATAGAAGTTGTTGGATAAAGGAGGGACAGTCGTATATGTTTTAGAGATGACTGTGGAAGGCTGCCTGGAAGGAGTGAACAAGAGCCAGGAGACCAGGGAGGGAGCTTGTGGGGCAGGTCTGGAGATGACAAGGGAGGGATCCTGCTTTGATGAAAGGTCTTCAGGGAATGTCTCAGGTTACACTCAGGTGTCCTCAGAGCTAGTGTGTTCAGGGGTCTTGCCTCCAGGATGAAAATGAGAAGGAGTTGTCAGACAAGAACATATAAATGAAGGCTGGCATCTTCGTGAGTGCCAATCGTTGTCCTGGTGTGGACTACTGTGGGAATAGGGGTCTCTCCATCCAGGGACATGGTGGATGGACCCTACATCACTCCATTCTGCCCTTCCTTTCCCTCCCATTCTGAGGGCCTCAGTGCAAGGGCGCTGTCCAACCTCTGGTGCTGAAGCAGCCGAGAGACCCAAGCCTGCCACTCAGGATATGACAGCACAGCCAGTGGCCTCTACTGGATCCTGTACAACCTCAGAAGACACCTAGACACTGGGAGTGCTGCCACCACGTGGTGCAAGAGTTCTGAGGGACCGCAATTCTGAAGACATTGAATGGTGGGTGCCAGGCCTCGTGGCTGTTCCCCAGCCCCTCTCATAGGCTCTGCTCCAGCTGGTGAAGGGGGATGACGTCTCTGTCAATTCTGCCATGATTGCCTAGCAGGAAAAGGAGCAGAGCCCAGAAGCAGGGCCTGGTACCCAGCCTGCCTAACAAGGGAGAATTTGTAGGCTTTGTGGACAGAAAGATCTGGGAGTCCATATCACCCACTAACTTGCTGAGACATTAGTAAAATCAGTTTTCTTTTCTGAGCTATGTTTCTGTCATTTGTAAATTGAGAGGAATTTCTTTTACACCACGAGGCTGCTTGGAGAATTAGTGACAGTGTGTGTAGAGCAGGTGCCACGCAGCAGGCATTTGGTGTCCAGACCACTCCTCTTCCGCCTTCATTTTCAGCCTAAATTTGCATTTTGTTCTTAAGACTTTCACTCCCCTTAATTTTGCTCTTTCCTCTGATTCCCAGCTTATCGTCTATCCCATGGAGTCACTAAGATCTATGTGGGTAACAGTCATGTATGCATTTATGTGTATGTACATATATACTTTGTTGGTGTTGGAGTGCGGTGTGGGAATGTGTGTGTGTTTGTGTGTTGGAGTCACTGCATGACTGAAACTGTGCACACCAGGCTGTGTTTTTGCTCATTGCTGGAGGTGCTGTCAGGGGCCTTGCCGTCAACCCCAGGTCTGACCCTTGCAGTGCAGGCAGGACATTCTGGAGCAATCATGACCTTGGAAGGATCCCCAAGGAGTGCCTGGTGGGTATTGGTGGATAAATAACCCAGTTCCCTTGTTCTGGGTATGATGACTCTGAGGCACATGTTCTATGCTGTCTCTCAGAGGTACCTGGCAGGGCTGAGTCCTGGCTGCCACAGTGGAAACTTTCTTGATGAAAGTCCCTTTAACTGCTGCATTCCTTTCCTATCTCTGTTCCCCACTCCTCTACTGGTGTTTCCTGGGATTAGCACCCTAAGGAAGAACTGGCAGTCAAATTAATATCCTAGAGTTATCTCCAAATAAAATTTTTATATTTGAATCTTTGCCTTAGGATCTACTTCTAGGAAATTCAGACTAAGACACACATTTTTCTTTCGGCTCCTTCAATCCCCATAGGCCTGACATTGTGCTGTTTTTATCAAAAAGGAACATGAGAATCAGAGAGGGAAAGTCACTTGCCCAAAGTCACCCAGCTGAACAGTGGTAGAGTTCAACTTTGACCATGGGATGTCTGGCCCCAAGGTGGAGGCTTGCTCCTCTCCTATGAGACTCCTCCCTTATCAGGGTCAAATGAATGAATGGAGGATGTTAAAAGTAGGGTCTCTGAGGCCTTTGCCAGAGAAACCCCAGGCTCATGGCTGGTGCCTGTGTTCTCATTCTTACCTCATTAAGAGTAGTAATGAAAAACATGCTCAGTGCTGACCGTGTGCCTGGGGGTGTTGTTGTAGGCATTCCGCTTACTTTAATTCATTTAATTTTCACAATAACCTTGTTTTTACTTCTAGTTGTTAGATGAAAAAACCGAGGCAAAGAGCAATACAGAGAGTTGCAAAAATTCATACTGCTGGTCCAGGTTTGAACCAAGCAGTCTGCACCTGGAGTCCTTGTTTGTAACCATGGCACCCTGGCTTCACACATATCTCATCGTGGAGTTCCACCTTGTGTCAGGCATGGCACTGAACAGCTTCTTTTAAGAACATAATTTGTAGCCAGGCGCCGTGGCTCATGCCTGTAATCCCAGCACTTTGGGAGGCCGAGGCGGGCGGATCATGAGGTCAGGAGATTGAGACCATCCTGGCTAACTTGGTGAAATCCCGTCTCTAGTAAAAATACAAAAAATTAGCTGGGCATGATGGTTGGCGCCTATAGTCCCAGTTACTTGGGAAGCTGAGGCAGGAGAATGGCGTGAACCCGGGAGGCAGAGCTTGTAGTGAGCCGAGATGGCGTGACTGCACTCCAGCCTGGGCGAGAGAGTGAGACTCCATCTCAAAAAAAACACATAATTTGTAATTATGTAAATTACTAATTCTACTTCAAAGTGCCACACAGCCTTCATGTGATAAAACGAAGCAATTGGTAAGTCTAAGCACTGAGAAAAAACATTCTTTTTTCCACTCCCAACTCCATTCCAACAGTTGGGACAGTGTTTTCTCTGTGCCTATAGAAACCTCAGCTACTGTGCCGAGGAGTCTGGTCCCTTTGGGGAATGTGGCAGTCAGGTGCTGGCAGGGACCTCGAAGTGGCTGAAAGATCATTAAGAAAAAGCTGTTTACAAAGGTGTGGGCTGGGCCAAGGGGAACCATGAGGGATGGCGCAGGTCCCTGGTGTTAGCGTCATCTGGGAGCTGTCACCACACTCCAGGCTGATGGGGCCATAGAGAAGCTGTTCCAATAACTCAGAGGGAGAATCTACAGCTGAAAGAGGAGGCCAGGGGACACATCACTCCCTGTGCCCTTTGACTGCGTGTGGATGCCCCCACCGACCACACTACCATCTCCTTATTAGATTGGAGAGGCTGCAGAGTGGGGTTCTAAGCCTCCTATTGTGGCTCACCTCCAACAGTGAGTCAGCAGCAGCTCCCCTAGCCCCACAGCCCAGGGTCCACTTAGCCCCTCTATCCTGTACGGTCCCCTTCCCCACTGGGAAGCAGATACCCAAATGAGCAGCAGAATCCTGTCTCTCCCTGCAGGTCCCTCTGCTCCTTATGAGTGGTGTTTTGTGGGTGTCCTCCCTTGGTTTAGGATGGGAAACAACCTTTTCCCTTCCACAGGGATTGTTTCTGTGTACCCCACCCTGAGTTTTCCCCTGGTGGGACAACGGGCAGGTGGGGATGGTGGGACGAACTCTTTAGAACCAGCAATGCCAAACACATCCCACTCTGGGGAAGTTCATTCTAAGTGTCATGGATCCTCTGGAATTTTTTGAAGGTTTCCTGTTTTCTTCTCCCCCTAACCAGCTCATCTGATCTCCTGGGATCTCTACTAAGATGTTGGCAGCCCAACCAGCTGGTCTGGCCCTGGACATGCCTTCAGGGACTGGTTATGCTTCATGACCTGTGTTGCGGTCATTAGTAAACAGCACCTGCTTCTAGCTTTACTGTTGGGCCTGATTTTATCCCTACCCTGGCTTTTCATTGCAGCTGCTTCCTGCTCCCTCCATGGACCTGCACAGAATTGTCCCATGTTTCTGTTTGTTTGGGCACCACTGAGGAAGGAAGCATGAAGGACGCAGAGGTCAGGCCATTCTATTGCCCTCCTGCTGCTGGGTCTTTAATCCTGAGATGGCTTCAGGGGCTGGTCCTTCTCCATGGCCCCCTCCACATATCTCAGGTTTGTGCTCAAAAGTCACCTCTTGGAGGGGTCTCTCCCTGTCACTGTGTTTGGAACAGCTCCTTTGGTTTCTTTCTAGCTCATCTCACTCTGGTAATGTCTTTCATTACCACCACCATCTGAGCTGGTCTTATGACCTGTTAGCTTCCTTCATCAAACATGAGCACTAGGATGACAGGGACCTCATCTGTTCTGTTCCTCCTGTGGCCTGGGTCCTAGCACCATGTCTGGTACAGTGTAGATGCTCAAGGGAAGTTTACTTTATAGAACTGTCTACCTGGGAGATGTTGCTGTTAGTCTAACCTGTACCATTTTGTAATCCTGCAGCCATTTTGCAAACCCTGGTCAGAATGAAACATTCCTTGGGAACTCGGGCCATGAGAAGCATCCTTCCTGACCACCTGACTGCGGAAACATCCTTATCGCATCCTCCCGGGCGAAGGCCCAACAGCCTGACTGCAGGAACATCCTTGCCATATCCTGCCGGGCAGCAAGCTCTACCGCCCAGACCCCTCCTTCCCAGTCCCATGATCGCCCCAGCCTGTGAGCGGCAGTTGGTGATGGCACTAAGCTGATTTCCTCCTCTGCAGGGTTTTGCTAGTAATAAAGGTGTTGCTGTTGAAGCCACCAACCATGTCTCTCTGTCTTTCTTTAACCCTAGCCTTGCCTTCAAAACCTAACAATAACTCTACCTCTCCATTTTACCAAGGATTATATGAGACTCAAGGAGAGCAAGAGACTTACCCAGAATTACAGAGCCAGTGAGTCACAGAGCCTGAACTTGAGCTCAGTTCAGCTGAATCCAGAACTCGTGTCTTCCTGAGAGTCCAGGGAAGGAAAGGTGGAACTGCAGCCAGTGGGTGCCCACATGCTTGTCCTAGGAGACCCCAGGTAGCCTCCTGGGAATTGTGTCCTCATGGGCACGAAAGAAGAACTGCTCACCTGTGCTGCATCAGCTAAGTGTCCCCATTGTCCCAAATTGTTATATTGTTTCAAAGTTTTGTTTTAATAACTAAATTTCTCACAGCTCAGTGTTCAAAACAAAGCACAGAGGCATGTAGAAAGTCGTGTGGGTTTTTCTCATTTTCTTCCCAGTGACTACAAATGAATGTACAAAAGAACACAAATACACTCATACTTTTATATAGAGATGAGGCCCTCCCACTCATATTCCTCTGCCACTAGCCTTCCTTTTTTTTTTTTTTTTTTTTCCCACGGGAGGACCACTTCTCCATGTCTAGTCCATGTCATTTGGGAAGGCTGACCCACCCTGGGCAATCAGCAGGGTAATTCATTCAGGAGTGGGCATGTGATCCAAGCTGGGCTCATGGAAGTCATCCCTGAACTTTTGATGAAACTGCTGGGAATGAGGTGCTTTCTTTTTATTGGCATAGCTATTTGCAAGGAAGTAAGTGATGTGAACTTTATGGGGCCATTTTTGCTGCTGTCTCAAAACAGCCACTAGAAAAGCAGAGCTGACACAGGAAATGAAGGGACAGAATGAGCCTTGGTTGATATTAGTTGACCCCTGATCCCGTTGAGCCAGAAGCCCATCTACTCATGGACATTTTAAGTAAGTAGAGCCAAATAGTTCAATGTTCTGCTGGATCAAGTTAGGTGTCAGTCACTTGCGGTCAAGAGAGTCCTGCATAATAGCACTTTCTCTGATGCTTAGGTCCCACCTGCCAGAGCTTTAGAGCTGTAGAAGGGTAAAGTGAACCCAGGCAGTGCTGAGCTAGCCAGTCTCCTGGCTAAGTGTGCAAAGGAACCCTGGAGTCACTACCACTTTGGTCTCACAAATAGCCTTGCCTGCTGCTTACCATACAGCCACAGGCGTATTGCTTCCCTGAGTCCTTAGGCATTATACCTGTTTTTGAAAATGATTTTTATTTAAGAAAATGTTTTGTGGAGATGGTGTCTTGCTATGTTGCCCAGGCTTGTCTTGAACTCCTGGCCTAAAGTGCCGAGATTATAGGCATGAGCCACTTTGCTTGGCCAGCACTGTACTTCTATTAGTTATCAGTGCTTTTTTGTTCTGTAGTTTCTAGTGTGTGCTTGAGTGTGTGTGTGTGAGTTTATGTGTGTGTGTGTTTATGTGTGTGAGTGTGTGTGTGTTTATGTGTGTGTTTATGTGTGTGTGTGTGTTTGTGTATGTGTGTGTGTTTATGTGTGAGTTTGTGTATGTGTGTGAGTTTATGTGTGTGTATGTGTTTGTGTGTGTTTATATGTGTTTGTGAGTTTATGTGTGTGTGTTTGTGTGTGTGTATGTGTGTTTATATGTGTGTTTGAGTTTATATGTGTGTGTGTTTGTGTGTGAGTGTGTGTTTATGTGTGTGTTTGTGTGAGTGTGTTTGTGTGAGTTTATATGTGTGCGTGTGAGTTTATGTGTGTGAGTATATGTGTGTGAGTGTGTGTGTTTGTGTGTGAGTTTTTATATGTGTGTGTGTGAGTTTTTACTTTCATCTTGCAGGGTTATTGCAAGCATCAAGTGGGATCCTGTAGGCACAGCACTCAGTCCAGTGACTGGCACATACAGTGAGCTCTCTCTGTTCTCCTGGTTCAGAGAATTACTTAAGGATCTGTGATGTGTGCCAATTTTCAATGCCCTGGATACATAATGGGGAGTACTGTTGCCGTAACTTTGCACTAGTTTTAATTCATTTTATCTGTTTAGCATGAGATACCTCAAAGTCACTGAATAAATTTGTCACACACAAACACACACACACACATATATATATACACACACACACAAGTATGTTTCTTCAGAGCTGACAAGCTTATTTTTTATTCCCTGATGCTGCAGTAGAGGCCACTGTGTTCTGATTTTTTGAGTGATGGCTGCCAGCTCTCCAAGTGTCACAGTCGGTGAGGCATCCATGGGGGCGAGTGCCAAAGATGAGTGTGGCCAGTCAGCATCTGCAAGCCCATTTTGTCTATTCTCTTTATAATATGTTTTATTCATTTTTTAGGTTTATCATTTAATCTGTTATAAACATCTCTCCTAAAATGTTTCTTAGTTCTACTAGGGGTTAGTTTCATGAAATAAGTCCAGAAATAGTCCAGGGCAGCCAGGGATACCCTACATGCCATTGGGGAGGGAGAAATCTTGTAGATTGAAGGTTTTGTTGTAGGGACAATCGTTCCAATTGTCTTCAAGTTGCTAAACCCAACTCAGGGCACTTCATCTTATTTGAAGAGAGCAGCAAGCAGAGAGAGCAAAGGGAACTTGGTTAAGAGAAAAGAAGAACAATAACTCTCCCCTTTCCAAACAGATTTTCAGAAATCCAAAGCAGTGAATTCTGCATTTCACATTGGCCAGGACTATAAGCTCTGCTCACTACAGTTATGAGAAAAACTGGGAAACTCATTTAAAGACATAAGCCAGGGCCAGGCATGGTGGCTCATGCCTGTAATTCCAGCAATTTGGGAGGCCAAGGTGGGAGAATCACTTGAGCACAGGAATTTGAAACCAGTCCAGGTAACATAACGAGACCCAGTCTCTACAAAAACAAAACAAAACAAAAGCTGGGTGCGGTGGTGCACACCTGTTATGCCTGCAGTCCTACCTACTCAGGAGTCTGAGCTGGGAGATCACATGAGGAGTTCAAGGCTGCATGAGCTTTGATTATGCCACTGCACTCCAGCCTGGGAGACAGAGTGAGACCATTTTTCAAAAAATTATAAATTAAATAATAAAATGTGGATAAACACATAAATACATTTAAACAGTGCTCCTTGGAAAAAGTGAATCTATGTTCCCTTAGTGAAGAAGATGAGAATAACGGATATAGCAGGGAAATGGACAGCATTGGCCACATTAGACCAAAATGAAAGTCATAACAGGTACCCCAAATCAGTACCATTAAAACCACATAATGTGACCATAATGCAGTCAAATTGTGACCAACAAAAACAAACTGACAAAAAAGGTATCATGGAGCATACGAATTCTAAATCTAAATTGAATGGAGCTCAGAAGGGCTTCACATTGAAAATGAAACCATGTGTATGTAAGTGACTTGTAACAAAGCTATCACATAGCAACATTAAGGTGGCAGAGGGGAAAGGGTGCTAAGACAGATATCTGTCATCTTATACCATTTTTTAAGAAAGGAAAAACTACAAAATTATGAATTTGAGTTCTAATTGAGGGATAAGACAATGATAAAGGCAACAATTGTTAACATTTACTGTGCTTCAGTCCTACCCTGTGCTCGTTCATGCCCAATAAGTGAAGAGCTGGAACTGAAAGCTTTCTTATATTTATTCAATTGTAGTCTCCCTCCAGGGTGTGGAATCATGTATAAAGGAGGGATAGTGTTTAAAGAGGTATTTTCTGCATTTTTTACTTCCATAAGCAGTCTCTGCTGTGTGAATTCTTGTATGAACTATGAGTCTGAGGCAACACTGAGGCTTTTTTTCATATTCCTTACTTTCATAGCTTCTCTCTAGTGAGAACAAATACCTACTCAAGATGAAGGAAGATGAAAGGCTTTCCATAGACTTTACCTTCAGAGGGTTTCTTTTCACACTTCTGTAAGATAGGAGAGTTCAGGAAAGATGTTCTCATGCATGTTAACTCATTGAGCTCCCTTCCAGTATGTACCCCTCACATGTTCAGTTTGGTGAAAAATTAATGATGATTTCCCTGCCTTTCACTCACAGGGCTTCTCACTATTGTAAATCTTAAGATGGCTTTTAATTCTGATGACTTTGCAAGTCTTTTCCACATTTATAGGGTTTTTTCCAGCATGACTCCTTATATGTGCATGTTTTGAGGCTTGCTGAAGGCTTTCCCACATTCCTTACATCCATAGGGCTTCTCCAAAGTGTTCTTTCTTAAATGTTTATTAAGGTGTAGGGAAGATCTAAAGCCTTTCTGACTTTTGTTACATTCATAAGGTTTCTCCCCAGTGTGAATTTTCATAATGTCGCATAAGAAATGACTGATACCTAAAGGCTTTCCTTCATTTGGGACATGTACAGCTTTTCTCTCCCGTAGTACTACTCCTGTGTGAACCAGAATTTGGAGCAGGGACAGAGGTTTTTCCACTTTGATGATTCTTATTCTTCATCTCTACAGTACAGGACTGCATCTGGACAGCACGGACTGAGTTATTTCTGAAGATGTTTTCACATTGAGTAAAATTATACATTTTCTCCCTGAGTTATGTGTGCCCTAAGGCATATGTCTCCACTGCGGGCTATTCCAAATGGACTCCACTCATGAATGTTTGTTCTTGTATTAATTTTACTATGTATATGATGGACATTGTTCTGACTGCCTGTCCATGTGTTTGATTTTAGCTATTTTTCTCCCATATGAAACCCAGTGAATGTTGCACCTCAAGACTATCATGTTGATTGTTTTCATATATATTACTTTATTGCAATAGTTTTTGGGAAACAGGTGGTTTTTGGTTACATGGAAAAGTTACTTAGTGGTGATTTCTGAGATTTTGGTGTATGCATTACTCGAGTAGTGTACATTGTACCCAATGCGTAGTGTTTTATCCCTCACCCCCCAATCTTCCCTCGGAGTCCCCAAAGTCCATTAAATCATTCTTAAGCCTTTACACCCTCATAGCTTAGCTCCCACTTATAAGTGAGAACATACAATATTTGTTTTTTATTCCTGAGTTACTTCACTTAGAATAATCATCTGTAACTCCATCCAGGTTGCTGCAAGTGCCATTATTTGATTCCTTTTTAGGGCTGAGTAGTATTCCATGGTGTATCTATAACACATTTTCTTTGTCCACTCATTGGTTGATAGACATTTAACCTGGTTCCACATTTTTGCAACTGTGAATTGTGCTGCTATGAATGTGTGTACATGTGTCTTTTTCATATGACTTCTTTTCCTCTAGGTAGGTACCCAGGAGTGAGCTATACTAATTTAAATAGAGATAATTATAAAATAATGACCAAGTGAAAATTACTGTTTCTAGTAGTAAAACAAAATACATTTATTGAGTAAAGTTAGAACATATTTCTGCTCACATAAAGAACATATAACTTTTGTATTTTGAATAAATGATATGCTTTATCTCACTGGACTCATCCTATGGTTAATTGGTCAGGGAGGGTTGGAGAAAGTAGCATATCTTTAAATTTAGCTTCTTGATTCACATTTTTCTTCAAGTTTCAATAGCTCTCTTTTAGTTAAATGCCTCTAGGAAGATGTTCAGATGCTTTGGGCTTTCTGTGGCCTCAAGGCAAAGGGATAGTGAATCTGAAGTCTCTTACTGTCTTCATGCTGTTCTCTAGACCTCTGCTTTCTCTGTGGCAGAGGGTCTCTCTGGTCTGATCGCTGGGGCCATTGCATTGCTCTTCTCTGAGATGAAGCTTGTACTCTTGAATCAGAGTACAGTGGAATTCTCTTGCTTTATTAGCCTCCTGTTGGCTTGGATAAGATCTTCAGATCTCTCTGAGTTTCCACATCCTTCTTCTTCCACAGTATGTCTGGAATGGTCACATGAGATTTTTTGGCAGGATCATTTTGCCCCATGGGGCAGTGGCCCCATGTTATGTATGTTAGTTTTCAACTCAGTTAAGTTGCTTATTTACCTCTATGACACTTCCACATTGCATAGATTCATAGGTCTAGCAGGAGGTTTTTTATGTAAACCAAGCTGCCAGAAACAAGAATGCTGACACAGTAAGTCAGGCAAACCAAATTTATTACTCACAGAGGAGCAGGAAGAATCAGCAAAAGCCTAAGTTCTATGGCAAGTCTGACCCTTGAGGTCAGAAAAGTTGCCCAGGGTTGACGGAGTCTCCTCTGCACATGCCCCACTGTGTACTGCGCTGAGGAACCCCTGAGTGCTCCACCCTAGGTTTCACACCCCATGTGCACCTTGGCTCTCTGAGTTTAAGAGTTGCAGGGATATCCTGTTCTAGGAACAACAAGGACAGATTCCAGACTGTCCCAGACAGTTTCTACTCATCTCAGGATATTGTCTTCTTGGAACATTCTAAAATTATCCTGAGAATTAGGAGATACAGAAAGCTGAGTTGGTCAAGGGCATTCAGGTCTTTTCCTCCTGACCACATAAACAAAGTAGACTATGAAACAATAAGCGTTGGCAGAAATAATCATATTGCATTATGATAGCCATTCTTCATTATGATACAAAGAATTTATCCTCCAAAAAGTTATCTGAATTCTAAATCTGAATGAACCCAACAAAACATAGATTTGGGGCTGTTGTTACAGTTTAATTAAAGATATACTAAACCAACAAATTTAATTAAATACATAAACTTTAGAAGAAGTAGAAAAATCATAGACTCATTTCAATAAAGGCTGGCATACAAAGTTATCAGATATATGACAGAGTAATAGAAAATGTTGACACTGCTTAGGGCAAAGTGAATATGATTGATATTCAGATGAACAAAGAAGATAGGAAACTCAATAGAAAAATGAGCCAAAAAATTCCAATACATTATTAACAATCTGACAAATGCAAATATACACAAATAAAATGAGATCTGTATTTTCACCACTTGCTTAGAAAATATAAGAATCCTAGGTAACATTGAGTGATGAGGATATGAGGAAAACAACCTTTATAGGCAATGGATGGGAAATTAAATGGTATTAACCATTTCAGAAAATAACATGACAGGACCCATTTGAAAGTATGCATACTCTACAACCTGTCTCGATGATGGGTACATATCCCTGATATAGTTTGGATGTGTGTCCCCTCCAAATCTCATGCTGAAATGTGATCCCCCATGTTGGAGGTGGGGCCCAGTGAGAGGTATTGGATCATGGGGTGGATCCCTTATGAATAGTTTAGCACAGGAATGTCCAACCTTTTGGCTTCCCTGGACCACAATGGAAGAAGAATTTTCTTGGGCCACACATAAAATACACTAAAAATAGCTGATGAGCTAAACACACACACACACACACACACACACTCTTATGTTTTAACAAAGTTGACAAATTTGGGCCACATTCAAAGCTGTTCTGACCTGCATTCAGCCCACAGGCTGCAGGTTGGACAAGCTTGGTTTAGCACAATCCACTTGAGTGAGTTCTTCTCAGTGAGTTCATAGAGATCTGATTGTTAGAAACAGCCTGGGACTGCCCCCTTCTCTCTCTTACTCCCTCTCTGACAATGTGACACACTGGCTCCCCTTCACCTTCTGCCATGATTGTAAGCTTCTTGAGGCCTCACTCAGAGCAGATGCCATTGCTTCCTGTGCAGTCTGCAGAACACTGAACCAAGATAAACCTCTTTTATTAAAAAATAAATAAATAAATTACCCAGCATTGGGTATGTCTTCTTAGCGATACAAAGAGACTAACACAGCCCCTGACAAACTGTGACACATGACCAAACAGTGTTTTCATAAGGATACCATAAGGAAGTGAATATTTCAGTAGCAGGATATCAGTGTGAATTCTACTGCAAGACTGGATAGGGAAAATGTGGTTGATTCATTTTATTGAAAACTATGCAGCAGCTACAGGGGAATAAACAACCAAAAATAACCTACAGCAATGTGGGAATGTATGAAGGATGTTATGCTCTGTGAAAAAATTAGAAATAAAATTAGATTTATAGCACAATACTCTTTAAGCAAAATGTATACACTCATGTATATACACATACACACACTCAGAAAACAACCTTCTTATCTTGTAAGAATTCTTTAAGAGTAAAGAACCTATGTCAAACACATTAGCATGCCTGTCTTTGACAAGGGATAAGGAATAAAAAAATGAAACAAGTAAAACCAGAGAAACTTGTAGGAAACAATAATGATAATGTCTCATGAAGTAAAGAATGTGATTAATTTTTTGCAACTGTGGTATAAAAACAGATTGTCAAATTCAAATGTAATGAGCTCTGGCATAGAGCTTATTGTAGGGCAAAAATCAAATTTAAATACTTAGTTTATATAGTTTGATGCAGGAATGGTCTCCTTTGTGAAGTAGTAAGATACACTAAACAATCCATGGGTGTATGGGAAGAAATACTCAAAATGCTACTTATATTTATTTTTTACTCATTTTTCCAACAGTTTAGTATCTAAATGCTAGGGGAGGCCAGATGTGGTGACTCACACCTGTAATCCCAGTACTTGATTGGAGAGGGTGGGGGTCAAGGCAGGAAGAACACTTGAGGCCAAGAGTTCTAGACCAGCCTGGGCAACCTAGTCGGCTTTTGTGTCCACACAAAAAAATTAAAAATTAGCCAAGCATGATGTCGTGCACCTGTAGTTCCATGTACTGGAGAGGCTGAAGCAGGAGGATCACCTGAGGGAGGAGTTTGAGGCTGCAGTGAACAATGGTTATTCCACTGCACCATAGCCTGGGTGACAGAATGAGACCCTGTCTCTTAAGTGGAAATAAGTAAGTGTGAGGAGAACACGTGATCTTTCTAGTTTTCAGTCCCTCTTGCAGTTCCCTGTAGATTATTTTGCTTATTCCCAGTGTTCCAGCTGTCTCTGCACATTGTAGGCTTGTTCTTCTACCTACTCAAGTTCCCAGATCCAGCAAATGTCCTCAGAGATGGGCTCTGCTGCTAATCTGTGATCACCAAGGAAGGGCTTGTTTTTCTCTGAAATTTAGTTCATTGAAACTTTAGGCCCACAATTTTTTGATGGCTTTAAACAAAAAAATAATAATTTTTTAAAGTTCATCCAATATTTTCTCATTATGGCAGGAACAATTGTCTTTGGTAACTTTATTTTAATTGGAATAAGAATTTCTAACATTGGCATTGTAATGAGGTTTTTGGTCTTTGACCCTAGCGGAGCAATTAAATCCACGTCTATTTCTTCTCTTATGCATGTATTGAAGGATCAAATGAGAAAATATATGTAGAGTGCACAAAGTGTCTGATGTACACTAGTGATATACAGTTGTATTATGACTACACACTGAAAACACATAATCAACCAGATTGCTTCCTGAGAACTAGAGCCAGGCTTTTCCAATGATACTTCACTGTCAAATAATTCTATTCAATTTTTCATGGGACTTAGGGTTTGGTCCATGAAGTGCTGCCACAGTATGCAAATCAATTATGTCAATAAATGTGCTAATTTATTCAGCAAACATATTCTTGTAGCAATAGTTACTCATTGAAAGAAGTAACATATTTAATTTCTAGTAGAAGCTACTTCTCTCATTGTGAACTCGTTACAAAGCTTGAATGCTCTAGCTATTTTGAGGAGCATTAATAGGCATTACCCAAAGAAGATGATATATTCCCTAGACAACAAGAACTCTTATTTCTCTTTATCTTCTTTTTGATAAATGCTACAGTCTCTTGGTAGTGAATCCAGATTCTGTGGTGTGGGGAAAAGAAAGAGAGATCAGACTGTTACTGTGTCTGTGTAGAAAGAAGTAGACACAAGAGACTCCATTTTGTTCTGTATTAAGAAAAATTCTTCTACCTTGAGATGCTGTTAATCTGTAACCCTACCCCCAACCCTGTGCTGGCAGAGACATGCACTGTGTTGACTCAAGGTTTAATGGATTTAGGGCTATGCAGGATGTGCTTTGTTAAACAAGTGCTTGAAGGCAGTTTGCTTGTTAAAAGTCATCACCACTCTCTAATCTCAAGTACCCAGGGACACAATACACTGCGGAAGGCTGCAGGGACCTCTGCCTAGGAAAGCCAGGTATTGTCCAAAATTTCTCCCCAAGTGATAGTCTGAGATATGGCCTCATGGGAAGGGAAAGACCTGACCATCCCCCAGCCAGACACCCATAAAGGGTCTGTGCTGAGGAGGATTAGTAAAAGAGGAAGGCCTCTTTGCAGTTGAGATAAGAGGAAGGCATCTGTCTCCTGCTCATCCCTGGGCAATGGAATGTCTCAGTGTAAAACCTGATTGTATGTTCCATCAACTGAGATAAGGAGAAAACCGCCTTAAGGCTGGAGGTGAGACATGCTGGCCGCAATACTGCTCTTTAATGCACCGAGATGTTTATGTATGTGCACCTCAAAGCACAGCACCTTTTCTAACCTTGTTTATGGCACACAGACATTTGTTCACATGTTTTCCTGCTGACCCTCTCCCCACTATTACCCTATTGCCCTGCCACATCCCCCTCTCTGAGATGGTAGAGATAATGATCAATAAATACTGAGGGAACTCAGAGACCAGTGCCAGCGTGGATCCTCCATATGCTGAGTGCCGGTACCCTGGGCCCATGTTTCTTTCTCTATACTTTGTCTCTGTGTCTCTTTCTTTTCTCAGCCTCTCATCCCACCCAATGAGAAACACCCACAGGTGTGGAGGGGCAGGTCACCCCTTCATGTGGGATGTACAAAACAATTCTCCACAAATTTAAATTTATGCCTATGATCATGTGTAATGAAATTAGTCCTCAAGAGCCAAGTTGAGACCATGTTCAGAATGAAAGCTTCAGAAACCCATGGCAAACACATGAATATAAGACCATTTTAGACACAGTCCCCAGATTACCTCTGAATTCAGTGGGGGAAAAGTGACAAGGAGCAATATTTAGGGCATCTAGGATAGTGCTACCTTCTCATCCCTAACATAAGCAAATTAAAACTTCATACTAATGCTCTGAAGCCTAATAATAACTAGTAAGGTTTATGTCTGTCAAAAAGCCACTGCAGGCTACTGTTAAAACCAGCTACACAACCATCTGGAAGCCATTTGCCTCCTTCTGGTTAAAAACAGTCCCATGTCTACTGATGATGTAGTTAAGGCTGTATCAAGATCTTCTATCTCTCAGCAGGGATGTGGTTTCCCAAATGCTAATGTTTGACCAACAAAAGTTTTGCAGCCAGAGTTTGCGCAAGTATTGGTAGATAGAAAATACAAAATCCAACCATTTCTCATGAATGATTAAACAAAAAAAGAATGCAAGAATCCTGTGTGCGTGTGCATGGGTATATGCATGGGTGTGTGTGTATTCAAGTTTGTTAACTTTATTAACTTTGTTTAAAATTTAATTTTAAAATTAGGTTGGGGAGTAAAATATCATTCTTCCTCTCTCATCATAAAACTTTTGGCTCACGGGATTCTGACATTCCATCATGCTTGGAAAAGTTGGATTTATGAAACCAGTAGCCGGACTGAGCCAGCCTATGCAGCTCTTACATAGGTGCTCCCTATTTTGTGCACAAGCATCCTCAAGAGACCAAAGATAGTGATTGAGAGAGATGGGCTCTGAAGTCTTTTTATTTCAACTTCTTGGAATCACCACCTTAAACATCAAAATCTTTTGGGTCATTTATCAGATTAATTACTTTTTCCATAAAAAGAGTGAGTTGAGAGGATAACAAGAAACTCCCTGTCCCTGCTTCATCCTGAAAACAGGAGAATCAATATCTTAACCCTGTTTTTGAGAGATGAATGGGTAGGTCAACATTGCTTGGCTATTTGTCCTTCCACTTGGGACAGATTACCACTGCACTTTCCCCTCAATCTCTAGAATCATGGCTTATGGAAAACAATTTTGTACTGAATTACTAAATGCATCAAAACTTTATTAGACTTATTATCAAAGAGCATGCTCAGATGTATCTATTATAAATAGTAATAAAAATATAAAAACCTAAAAACAATATTATAAATAACAGAGAAAAGGTATGCACTGTTATGAAAGCCTTTCATATTTAGGGATATCAGGTAAGGCTTCCCTTCGTGGGGAAGATGAAGAGCAAACTAAAATAAGAGTAAGAGCTGGCTGGATGTGGTGGCTCACACCTGTAATCCCAGCACTTTGGGAGGCTGAGGCAGGTGAATCACGAGGTCAGGAGATCGAGACCATCCTGGCTAACACCATGAAACCCCGTCTCTACTAAAAATACAAAAAAAAAAAAAAATTAGCCAGGTGAGGTGGCAGGTGCCTGTAGTCCCAGCTACTTTGGAGGCTAAGGCAGGAGAATGGCATGAACCTGGGAGATGGAGCTTGTAGTGAGCTGAGATCACACCACTGCACTCCAGCCTGGGCAACAGAGCAAGACTCCATCTCAAAAAAACAAACAAAAAAAAAACCCAGTAAGAGCTAATTATATAAACCTGGGATGGTAGTGGGAAAAGCATATGAATAAGAAGACCAAAGTCCAGGAGACAAGAAGAAATATATCTGAATCATTTAGTTCAACAATGTTCATGCCACAAGAGGGGGGAAAGAGAAAGGAAACAAATTTTGTACTGCTTGAACCCATTTTTGGACTCTTGCTATTTATCCTAGTACTAACGTGAAGTCTTTGGGAGTTTTTAAGCAAAGCAATTTACAATGCAAATTGTATTTGCATTTCAAGTAATCATTCCAGATATAGCACAGAACCATTTTTGGAGAGAGAATCAGGGAGAGCACTTTAGAGGTTCTCACCATAGCCCAGGTGAGAGAGTGATGGGCTGGAATCCATGATGGCAATGAAGATAGAAAGAGAAAAATTCATTCAAGAAATAGAGAGAAGGTAAAATCTGACAATACTTGGTGATTTGAAATGGAAATGTGAAGAAGAAAATGTCAAAAGTTAATTGAGATGTCAGGTGTAGGTAGAAGTTGACATCATTTGCTGCAAAAAAAAAACACACACACAAGAAGAATACCACTTTCAGTGAAAGAGACATCTGGGTTGCTTAAAGTATGAAATGGGACTTTTCCAATTTCATGCAGGTAAATTAGGAGGGCTCAACCTTGAAGCACAAAAGATGGTGATTATGGTAACACTGGCCTTGAGACCAGGACCTGTATCAGACTCTAGAAAGATCAGTGTGATTTGGAGCAGGTACAGACTGGAATATTTCAGTGAAAAACAAAACAAAACAAAGCATTCACACTTATTCTTGCAGCCTTGTTTTATTTGAAGGAGTAAATAATTGGGCCTTATTCAGAGCTGCAAGTTTTGGTAAGCCCTAAAATGAACAAAAAATTGTATAAAATGGAAGCAATTCACCAATTCTATTCACTTAACATTTACTGATTTTCTTCCAGGTTTAAGTATTATGATAGTCATTGTACAGTAATTACTTTATTGACCATCTTCTCTGGTGTTTGTATTAATACACAAAGAAATCTAACTTTAAAAGTGTAGCATTGCTTTCAGCTGACACCAATCATTACCCGTTATCTCAATTCATTAAATCATATTGTTTCAGCAATAAGTTACATTTTGAAGTTAATGAAATACTTAAAAGGCTGTGATGTTGTAGCTGCAGATGTAGTATGCAAAACACATTTGATTCATGTTATTTAGCACAATTTCATCTTAAAATCTTATCTATAAAACATTTTTACACATCTATTATTCTCTTGCTTTATGTAAAGTTTATGTCATTTATCTCTATCAAATTAAGTTACATTTCTAGTTTTACTCAACCATAAAAGACAGCATTAATTTTTACAAACATTAATAATGAACTATATTCACTCATAACTATTTATGTCTAAGTTGTCTTAGATTTACTGAACAATTTCTGAGTAACTAATGGCTAACCTTTTATTTTTCTATGATGATAAACATTTTTACAGTATCCAGGCTTCAGACATATTTTTGAAAACTTATTTCTATATGGGTCAAAATTTAAATCAGTTGTAATATGTGATCCACTCAAATATATTCTCCAGGATGCACTATTAAAATGAAATACCGAAGTGGTTCCCCAAGACACCAATTTAAAGTGTATATGTGCAGTGCAGGGTTACTGGACCAAGGCACAGTGTAAACAGCAAAATTTTATTTTTTGTTTTCTTTTTCCTAAGATGTTTCTTATTCCCCGTTATATGAAAATGTATATTACAGGCAAAGAAAAATTAACACGAATAGAAGTAAATATAAAGTATATTCACATTAATATCAGCTTTGCTTTATCTATTAAAGGATGTAACACACTTGTGGTTTTCAGGACCTTGTAACTCCTGGTTCATTGGAAAGCATAGAAATTCTTCAGAGCCTCAAGAGTTGTGTTTAACGCATTATTTAAATAGTGTCCAACCAGTAGTTAGATAGCTTAGCACTCAAATAGCCTTTGAAATCTCTGTAGACTCACCTCAATTGAGGAGTCCTGATAATTTACAGAAGTGTGTAGTGCACTGATGGATAATGTCTTTGCCTGTGGAGTGTTTCATGTGTTGGTCCACTGGAGTGTGTGTGTGTGTGTGTGTGTGTCTGTGTGTAGGTGGGTGAGTATGGGTGGGTGTGGATTGTGTGTGTGTGTATGTGTATGAGTTTACATTGTGGTATGTGTCTGTTGGGGTGCTGCCATTTGGGATTTGGAAGAGTGAGGACCATAAACTTGTCAACATTCCTACATGCCTGCTTCATAACAAGTGTACTGAACGTGGCCAAAAGTAACTAAACCAAGTAAACAAATTAGACATTAATTAAATTTAATGCTGGGCAGGAAAGAAGTATTCAAGACCAGGTAAAATGAAGAAATATAACCAAATGAATGAAATGTTTAGATTGATTCGTAGAATGAGACGAATATTTTTTAAAATTTGTAGTTTCTAATGAATAACAGCATATAAAATAAGAATGATATGGCTCTCAATTGACTAAAAACTGTACTTAAGTTTTGAGCTAGTGAAACAACCATATATGATCTTCTATTTCCACTTTTCTGTCTCAAGAATGACTTGTGAAAATGTTTTTTTTGAAATTTTACATTCTTATCTTGAAAGAGCTTCACAAAATTTACATGAGAATCTGGATGCTCATAAGAGGTCTGATTTTTTAATGGCATGTTTGTATTTCTGTTATGAACATCAATGTCAAGCATTCGTTTCCTGAGCTGTTCTCTACAACACAATTTAACTTGTAATGGACACTCAATAAATCGTTGGTTGGATATGCAAATCAACACCTTAGTTCCATCAATTTTCATTTCATATAAAAATGCCTGATCTTCTATACTCATCAATGAAACAGAGAGAGATGAAGGAGGGAGAGCAGTTGAGACTGAGAGGATGACAAGCAGACCTCATTCTGCAGTGGATTTCCTACACTCTCCACTTCTGAATGCTTGGAAACACTTGCCATGCTCAAAAAATATTGGTATTTCCTAGGCAGCAAATGGGAGTTAAAGAAAGTCCATATTTCTATATTACAATAACTTACACTATAATACACAGATGGCATACATTTCTAAGCTATTTCAATTCACAGAAAATGTAGATAAATTTAGGTGAGCAAGATGTAAGAGAAGGGTTAGTAATCAAGCTGAGTGTGATTGTGAGATTAAATCTAATATTATCTTATACAATTATTGTATAATTGTATCAGTTGACATATCTGTTGAAACAGAAGGTGGGAGAGTTTTGCATGCGCTTCTGAAATGTAATGGATGATGTTAGGAGAGAGGCGGGTCAACGTGGCTAGGCCAGAAGTGTTTACTAATTGAGGCTTAGGAAAGTTAAGCTCCTAATCAGAGACCGGGAGATAGAGGCGCTAAAGTGTATAACATTTATATTTAATATATATTTAATAATATATAATAAAGTCTTAAAATGCCAGTTTTAAGTCTTTTCATTTTCTTCTTAAAAACAGAGGTTTTATTGCGTTTGGTCCACAGTCGGTATTTCACATTATCTCATAGTGCAGGGCTCCTGGGGGGAGGGCTCTGTGCAGTACTTGGCGTGGCCTGGGGCCGGGGGAGATAGAGCAGTAGACCTGGTCAGGCCCGGAAGGGGAGAAGGAGGGCCGGGGCTCCTTAAGACCTACTGAGGGCCTGGGCGCGGTGGCTCACGCCTGTCATCCCAACACTTTGGGAGGACGAAACAGGCGGATCACATGAGGGAAAGAGTTCCCGACCAGCCTGGCCAACATAGTGAAATCCCATCTCTACTAAAAATACAAAAAATTAGGCAGGCGTGGTGGTGGGTGCCTGTAGTCCCAGCTACTCTGGAGGCTGAGGCAGGAGAATCGCTTAAGCTGGGAGGCCGAGGTGCAGTGAGGCGAGATTACTCCAGTGCGCTTCAGCCTGGGCGACAGAGTGAGACTACATCTCAAAAAAAACAAAAATAAAAACAAACAAAAAACCCTACTGAGGGCCACGGAGGTGGGGGAGCTAGGATGGAGAGGGGTCAGGCTTAATCCTGGCAACTCAGAATTCCACTAACTTGTACGGGTCTCAGTTTCCTCACCGGGCCCCAGCATAGGTCTGAGGGTCTGAGGTCTGTTGGTCTGAGGGTCCTAGGGAAATCCAGCCACTCAGGAGCCTGAGATATTTTAGCATCGTGGCTGGGCCCCCTCTCCCAGGGAACTCATTTCCCAGCACCCTCTCCACTGTCTCCGCCCCATTCCTCGGAGAAGAAAAAAATTTTCTTTCTTTTGTTAATACTTCCTGAAACTTTTGCAGGTACAGAAACCACAAACTGATCGGCTGACAAAAAGGGGAAGAGGAGAGGCAACCAGAAATCTTCAGGGACTGGTTCCCTCCATGCCCAGGTCTCTTCTCCCCAGCACAGCTCAGCCCACAGCCTGGAAGTGCCAGCGGGGACCTTCACCCTACACGCATCAGGATACGGCCTTGATCCCTTCCCCCACAGCCCGGTGGCTCAGTCCTGCGAAGGAACCAAAGCAAGGGGAGGTGGGGGAAAAAACCCTGCTGCCTGATCCCACGCTGCCGCTCACAGACCCTCGGTTGACTGGCAGCACTGAACAGGTTAAAAAAAAAAAAGATGAAAACACAGAAAAACCCAACACCCAGACGGGGAGACCATGTGTGGAGAGAGCGTGCTGGGAGCCTCAGTAGCTGGTCTCCTCCTGGTACTAAGGGGCCTCCCCTGGCCCTGGGCAGTTGCCGGCGGAGGGAGCCCCGTGGGCCACTGGGCCACCCGGCTGGTACTTGGGTTCATATATTTGCCGGCCTAGGCCAAAGACCTGTCTGCTGTGATTGGCGACCTGCGTGTAGCCCATCTTCAGGGACATGGAGGAGTTCTCACACTTGTCGATTCCCAACTTGGTGTCATAGATGTGCCACTGGTTCCCGGGAGCCGTCATGCCCACCTGGCTGGCGCACTTGTTTGTACCCATCCGGAGGCTGATGGTCGAGTTGTCCATGGGGGGCAGGATGCGGTTCTTGGGGTCGTAGAGATGCCTCCTCGTGACGTATGCGGTCATGCCTGACTGGCTGGCACATTTGTTGGTAATCTGCAGCCGGATGACGCACAGCCTGGCCTTCATGGTGGTGTCGTTGAAGTTCTGCTTCTCTGAGTACTTGTCACGGATGTCCACCCCGCTCTGCAGCCCCTTAGTCTTGGCCTTCCCTGCCAGGGCGAGAAGAGACACCCGCACCTGCATATTGTTCCCACTCTCAAACAGGTCGTTGGCCTCAAATAGGTCCACGGGATCATGCCGTAGCTGACCATTGCCTTGAGGATGTTGGAGAGGTTTTCTAGCTGGTGCCAGTTCTACACGGAAGCCGTTGATCTTGGGGACTGAGCCCGGCTGCAGTTTGTTCACGAGTGTGCATAAAATAATCCCGTCCTTCAGGCCCTTCTGGAAGTCGGGGCGGATGGAGAGGCCAGTGAATCCCTTGATCCAGCTGCGGAGCTCTGCCTCCTTCTGGGAGTCATATTTGAACAGAAGCCTGTTCTGGACGTCCGCCAAGAGCCTGTAGGAGGGGCCCTTGTTGAACGCGTGGAGCTTACGGCTGGAGGGCGCCACCGCGGGGCGGATCCCACAGGACCGGAAGCTAAGTCTTTTTTCTAGTTCGCAATATTTTGTTTTCACCACACCATTGTTTTACTACATATCTTTTGTGTATTTAAAAAATGTGTAAAAATGTGTGGAAAATGTTAGACCATCTCCCTTTTTTCCACCTTCCCTTTTACCTTTTACTGCCATTTACATCCACACATCCACACACACATACATCCACACACACACATACTGACCAAAATTAGTTTTGATGTACGAATGGGTTATTTGAAGCAAAAAGTCAATCTATATTAGTAAAAGTGTCATGCCAGTACGAATTATATTTATAATCCTTTTAAGAAGAAAGAACTTCCGGCCGGGCGCTGTGGCTCACGCCTGTAATCCCAGCACTTTGGGAGGCCGAGGCGGGCTGATCATGAGGTCAGGAATTCAAGACCAGTCTGGCCAAGATGGTGAAACTTCGTCTCTACTAAAAACACAAAAAAATAAGCTGGGTGTGGTGGCGGGCGCCTGTAATCCCAGCTACTCGGGAGGCTGAAGCAGAGAATTCCTTAAACCCGGGAGGCAGAGGTTGCAGTGAGCCAAGATCGGGCCACTGCACTCTAGCCTGGGCGACAGAGCAAGACTCCGTCTCAAACACACACAAAAAAAAAAAAAAAAAAGAAAAAGAAAGAACTTCCTTAATTTTTTGAAGAGACTATTCTGTATCCATTTTATAATTTTGTGGCCACTGAAAAATATATGTTAAATCACAGACACAGTGAATATAGTAAGTGGTAGTTTAAAATGTTAAAATGTTAAATCACGCCTGTACTCCCAGCACTTTGGGAGGCTGAGGGGGGAGGATCGCCTGAAGTTGAGTTCGAGACCAGCCTGGCCAACATGGTGAAACCCCTTCTCTACTAAAAATACAAAAATTAGCCAGGTATGGTGGCACAAATCTGTAATCCCAGCTACTCGGGAGGCTGAGGCAGGAGAATGGCTTGAACCCTGGAGGCAGATGTTGCAGTGAGCTGAGATCAAGCCACTGCACTCCAGCCTGGACAACACAGTGAGACTCTGTCTCAAAAATAAAATTAAGTGTTGAATTTTTACAAGTCGTTGTTCCTATTCTAATTTTTGAATGCAACCACAGCCTCTAACAAAACAGCCTCGTTAAACTAATTGGCTGATAATGAATTCTTAAGTTAAAGGGGAATTCCACAGAAATATATATTGCTCTTTTATGTTTAAGAAAAGTAAGTGCCTGAAAAACAGATGTGTTCTGTAAAACTGAATTACTTTCTATCCAGTTCCACTGGTTCGCAGTGTTTTATCTTTATATTAAAACATATATAAATGATTGATGGATGAATTTTTTTCTTTTAGACACTGCTGCTGAATCCATGGAGAGAAAAAGGATAAATTTCCAGAACTATAGTCCCTGTGCTCCAGTTCGCCAGGCGGGCGCGGCGGAGACGGAGACCGAGGAACGCGGCTGGGGCCATGCGGCGCTACCGCGCGTGGTGGCGCTGTGTCTGGCCTGAGGCTTCTGCTCGCTCCTTTACGCCTTCAGCCAGCTCCCCATGTCCCCGGAGGAAGGCGCGCGCGGTGGTGGCGGGAAGCCTCAGGCCGCAGTGGCTTCCTGGCTGGCGGGAGGCGGATGCAGTGCGGTGAGAGGCGCGGGCAGCGCTGGTCCCGCTGCGCATCCCGGCAGGTGGGACAGGTGTAGTCTGAAAATACAGCCTGTTGAGAAAATGCATCTAGGTGAAAGATTGGAAGAAACTATGACGATGTTGAAGTCAGCTATTATTTTCAGGATCAAACCTCTTCAATTCCAGATTTTTGCTGAAGATCAACTACATCATAGCTTTAAAGGAAGGCTTGACAGGGGTCATTTCTACAAATATTTAATTATACAATATACTCCATAACCTTTCCAAGTGAGAATGCAGTAGAGTGGAAAAACTCTTTAAACCATGTGGTTTGCAGAGATTGTCCTTGCCGTTATTCCTGAAAGAAGTTGACTCTCACACTGATAGCCTTTTTAAAAGACCAGCTGATAATATTTGGTCTTTACTAAAGAAATTTAATTCCACACAAATTCTGCAATGGCCCCAGAACACAAGGAACGTCAAATAGGATGGTATAGTCGCTTTGCTAGGCATCCATACTGTGGAAAAGCTGGAGTAAACTCTGGAGTTATGTTGACAAACATGACTTGAATGAGAAGGAAGTATTTCAAGAATAATATGACAACTGTGTGACTACAATGAGGAGATATACTTATGACATGGCTTAAAATGTACAAGTTAAACATTACATGGGCGATCAAGATCTGTTGGATATCATGTTTTTTCATAATCCAGAAAGGCTTTTTGTCTTTCCGTGTCAATGGAAGTGTCATCCAGATCATTGTCTATATGGAAGCAGTTGCCAAGAAGCAGAAGAAGGAATCTTTATTTTTCACGGGAACAGAGGTGTTTACTATGATGATAAGCAACCAGCATTTAGAGCTGTTTATGAAGCACTGAGAAATTGTTCTTTTAGGATGACAATGTTCATTCATGAATAAAACCTTTAGAATTGGAACTACAAAAAACAGTGCATACATACCGTGGAAAATTTTACTAAATATTTATCAAACAATTAGCAAAAACATAAGAGATCGCTATGTCAGATCACCAAAGGAAAGGTGATTCTTGTTGCCTGCTACATCAAATGGATGAAAAGAACAAAGCGTCGGAGGATAAGTATGAAGGAACTGTCTTGGGTGAAGCATTAAGGCAGGAATTATTCATCTACAGAATATTTTTTTTTTTCCTAAAGAGGTTAAATGAGCAGTATTTTCAGGTAATGAAGAATAAGTTAAAATCTTGGGCTTCAACAAAGAAAAATTTTTGGCCTCTGATGTTGTGTAATGTTACTTACTATCATTCCAGTATTGATGAAAATATTATTGAATGGTTTTAGCCTGCAAACTTCTGTTGACTCATACTCTCAAGAGTGGTGGGGCTGTGAAAATGAAGAAAACGTACTTCAAACACAGTGCAAACACTCAGACGGTGAGTAGAGCGATAATTTTATGTCAGCACTAACCTCACTTTAAATGTGTGAGAGAAAATTTTGTCTACAGGAGTAGAAACAGTTCTGTTTCTAAAGAAATGTGATGTAACCAATGTAACGATGGATGATCTATATCTGCCTTTATACATTTCATCTCTGTTTTAAAATATTTTTTATGATAATCATATTAAAATTATTTTTAGATTATAAGGAAGCTGCATGTTAAAAATTGAGCTGTATAAGAAAGAGGAAATATAGTGAAAACTTTGGGGTTTTAATCTGTGCGTGTGAGAGAGAGTGAGAAATATAGTGTTTTCATTGTGTATGCATTAAACTGTCTTGCTAAAACTCAGACCTAAAATTGTTAAGTAGATATCTGGGGAACTTTTTTTATCACTTTAAATGAAAAATTTCAGCTTTACTGGGCATTCTGGAAGCAAAATATGTTATGCTGATGATAAAGTGAGAACCTTAAGAGTACACTCATTTGATGGTGGAAAATGTGATGGACCAAAATGCAGAAGCTATACACGTCCTGTGAGTAGTAATTTTAGTTACAATGCAGTAGGAAAATGTGGTGCATTTAAACTTTTCTTCTACCCCATAATGGCTTTGCAAGATACTTGTAAAGAAGCAAATGTCTAGAGCCTTACTTTAAGAAAGTTAAACAACTTTGGTGAATGATTTGGATTAAGATTGTTACATCCAGCTATAGAAATGTGGTTTTAATTGGGTTGATGTGAGTGAGTACCTTCCTTTTTTGAATACCACTTAAAACAGTTAACTTTTTAAGTCTTGAAGATGAGAAAAATATTACTTATCTAATATAACTATTTTAATAGTTATCTAATTTATAGTTATCTACTATAACTATACATTCTGAATACTTAGCATGTACTGTGCTGGGGCACATATCTTGTTTTCCCAGCTGCTAAACGATTATCTTCCTTTTCTCCCTGGTATTTTAATGCTCAAGTAGAAAATGGAAAATCATGAAGGAAAAATATCACTTGTGAAAATCGTGGCAGTTAGCTTTATGAAGACATAGTGGCCTCTGTGGGGACATGGGATATGCAGAAAGAGATGGCTAGTACAGTTGTTCTGTCTTCTGCAGTTCAGTCAGGGACACATTGAGAGAGGAAAGTTTAAGCAGGTACATTAGAAATTGATAACCAGCCCAGCATTCTTAGAACAGATGGGTTTAGAGAACACGAGTTGTAGTTCCTTGGCAGAATGCCATGGTGGATATGAGAAACTGTGAACTGTGTTGAAATTGAGCTTGAGCAGAAAATGAGAATACTAAAAATTTGAAGTTCAGAGGGTATGCATTAGATTATTTCTAATGGTCCCCATATATGATCATTGCCTGCCTGACTATATAAGACTCCTGTTGGGAGCTTGAGAATAGATTGCTGAGCTTAGCCCTTTGGAGACTCTGGTATGCTGTGTCTGGGATGGAGTCTGCAAAAAAAAAAAAATTTAAAGAAGAGACTTAAAAATTATACAAAACTAGAATAGTGCTTTGGTACTATCAGATTACTTGGTGGGCTATTCCCACTTCGATTCTTCATATAGAGGATGTGAACAGAGAAACATGCAGATAAATCAGTCAATGCCAACTGCTGGGGGAAACGTCCATAGTCTGCAGGTTCCCACAGAAAGGATAGCACTTCCATCCTCTCCCATGAGGGAAAAATAAAGGAGAAAAGCTTTCGGCCTCTCACCATAAGTTCATTCAGTCCTCCCCTTGGGAAGAGAAATGACTTAACTGAGGAATGTGCTTGAAAGTAGCTGTACTGGTGAAACTCAGCCTCTGTGGGTTTCTCTCTCTTTCAGAGTCAGCTCTCTTCAGGATGTGCATTTATTTCTCCCTTTGGAGGAGGCCTCAGTCCAGCTCAGCCAAGGACTGAAAGGCACATCTGGCTAATTCAAGACTGGGGTATTGGGAGGTCCCCTTGGCCCCAGATCTATGATATGTTCTCTAGTCCTGAGACCTGCTGACTCTCGTGTCTCATTTCTCAGTTGGGTCATATCTTGGGGTTATTTGTGTTCCCAGCTCTAACAGGAAGGTTCCTAAGCACTCATTTCTTCTTAACCAATTTCTGAAGGTAAAATGTTGGTGAAGAGTGCTCTTTTCTTCCTGCTACCATTAATTGGTGTTTATTTTGTGTCAGGCACTGTTGAGTATTTTACATTTCTTATCTAGTTTGATCTTTACAGCAACTTTATATGACAGACATTGTTCCCCCATTTTTCAGGCTAGAAATCTGAGGCCCAGTGTCCCACAATGGCTGTGTGGTGACACTAGGCTTTGAGCACAGAAGGTTGACTTCCAAAGCCTATGTTCCTAACCATTATGCCACTCTGTGTTGTGACAGCGCCAAACATACTTTCATTCATATATATCTTTTAACTGATCATGTTCTTGTGTGATTTCTTTCAGAAAGGCTTTTACATCAAATATTGATAATAATAATAATGAACACATGTTGAGCACTTACCATGTCTCAAGCACTGCTCTAGAACTTCCCATGAAAGAACCCCTCTAATCTTCAGAACAACCCTGTGAGGTAGGTGCTACTATTACTCTGTTTTCACAAGTAAAGAAACTAAGCACAGCAGATCCACAGTCATTCTGTAGGATGCTGTGTAGAATGGCTCCTGGGACACTGGGAAAGCTCTTCTGCACCTCAGTATCTTCTTTACTGGTTCATTAATGTCTGATATTTCTGCATGAGAAAGCACAACATAGACAGAAAGCTTAATATGTATATACACACACTGAAAGATAAGGCATTGACATAACATCTCATTATAGGTATTAGAAATGCAGTCTCAAGAGCAGGTTCTCGTGGGGTGACAGGCAGGGTATTCTAGGGGAAGGAATATCCCAAGAAAGGTGGCATTACAAAGGAAGAGGAGAAAGAAAGGTGTAAATGAGGAGACACTGATTTTCTTCCATTGCAAAGTTTTCCAAGGCTGGCCCCTTTTCTATTACATTCTTACCCAGTAACTCGTACTTTCCCTAGAGCTCTTGCGAGAAAGAACTATTGAGAAAGTAGCCCATCTGAAAGTATATTTCTTGCTGTTTATCTGCTTCCAGAACTGGCTGAAGTTTACTTTTTGGTTCTCCAGAGACCTAGCTTCTTCCAATGTGGTCTATTTAATCTCCTGTCATGTGGGAAATTATATTCAAAATCTCCATGATCCTCTGTCCATAGTAAGTTATGCATGTAGTGAGAAGTACATGCCACAAGGTCTTGAGATTATATCTGCAATGTGTTGCTGCTGGCTGTTGATCAAGATAGGCTGGGAGAAAAACATTATTTTCAGGTGTGAAAATCTGTCACCTTTATCAAATAACTCTTCTTGCATATTTCCCAAGACGTTGTAGCCTATTTAAACTCGGGAGGTTAATTTTGTAGCATTCATTATGACCGAAAATGAGTTCACACAATCATGATGCTCTCTTTATTAGGTGTTACTGTTAAACAATATTAAAATACACACAATGTGGCTGGTCTTTTGTAAGCTACATGGCATGTTTACTTCTTTGTCAGGTTTCTTAATTGCATTTCTTCATCTTTCCGAATACCAGTGTCACTGTCACCCACAATATTTGCTGTTTTGAGCACATGGTTTACATTTTATTTTGCCCAATAATAGAATATGATGGGGACATCTTATCTGAGTGTTTCATAGTATGCTGTAGTTTGAATTCTTGGCTGTTGGTTTCCCAGAGTCCCAGCTCCTGCCACTGCATTCTGCCTTTATAAATGGAGAATAATGGCTCTAAAAAAAATTCACCTAAGAATCTCATGATAGTGGAGAAGGAGGACCATGGAAATGCTAAAGCCTCCCACTCGGCTTCTGTAAATCATGCAGAGGATCAGGAAAATGATTGAAAGTAACGTATCCCAAACAAAGAAGTCAGCTGTACAATTCAAGACCTGTGTCTGGCTGTAAAAAAAACAAAAAACAAACAAAAAAATGGAAAGAATAACTTTGCTACTCATCTTGTTCAAAAAACTGGAGCAGATTGAGTATCTAGACTCAGTTTCAGAAGAAATGTTAAATACTGATAGGGGCATATTCAAGATCTTTAGGATTTTTTGGGGGGAGGAGAGGGGAACATAAAAAAGCAATAATAAAGATAAATCTGAATGCAGGAAAAATACACATAATCCATGAATCTAACACCTGTTTTCGCATGTTTATCATCTTTGTCCCTATGTAGATCTATGTTTTCTTTCATAGTTGCAGTCATAGAATATACTCTATTCTCTAAGCTTTTATCCTTCAACATTATAGGAGAATGTTGTTCCATGTTACCACATAGCCAACTGTTTCAAAACTTGTCTAGTAAATTCTGTGCTGTTGTTTTCACAGGGAGAAACATGCACATGTATATTACTTGGTTTTTTTTTTTCTGTTGAATCATACTCCTGGAATAAATTTTTTTCAGTGAGGTTTTTGGTTCCAAAAAGTATAAACATTTTGGTGATCTTTAGTAAGTTGTATTGCTTTCCAAAGAAGTGATAGGAATTATACTTGCCACCCCAACAGTGAAAGAATTGTAATTTAATTTCAATGTAACAGAGGATGCTACTCTTGCTATTATATTTTCTATTATAATGAAAACCTTTAAAGATTTAAACCAAGCTGGATTGTCTTTCACGAGCTGCTGTTAAATGAACACCTTGATATCTTCGTTCTTGGAGAGAAATGAGCCAAGGAGGAAGACCATCTAAAAAAAACCACTAGACAATTTGTGCTCATTGGAGTGGTCTCTGCTGGGCAAAAGGTCTTTAGAATGACTCATGGATTTTCTGGCAAGTGGCAAACCACACAAGTGCTATGTCAGGCCAGGAAGACAGGTGCAGCCCTGTCAGTGTCAAAGAAGAACACTGGTAGCAGAAGAGCTAAGAGTGAATGAAAATTGAATTATCTTTATTTCTAGGACTTGTCTATTGAGAAACAACAGTGCTGGCAACCATTTACTACCAACAAGAGGCAGTTCCAAGAGAAGAATATAAAATATGCTCTGCTCAATCCCACAAAACTCAGAGTGTCTCACAATGGCCAATTTCTTATTTTTACCCTGTCCAGAGACAAGGAAGGATGCATCAGGGAGCTGCTGGCCTCTGCGATGAATAACTTGAGTCAGCCTGCAACATGTGAAAGAATTCAGCTGATCAGGATTTATAACACTAGCTGGATTTTTTGCTTTCTCTGGGGTTCATGAAGCATGGTGTTGTGAGATACCATAGGAGTCCCAGAGTAAAGTTACATACCTACTTCTCTTCCTTATTTTTATTTTTTTGGCATGTTCATATTATTTTATTACCAACATCGTTGGCATCCCTGAGTATGAGAGTTCAGAAGAAACTTAGAGGCTATTGTCTGATTCAATCCTTGCAGCTTACAAAAAGAAATGCGGGGAGCAGTCACTGCGTGACTAGCCTGAGGTCACTCAGGAAGTTAGAGGCAGAACTGCAGCCAGGGTCACCTCTCTTTACTGCTACTAGTGTGCTCTTTCTACTGCACCCTGATCACAAAACATCTCCCAACCCAGGAACAAGGTCTACCGCATAGGTGAGCACAGCAGCATGATCACTCTCTCAGTCATCTGTACTCCTCCTTTGCTTTGACCAAAGACACAGGAAGGGACATTTTGCCCCACATAAAACACCTCTCAAAGGCTTGGCAACAACAACAGATAATAGAGAGCATTGACCTAAGACCAACATTTCAACCATGGTGTCAAAACAATATTTTATTTCAGCAAAGAAAAACTATGTCACAAGTGGATTATTATTACTAATAATCAGACTAGTGGTACTTGCGAATGACTTGGTTTCATACTCACACTTGGACAACTATGCACACTGAGTATAACTGACCTTATGAGAACATCATTCTCACTAAGATTATGATGTGCTTTCTCACGTGGGAACTGTACATAATATTGCATGTACCCTTGGGAGGATGTCCTGCCTGTGATGTTGTCTTTCAGGGGAAGAAGAATGGTTGAGAACTGAGGGTATATTAAACATTTACTTTTCCAGATTTTTCAAGATTTCTGTTAAGCGAGATCAGAAGAAAGCCATCTATTTGGATTGCATCACTCTAACCTGGTAAGTCGAATTGTCTACACAGAATTATAATTTCACGATATGTCCAGATTACTTACCGAGAGCCAATTTGAGACACCAACAGGACTAGTAAAACATCTTTGCCCTGTGGGTAGCGTTGCTATCAAAGACCTTATACATTATGTCATTCAAGAACCTTTATATTAAGATCCTTATGGAAAATCCTTCCCGAAGTTTAACCCTATGATAAAGGGTTTTTTTCTCCTGGTAACATAGTGGGCAATTGGGAACTGTTTAACCCAATGCATTGATTTCATTGATTGTTTTGGTTGCCGAGAAGTATGGATGCTCAGAACAGGTTTTCTTGTTTTCAACTGCTAATTCCTTTATTTAAATTGTAATAAATGTTTCCCTTTACTTCTTTCCTTTTTCTTTTTAAGAAATTTAATGTATTTCCTAATATATTATAAATTATTAATAGATCAATTAGCATAGAATAATCTGGAATAATGCTTAGAGATCTCCCATTGAAAAAGACCCCAGTACCATAGGGTTCACAGCTGAGTGTTAACTGAACTTGAACAAATTCTGATTTTATTTAAAATGATCAAAGCCTAGTAAAAAAATTCCTGCAGATCATATGGGGCACATAATAACTAAAAAAAAAAAGAAAAAAGAGGGGTGGCTTTCTTCAATTAATTTTATAGTGTAATATCAAAGCTTAATAGTTAATATATTTCATCTAATGTAGAATGTCAATGTTTAGAAATCAGACATTATTTCATGTACCATTAGAGATATACTGCCAATTAAACTGTGACTTCCTTACGAAAAGCAAAAAAAGGAATTTTAAAGATATTAAAACATGTAAAGAAGAATATAAGCACTATACTCCCAATCCCTTCAATTAACATGTTAATATTTTATTGCATTGGTTTTCAGTAATTACTTTTAATAAAATAAAGCATTATTAGCTAATGTTCCACCCCTACCACTCCAATCTCATTCTCCTTCTAGGTGCCCCAGGCCCAATTGCTAAAATAAATTTGTTGTACACTTTAAAGTCAATTTTCTATACGTTTGCACATAAATTTGTGTATTCGTAGAAAGTATTTTTGTGCTGAGAAGGTACAATAAGCCCTTCAAAGTTGTTGATGTTCAGATTCCAGTTGGCAAAAGTCTTACACATGTGACATTAAATATTTTCAGTATTAAACATGCACATTCCACAAGTTCAGCAGTTCTGTATTATATATCCAGAGTCTGCCCTGAGGGATGCTTACAACCTTAGTATAAACTCTCACTCACCCCTTTTAGAGAATAAAACTTACACCTATGTAATGACCAGTCCAGGTACAAGGGTGTCCTCTAAGAACATTCATTCATGTACTCAACAAATCTTTATTGAGCACCTGCACATTTCATGCCAGGGAGGTGACCTGTGTTCTCCCTACACAACAGGAGAAAGAGTGGTGGCATCGGCAGGAAAGTGCAGTGGAAAGGAGGAGCTGACTTTGGCAGGAAAAAGAACGATATTACTTTGAATTTATCAACTCTGACGTAACATCCTGATAAAAAGTGCCATATCCAAATCACGTTGAAGATTCTCAAAGGACAGTACCAAAGTTGAATAAAAACACAGTGCCTCAAATGGGAAGTGGTATAGAAAGGCCTGAGGCTGGGGTATGGAGGCACACGGGGTGCAGAGAACGAGGGAAGAGAAGAGTGAAAAACTGCTCGGGGTGGGGTGGCATTGATGGCGAGAGATGGGTGTAACATGCATTTATGAGGACAGACATGATCAGGTTTAAAGAAAAAGAATTTTTTCTTTTTCCAGCAGTCCCACTACGTGGCATTTATCTACAGGAAAGGAAATCAGCATATTTAGGAGATACCTGCACCCTCATGTTTATAGCAGCCACTATTCACAGTAGCCAAGTTTAGAATCAACCTAAATGTCCAAAAACATAATAGATTAAAAATGTAGTATCTATTCACAGTGGAGTACTATTTAGCCGTAAAAATAATGAAATCCTGTCCTTGGCTGCAACATGGATCAGGCTGGAAGACTATATTAAGTGAAATAACCTAGGCACAGAATTATAAATCTTGCATGTTCTCACTCATATGTGGGAGCTAAAAAAAAACGAACTGAGCTCATGGAAGTGGAGAGTAGAATTCTGGTTATTATAGGCTGGGGAGAGCAACAGGGAGGAGAGGACAGGGAGAGGTTGGTTAACAAATACAAACTTACAGCTAGATAGGAGGAATGAGTACATCTATGACACCAAGCTGGGAATCGACAAGTGTGACAACTCCTCCATGTCCCTGAAGATGGGATACAGTCAGGGCGCTCATCAGAGCAGCCAGGCCTTCGGCCTGGGCCCACAGATATACGACCCCAAGTACTACTGGGGAGGCCCAGTGGCCCATGGCGCTCCCTCGGGCTCCGGTGACTTCCCGGGGCCAGGGGAGGCCCCTGAATATCTCCCTTACCACCAGGAGGAGACCGGCTACTGAGGCTCCCAGCACGCTCTCTCCACACATGGTCTCCCCTTGTGGGTGTTTGGGTTTTTCTGTGTTTTCATCTTTTTTTTTTTAAGCTGTTCAGTGCTGCCAGTCAACTGAGGGTCTGAGTGGCAGCGTGGGATCAGGCAGCAGGGTTTTTTCCCCACCTCCCCTTGCTTTGCTTCCTTCTCAGGACTGAGCCACCGGGCTGTGGCGGAAGGGATCAAGGCCGTATCCTGATGCGTGTAGGGTGAAGGTCCCCGCTGGCATGTCCAGGCTGTGGGCTGAGCTGTGCTGGAGAGAAGAGACCTGGATATGGAGGGAACGGGTCCCTGAAGGTTTCTGGTTGCCTCTCCTCTTCCCCCTTTTCTCAGCCTATCAGTAAGTGGTTTCTGTACCTGCAAAAGTTTCAGGAAGTATTAACAAAATAAAAAAAAAATTTTTTTCCCCGAGGAATGGGGCGGGGACAGTGGAGAGGGTGCTAGGAAATGAGTCCCCTGGGAGAGGGGGCCCAGCCACGATGCTAAAATATCTCAGGCTCCTGAGTGGCTGGATTTCCCTAGGACCCTCAGACCAACAGACCTCAGACCTACGCTGGGGCCCCGTGAGGAAACTGAGGCCCGTACAAGGTAGTGGAATTTTGAGTTGTCAGGGTTAAGCCTGAGCCATCTCCATCCTAGCTCCCCCACCTCCGTGGCCCTCAGTAGGGTTTTTTGTTTGTTTTTGTTTTTTTGAGATGGAGTCTCACTCTGTCGCCCAGGCTGAAGCGCACTGGAGTAATCTTGCCTCACTGCACCTCGGCCTACCGGGCTCAAGCGATTCTCCTGCTTCAGCCTCCAGAATAGCTGGGACTACAGGCGCCCACCACCACGCCTGGCTAATTTTTTGTATTTTTAGTAGAGACGGGATTTCACCATGTTGGCCAGGCTGGTTTGGAACTCTTGCGCTCATGTGATCCGCCTGTTTCGTCCTCCCAAAGTGTTGGGATGACAGGCGTGAGCCACCGCGCCCAGCCCTTCAGTAGGTCTTAAGGAGTCCCGGCCCTCCTTCTCCCCTTCCGGGCCTGACCAGGTCTACTGCTCTATCTCCCCCGGCCCCAGGCCACGCCAAGTACTGCGCAGAGCCCTCCCCCCAGGGGCCCTACGCTATGAGATAATGTGAAATACCGACTGTGGACCAAACGCAATAAAACCTCTGTTTTTAAGAAGAAAGTGAAAAGACTTAAAATTGGCATTTTAATACTTTACTATATATTATTAAATATATATTAAATATAAATGTTATACAATTGAGCGCCTCTATCTCCCAGTCTCTGGTTAGGAACTTAACTTTCCTAAGCCTCAATTAGTAAACACTTCTGGCCTAGCCATGTTGACCCGCCTCTCTCCTAACATCATCCAGTATATTTCGGAAGCGCATGCAAAACTCTCCCACCTTTTGTTTCAACAGATATGTCAACTGATACAATTATACAATAATTGTATAATATTAGATTTAATCTCACAATCACACTCAGCTTGATTACTAACGCTTCTCCTACACCTTGCTCACCTATATTTATGTACATTTTCTATGAATTGAAATAGCTTAGTAATGTATGTTGTCTGTGTATTATAGTGTAAGTTATTGTAATATAGAAATATGGACTTTCTTTAACTCCCATTTGCTGCCTAGGAAATACCAATATTTTTTGAGCATGGCAAGTGTTTCCAAGCATTCAGAAGTGGAGAGTGTAGGAAATCCACTGCAGAATGAGGTCTGCTTGTCATCCTCTCAGTCTCAACTGCTCTCCCTCCTTCATCTCTCTCTGTTTCATTGATGAGTATAGAAGATCAGGCATTTTTATATGAAATGAAAATTGATGGAACTAAGGTGTTGATTTGCATATCCAACCAACGATTTATTGAGTGTCCATTACAAGTTAAATTGTGTTGTAGAGAACAGCTCAGGAAACGAATGCTTGACATTGATGTTCATAACAGAAATACAAACATGCCATTAAAAAATCAGACCTCTTATGAGCATCCAGATTCTCATGTAAATTTTGTGAAGCTCTTTCAAGATAAGAATGTAAAATTTCAAAAAAAACATTTTCACAAGTCATTCTTGAGACAGAAAAGTGGAAATAGAAGATCATATATGGTTGTTTCACTAGCTCAAATCTTAAGTAGTTTTTAGTCAATTGAGAGTCATATAATTCTTAGTTTTATATACTGATAGTCATTAGAAATTACAAATTTTAAAAAATATTCCTGTCTCACTCTACGAATCAATCTAAAAATTTCATTCATTTGGTTATATTTCTTCATTTTACCTGGTCTTGAATACTTCTTTCCTGCCCAGCATTAAGTTTAATTAATGTCTAATTTGTTTACTTGGTTTACTTATTTTGGCCACGTTCAGTACACTTGTTATGAAGCAGGCATGTAGGAATGTTGACAAGTTTATGGTCCTCACTCTTCCAAATCCCAAATGGCGGCACCCCAACAGACACATACAACAGTGTAAACACATACACACACACACACACACACAATCCATGCCCACCCATACTCACCCACCTACACACAGACACACACACACACACACACACACACACACACACACACACACTCCAGTGGATCAACACATAAAACACTCCACAGGCAGACATCGTACATCAGGGATCTCTTAGTGCACTACACACTTCTGTAAATTATCAGGACTCTTCAATTGAGGTGAGTCTACAGAGATTTCAAAAGCTATTTGAGTGCTAAGCTATCTAACTAGTGGTTGGACACTATTTAAATAATGCATTAAACACAACTCTTGAGGCTCTGAAGAATTTCTGTGCTTTCCAATAAACCAGGAGTTACAAGGTCCTGAAAACCACAAGTGTGTTACATCCTTTAATAGATAAAGCAAAGCTGATTTTAATGTGAATATACTTTATAGTTATTTCTATTCCTGTTAATTTTTGTTTGCTTGTAATACACATTTTTATGTAACTGGGACTAAGGAACATCTTAGGAAAAAGAAAACAAAAAATAAAATTTCCCTGTTTACACTGTGCCTTGGTCCAGTAACCCTGCACTGCATATATACACTTTAAATTGGTGTCTTGGGGAACCACTTCAGTATTTCTTTTTTTTTTCTTTTATGTTGTAAACCTTTCTTGTAAAAATAAACAAAAAGCAAAAAAAAAAGACAAACAAACACATTAGACTATGTCAACATGAGGTCAGGATAATCAATATTACTGTCTGAACCTCCACATCTTGTCCCACTGAAAAGGCTTCAGAAGTAATTACACTCATGGAGTTGTTATTTCCTATGGTAATGATGCTTCTTTCTGTAATATTTCCTGAAAGATTTGCTTAAGGCTACTGTAGAGTTTTAACTTTTTTTCCATAAGTAGAAGGGGTAATTCTAATGATAAAAAGTGTATTATATAAAACACATAAACCAGTAACAGAGTTTATCATTATCTAATACTATGTACTGCACACAATTGCATGTGTACTTTAGTATCACCGAAGGAAGAGCAAATTTGTTTACACCATCATCACCACAAACACTAGCAATACATTTTGCTACAACGTTAGGTGGCTTACAATATCACTGGATGATAGAAAATTTTCAGGGCCATTAGAATCTTATGAGGCCAACATCATACATATATGGTCTGTCATTGACCAAAACATAATTATGTGGCACATGAGTGTATATATCAGATACATCAATCAATATATTCAACATTTCTCCCCTGCTTATCCTAATGATAAAGATGATATAAAATATAATTTAAAAAATATAAGAAGAAATGGTGTAATGGTCTCTATATTAAAAACTAGAGTTAAATTGTTTAAAAAATTTTAAGTAGATGCTAAATACACAGATTGAAATACATTAAATACATTAAGAATGTTTGTTCTGTTTCTTATATATTGCTGGTTTTCTGCCATTGAAAGTTTAATTTAGACCTCCTTATTTCATGTAATCACCCCAATAATTTGTCTTACAAACAATTAACAGAAGTTAACACTATATAACATAGTTGTATAGTGTCTTACTCTTACAATGGGATACTTTACTTTTCATGAGGGAAAACAGTAAGCTATAAAGTTTACACAATCTGAGATGTAGATAAAGATTGATGTGCAAGATTGCTTCTAGATATATCACTTTATAATGGTAACATAAAAAAAGGAAAGTAATGTGTAAAATATCTTCTAATGCAACTCTTTCTACTCTTCCTGACTCTCATTGGCCTTTTTTTTTTTTTTGACTTCTCACGAATACATTAGGAGGCTCCCTCACCCTCTGGCTTTAGGTTAGGTTCAGCCTGTGGAGAACCCTGTAAGAAGGCAGAAAGGAAGAGGAGACAAGGGTCACGGTGTTTATTCTATTGGTCTCTTCCCCATGAGGTTGTCTTCCCTACATGTGTCTCTTTACTGAAGGTCACTTTTGTTCTCCAGGTGGTCTGATCTTCTACTCCTTCTTTTTCCAGGGTTTGTTTTTATCCTCACTGAATGCCAGTTCCAGATTTATTGCTTACAATTCTTTCATGCTCCTTCCTTCGTATGGAAGCATTCCTCAAATTATTCTTAGTTGTATTTACCAACTGTTTTCTGTTGAAATTCTGACTAATCCAGAATATAAAACTTTTTAGAGTCCAGTCATTCTTTGCCATGTTCTGTTTCCCCCCATCTCTGTGGCTATGAAAACATGTATCAAATATTTTACCTGACTCGCAGGAAGGGGAAGTCCCACTGCTTTGCCTGTTTTGGATAGGTAGCATCAGTTAAACTAAACCTTTCATAAACCACTGATACATCAGTGGTTTCTTGTTACGTAGAATGAACAGTATTCACCAGAATAATATCCTGACTAGCAAACACATCAATTGCCACTTGATATTCTAAGTGTTATGAGTAAAATAAAAACTGAATAAAGATTTTGCCCTCAGGATGTTTATGTTCTCCTACGTGAGAAAGATAATTAAAAATACAAAATATAATATCAATTTTTGAATCATAAGTGTTATGCAGAAAGTGAATTAAGGTAAATTTCCATGCTTGTAGTTTTGCTTATGGTTTACTATTTGTATTCATTTTCTAGGACTGTCATACAAAATACCACAAACTAGGTAGCTTAAAACATCAAAAGCTTATTCTCTCAGTTTTGGAGGTCAGAAATTCAAAATCAAGATGTTAGCAATACCATGCTCCCTCTGAAACCTGAAGGAGAGAATCTTTCTTTACCTCTTGTCTTCAGGTGCCAGTTATCAATTCTTGGCACATCTTTTGGCATGCAACTGCATCAGTTTGTGACTCTGTCATCACAGGACATTCTCCCTATATGTCTGTATCTCTGTGCCCAGTTCTTATAAGGACAGCAGTCACCTGACCTCATCTTAACTAGTGACATCTGCAATAGCTCTATTATCAAATAAGTTCACATTTTAAGATACTGGAGTTTAGCACTTCATTGTGTCTTTTAAAGAGACACAATTAAGCTCATATGTAATAAATATTATTATTCAAATTAAGTATATCCTACACTTAAAATATAGTGATAAAATAATTTGTAATTTCTAAAGACCTCATAATCATACAATCAATATTTATAACAGATTTCTCTTCATTTTGTTATCTATAAATCTGTATTTTTGTTTTCATTTACAACCATGACATCCCCAGAAAGCTTTTCTATACAGAGAAGTGGCTCTGAAACTGTTATCAACATCTAAACTTTTGTACAAATTGAAACTATTGTAATTTCAATTTACCTGAAGAATGTTTTCTTTTGATGTATTTGAACTGAGTATCCCTGTGATTGACAGGATGAAATGTTTAATTATGAAATAGATCAATATTGCTCATTGTGATATTCATCATTGAATAATTATATTTTTATTTTGTCAATTCTGAGTTATTTGGAAACAAAAATACACAGAATGTTACCTTATATAAATATGTTAATACATTCTTGATTATTAATAAATCTGTTACTACAATGTCATATCCTCTCAGTAGTAAAAGCATATTTAATTTATGCTTTTATCCATTAGAAAACAGTGAAGCTAGAAATTATTTAAAATTTTCCCCTAAGAAATATGTGGAAAAAATAAGGAAACTTATATTTTAAAATGAAATTGCATTAAGAAGCCAACATTGATGCATTTATTGTCTAAAGACCAGAGTTTACATTAGGGTTCACTCTTTTTATTATACAGTTCTATGGGTTTTGCTAAATGCATGATGTCATGTATCCACCATTACAGAATCATACATAATAATTTCACTGCCCTAAAAATTCCCTGTGCTCCACCTACTTATCCCCCACATGCCCAACTCCTGGTAATGACTAAACTTTGCACTAGCTCTATAGTTTTGCCTTTTCTAGAAGATTATATACTTGGACTCATACAATATGTAGACTTTTCAGACTGGCTTCTTTCACATAGAAATATGCATTCAAATTTCCTCCATGTCTAATCATGACTGGATGGCTTATTTTTTTACCCCTGATAATTATGTCATTGCATGGATATAGCAGAGTTTGTTTATCTAATTAAGGAATGATTACCTATTAAAGGATAAGCTGGGTGCTTCTAAGTTTTAGTAAGTAAGAATATAGCTGCACATGCAATAAACATTTGCATGCAAGTTTCTGTGTGGTACAGTATACTATTTCTTTGTTCTTAAATACTTTTCACTGGTGTGAACCAATGAGATGCTAACATTGCATTGCTCGTACTTGGTTGGTTTCTAAACTTTACTTACTTTTACAATTTTTAAAGAGAAGTTTCTATTGCCAGTTTTTTAAAGTGATATGCTCTGCTGGCCTTGACATAACAACACACCATCATTAGCTTTTAAGTCCTTAATATGCTCAAAAAATTAGCGAGCAACTATATCCATGAACCACCATCTAGATTGCAGGAATTAAAGGGAGAACAAATGTTCATTGAATAGATACAATTTACCAGGACTTATGCTAAGCATTACAGATCTATAATCTCTTTATATATATATATATATATATATATATACACACACACACACACATATATATAAGAAAATTAAGGTGAGAAAGTAATAAACAATGCTAATTAGCTCTGTTTTTAAAAGTAACAATCCAAACTTAAACTCAAATTATTTTTACTGTAAAACCACTGTAGAAAAATAAAAAAATTAAATTCAGAGTTCTATATTGCATACTAACTGTAAACCACATCATTGTTCAGATTGATTTTTTTTAACAGATCAAAACATATTTAATCCGTTGCATTGAATTTAATGCATTGTGTTGCTACTCCTTATTTTATTTTGTTTTATTTTACTCAATTTTATATTTTATTTTCTTTCTAGTAGAATATTAGCTGGTACATCTGAATACCAGAATGTAAAGAAAGGAAGAACAGATCCAAATAAATATTTAAAGTAATAATGGCTAAGAATTTTCCAAAATTAACAGCAGATACTGAATACAGATTCAAGAAGTGCAGAGAATACCAAGCAGAATAAATGTCAAAAATCTATACTTAGGTATATATTTTTTAAACCAAAGAAAATCAAAGACAGAGAGACATACTGAAAGGAGCCAAGGGTAAACAAGAAAACTTACCTGTAAATAAATAAGGCTAAGAATTACAGTTGGTTTTTCATTAGATGAAAGCAAGAAGAGAGTGGGGGGAAATACTTAAAGTGTTGAAAGTGAAACACACAGAGACACACACACCATCTACATTTCTTTTCTTTTTTTTTTGGAGACTGGAGTGCAGTGGTGTAATCTTGGCTCACTGCAACCCCCACCTCCTGGGCAAGCAATTTCTCCTGCCTCAGCCTCCCGAGTAGCTAGGACTACAGGCGCATGCCATCACACCTGGCTAATTATTTTTGCATTTTTTGTAGAGACTGGATTTCACTGTATTAGCCAGGATGGTCTCAATCTCCTGACCTCGTGATCTGCTCGCCTCGGCCTCCCAAAGTGCTGGGATTACAGGTGTGAGCCGTCGCATCTGGCCTACATTTCTATATCTAATAGAATTATCCTGCAATAGTGTAGAAGAAATAAAGACCTTCTCAGACAAACAAAAACTGAGAAAGTTTATGGTCAGTAGACATGCCTTGCAAGGAATGTTCGAAGAAGTTCCTAGGGAGAAGAAAAAGGGTATAGGTCAGAAACTGGTCTATATAAAGAAAGGAAGAATATCATAGAAGGAATGAATGAAACTAAAATAAAATGTTTTATTTTCTTATTCTTAATTGACCTAAAAGATAATATTTTGTTTAAAAGGAATAACTGTAACAATGTATTGAATGAATATAGTATATAAATGAATACAATAAATGGCAGTAGTGTCATAAATAATGGTAGGAATTGGGATTACTTGTATCTTAGTTTGCTCAGGCTTTTATAACAGGATACCATACACTAGGTGGCTTATAATCAACAAAAATGCAGTTTTCAGTTCTGAGACTGGGAAGTCCAAGGTCAAGCCATGTGCATATTAAGTGTCTGGCAAGGGCTTGTTCACAGAGGACGGTCCAGTCACTGGGATTTCACACGGCAGAAGAGCAAATTAGCTCTCTAGGGTTTCTTTTGTAAAGGCACTAATTCTATCCATAACAGTTTGCCCTCATGACCTAATCACTTCCCACAGACCCATCTCCAAATACTCTTACCATAGGGATTAGGTTTCAACATACACATTTTGGGGGAATAGGGGAATACAAATATTGAGTCTGTAACACTCTTGTAAAGTGATATTTGTGTTGAGTTATTCAAAGTCTTATTTAAAGGTAGATTGAGATTAGTTAAAAATGTGTATTGCAAACTCACATAAATCACTAAAACTGTTCTAAAGTATAACTGACATGCTAGGAGAGGAAATGTAATGGGATTATTTTAAGTGTCAATTAAAACAATAGAAATAAGAAAAAGAGTGATTGTTGGGAGGCAAAGAATAAATGATATGAATAGAAAATAGTTATAAACATAATAAATACCAGCCCAACTTTTTTACCAGCCCAATAATTACTTTAAATGTGCATGATCTAAATATACCAATTTACAAGACAGCTGTTGTCAGAGAAAAACAAAATAAGACATCTAGTTAACAATCTTTTTCTTTCTTTATTTAATAAACCTGAACAACATTTTACATCTAATTTAATCCCAGCACTTTGGGAGGCCAAGGTGGGCAGATCACGAGGTCAGGAGATCGAGACCATCCTGGCTAACACGGTGAAACCCCGTCTCTACTAAAAATACAAAAAAATTAGCCGGGCGTGGTGGGGGGCGCCTGTAGTCCCAGCTACTCGGAGAGGCTGAGACAGGAGAATGGCGTGAACCCGGGAGACGGAGGTTTCAGTGAGCCGAGATCGCGCCACTGCACTCCAGCCTGGGCAACAGAGCGAGACTCCGTCTCAAAAAAAAATAAAAGTTGATGAGTAATTTTTGTCATATGGAGTTCAGTGATATTTATAATAAAAATTGCATACCACACAACTGATCAAAGCACAGCATATCCGTGCCACCGTAGTCTTACTTATGGCTACCTGTCCAGAGCTCACTTTGAAAAGTCACTTCCCTACTGAAATTCATGACACTTATGGAATTGTCAGAATCTATAAAGAATGTATAAGGAATTTTTATAAACTATGAATTACTCAAAGTAAGATATTTTGTTAAAGCAGCAGGAATGTACTAAAACACCATGTAATGGGAACAAGAAATGACATCCTTAGTCATAAGCAAAAGTTGTTGATGAAATGGCTAAAAAATAAATATGCCCAACTCAGCATCATTAACAAGGGAAATCTCATAGGTGATAAGGAACAGAACCTGGCCCTAAGGTTTCTAATAGGGCCAAAGTCTCCCACTTCATGTTTTACTCCTTTGGGTGTCTCTATGCAGTAAACTCACTAGTTTATGTACTAGGGAACAGTTGGTTTAGAAAGGTCATGCCAAAAGGTCAATATAAATTTCTTCACTGGCCTTCTTTAGAGTAATGAGACCTTTCTGTAAAATAAAGATGGTTTTGTTGCATATCCATACAGCAACCTATCATTTATAGGAGCTATTCTTTCTGCAACATCCATATTAATACCCAGGTGAAAAGTGAACCAAAATAAAAAGAAGATAAAAAGATGAATGAATTTTTTTTCTTAATTTGGGCAAAATTACTTCAAAATGTTACAGTATATACAACATCTCAAAATATGTAATTGGAAAGAAAATTTTACAAACTAAAAATATTTACATTGTGCATGTTTTGTTTTTTTATTTAGAAATAAAAGCCAAACAGGTACCCAGAGAAGCCAAATACAAGATAATAATTACTTTGAACACTTTTTCATTCAAGCAAATTTCTGACTGTGAATGTAGGGTTACAAGTACATTCCAGAAAGTGAAGGTACATTCGGTCTACTAAATTTCTTGGCCATAATTTTCTAAATTTTACTGAACTTGGAATCACAGGACTGGGGAATATTCATTGGGGAATATAAAAAGTAGCTTTCTCATTTTTGCAGTGATTTCATATAAAAGAAGAAACATTATTTATATAAAATATTTTCTTCACATGAAAATTTGGTTGGTATATCTGTGCTATTTTACCTTTTGCTAAATATATATTAATAACTTCAGAAAATATAATACATGACACATTTTGATTTATCTTCTGTCTTCATATATCCCAAAGCTTGAGTTAAAATGAAGATAAATCATAAAACACTCAATGATTTTGTATGTTATATTCAAAATAAGGCCACATTGATCCAAAATCACTCTGTAGTATTCAGTTACTTAGAGGAGCATGTTAAAGTTTTCATACCCATATAGGATAATCAATTGTAAGAATTTCTGTCATTTGCCTCAATGGAGGTAACAATGTTTATTTATTAGTAGAATAAAGAGAATTTATTTCCAAGAAATGCAAGAGTTTTATGTATTTTGCATTTAAAAATTAAGTACAGTTCAATGTGTGTTTTGATTTAAAAAATAAAAATGAACGGAATTCTAAACTACACTTCTGATGTAGCCATGTGGCCAAAATACTAACAATCTGACTTAAAATATATCTTCATCTAATTATTCCTTCTGTGCAAAAGATGAATTTGATTTGTTGGGAAGGATGCTTTGAAAGTATGAATTTAATTTCCCTTCTTCCAGGGTATCTATTTCTTCCATCATTGTAAGTAGGAATTGCTTGCTCACATGCAAAAATGCAAACACTGGTTTTTAAGTGCTATCTGGAAGAAATACTAGAATACATATATTCTACATACATATAATATTTACAATACATATTCAAGATATCTATAGATACATAAAAATAAACATTTAATGAAAATTGAAAATATTAGAAAGGCCTAAGGTACTTCAGGTAGGTAATCTCATTTATTTTTACAGGAAAAGGATATTTCCCAATAACATTAAAGCTTATATAAAATTTGATAATTGGTTAAGTCAAGCTTCTAATAAGTGGTAAATAAAGATTTACTTGTTACTATCCATTATATGAGTATTAGTTCATTCTCACACTGCCATGAAGATATACCCAAGACTGGAGACTGAGTAATCTATAAAGAAAATAGGTTTAATTGACTCACAGTTCTTGGGAGGCCTCAGAAAACTTACAATCATGGCAGAAGGCAAGAGAAGCAGGTACCTTCTTCACAGGGTGGCAAGACTCAATGAGTGCAACCAGGGGAAATGTCAGATGCTTATAAAACCATCAAATCTCAAGATAACTCACTCACTGTGATGAGAACAGCATGAGGGAAACCACCTTCATGATCTACTTACTTCCATCTGGTCCTGCTCTTGACACATGAGGGTTATGGAGATTACAATTCAAGGTGATATTTGGGTGGGGACACAGAGCCAAACCCTACAGTATGTATGGTATCCTACTATGTATTGCTTGAATCTACACAATACAGTTCTGTCTCTTCAAATGGATTCCAGCTGAGGACAGTAAGGAACAAAATTGACACATAATATGTAGAAAATAATGTATCAACAAAATGTATTATATAATAATTTTCTTCATTAAATAATATTTTTTAGTAAGAATTATGTTAGGTGCTGTAGGAATAAGAGAATAAAACAAGTGTGTATTTTACCCTTTGGAGAAAAGTAATACAAAGAAGAAAGCCGAAACAAAGCAGAATCAAAGTTTGACCTTCATATAGATATGCATGTAAATATATATACATTTGTGGACTTTCAAAAAATTTAAAAACATTTTTATTAGAGAAACGATAAAACTTTATGATAAAATTGCATTCAATTTGGATTTAGAAAGGGTAAAATTATGTGTCTTAGACCATTTTGTGCTTCTAAAACAGAATACCATAGATTGAGTAATTTATAAAGAACAGAAATTTACTTCTTACCATTCTGGTGGCTAGGAAGTCCAAGATCAAGATACCAGGCTCTGAGGTCTTCTTGATGCATCCTCACATGGTGGAAGGTGGAAGGGGCAAGAGAGAACCAACTCTCTCTGTCAAGACCCTTTATAAATCACCTCATCCCATTCATGAGGGAGGATCTCTCATGGCCTAAACACCTCTTAAAGGCCTGACCTCTTAGGACTATCACATTGGCAACACTTGAAATCTGGAGGAGATTCATTAAAGCCATGTCAGTATCCATTTCTTACTAAAGGTAAAAAATAATTTGAAGTATGAAGGGAACACAAAATGAATAATACCTCCAAGAAATATTCATTCATTTGTCCACTCACTCACTAAATAAATATTGAGAGACTGACTTGTAAAAGCTAATTTACTCTCTTCTAAGCTCCATCATACCAGGCTGGGAAACTCCCAGTAGATAATATGGGCACTAAGATCCAACCTAATATAAACTCAGATCAATTTACTTCAGATATCAGGATAAAAAGTTCTGCACCATTGTGAGCCATGGTTCTTCCAGACAGCAATACAAGGAAGTAGAAGAGACAGAGTTGATCCAAAAAGCAATGAGCCTGGGAAGTTTTTATAGCAGGTAATTTCAAATAAATCATTTTCTATACAACTGAGATTCTTCTATTCATGAATAGAACCTTCTTAAATGCACTCCAGCATTTCTCCAAAGTGGGGCATTGTAAACAACTAAAAAGAGGGCCAGAAATGGCTATTTATCTCACTTGAGCGTAATAGAGCATCTAATACCAGCATCCAGGCTGGGTCAATGGAAATCTGGTGCCAGACTTTGCTTTTGCCTTTGAAGATAAAATTTTTTTTTCTTTAAACTGTATTTGAAGTGAGATTCTATATGGACTGCTATGTAAGGGAAGGGATTCTTTGAAAATGGGTCCAACCCACTAGAAGAAGAGTTAACAAATGGAGATAAGCTGAACCCTGATTACTTTACTTGGAGCCTGAAATCACCTTTAGCTTAAATCATACTACCCTTGGGCTTAGTTACTTTAGTCTACTTTTTTTTTCCATTTATGTTACTTGCCCCCAAATGAGTCTTAATGGGGACAAATGGTCATTCAGGTACAGGCCTCAGAAGAGCATTCCTGATGAGAGGAAACATTTCCAAGGAATGTTAATGAGATTGTTCTGGGACAGGATAAATAAAAGAAATACATTTAGAGGAGTTCTAATTTAAGGAACAGCACAGAAAGAGAAACGTACAAAACAGCTAGTGGTGGAACAGTAATAGAATGAAAGGGAAAACCAATTTCTTTGAAACGTTTACAGTCATGCCCCACATAATAATGCTTTGGTCAATGACACACTGCATTTAAAATAGTGGTCCCATAAGATTCTAATGGAGCTGAAAAATATCTTCCATGTAGTGACATAATAGCCATTATAACTTCAAAGCTCAATGCATTCCTCAAGTGCATTTGGTGATGCTGATATAAACAAACCTATTGTGCTGCCAATCATAGACAAGAATAGTGCATATAATTATGTACAACACATAATACTTGATAATGATAATAAATTACTATGTTACTCATTTATGTATATACTTTACTATTTAATGTTATCTTAGGGCATACTCTTATTTATTAAAAAAAATTATCTGTAAGACTGTCTCAGGCAGGTCCTTCAGGAGATATTTCAGAAGAAGGCATTGTTATCACAGCAGACTACAGGTCCATGCATGTTATTGCCCCTGAAGACCTTCCAGTGGGACGAGGTGTGAAGGTAAAACACAATTATATCGATGATCCTGATCGTGTGTAGGCCTAGGCTAATGTGTGTGTTTGCATTTTACTTTTTAACAAAAAGGTGTACAAAGCTGAAAAAGGAAAAAATCTTATAAAACAGGTACAAAAGAAGATATTTTTGTATAGCTGCACAATGTGTTTGTGTTTTAAGCTAAATGTTATTATAAAAAATCAAAGCTTTGAAACATATAAAAGCGTTAAAATATATTAGATTAAAAGGTATAGTAAGATAATGTTAATTTCATGGTCCTTAAGTGTATCATTTTTATAAAATCCACAGTCGTATACAGTAATGTCCCAGGGTTTCACAGTCACTCGCCATTCACTCACTGACTTATCCAGAGTAACTTTTAGTCTTCAAGCTCCATTTATGGTAAGTTCCCAATACAGACGTAACATTTTCCATCTTTTATGCTGTACTTTTACTATACCTATTCTATGTTTAGATATGTTTAAATACACAAATACTTGCCGTTATGTTACAATTGCCTACAGTGTTCAGTATAGTCACATGCTGTACAGGTGTGTAGCCTAGGAGCAATAGGCTATATCTCATATAGCCTAGATGTGTAGCAGACTATGTGGTCAAGGTTTTGTAAACATCTATGATGTTTGCATAATGACAAAATTGCCTAACAACGCATTTCTCAGAACATATCAGTTTTACTAAGGGGCACATGACTATACATATTTAATTTTTACTGGTGAAATATTATTATTCATATTGAACAGAATTGGAACTCTAGCTCTATTACTTATCTCTCCTAGTTGAAGCCAAGCTTTTTCCAACAGATTGGAAAACTATATGCTACTGAGAAAGCTACTGGTATTGGAGTTCTAAAATACATATATATGTCTCTTAGCTCTCAAAATTATTTTGTAATATCATATGCCTAACTACAAAAATATAAGTGCCCAAATATTTAGACTTGTATAGTCAATGATTATAATTAATCTTGACACTAAGTAATATTCAAAGAGGGAAGTTTGCTCTTTATTTTCCTAATTGCCATGGGCAACCATCAGTTATTTACTTCATTTCCTTTCAATAGTTCTTGCTCTCAGCAAGTCGGGATCTCTCAGAGAGAAAGATTCATAGAGGCCTGAGAAAAACAGAAGAATCTAGGGACAAATGTAAAACCATCTTCATAATCACAATCCATTTGTTAGATACACCATCCTAAATTTTGTCCTAAAGAATAAGCAGGGCTCATATTCTATTTCTTATATTTTTTGAGGGACGATTTCAGTGTAAGCAACAAAGCAGTGGAAATAATTTCAAATGCTAGAATAGTTTTTTGAGTAAAATCTGGTCCTACTAATGATTTAAGAGCTGGAACACAACTTCTTGCAGGTCTAGAGCTGGATCCTAGTCCAAGTGTTCCTGGAAGGGATGGGGTAGGGGTGAATGGAGTGTGGGAATGCAGTCCTGCCGAGTATGGGCAGCTGTTTTGGAGCCAAGCAATTCACAGTTTCACTTTGCCAAAATAAATCCACTTGAATGATTTTTTTTTTTCAGGGATGAAACTGAGAAATCGGTGGTGAGTAGTTCTGCTTAGGAAAATTTTTGACATTTCAGGATAAATGACAAATATTACACTTTTCCTGAGACTACCTTAAAAATTCTTTAATATATCTAATTCTCATTATTTTGCTAAACTGTCTATACTTGCTATTCACTTATTCACATTTAAATTTTTATTGTGACTATTAATTATATAAATGGAAATAGCTGTAACTTTTAAGTATAGAATCCCTATATTTTTCTTCTTGCTAGCCATATCTATCTTATTTATAGTGAATATCCAACTTTCATGAATTCTGAAAGTGTTCAATGACCTCAGAAAGCAATACGATTGTGTGGTATACAGAATATTAGATGGTCATGACCTTAGCCTCCCAGTGTTACTTTGATGATTATATTGTATTACATAGCAAAATGGATTGCACAGATGTAATTAATGTTAATAATCAGTTGATGTGAAGACAGGAAGATTATCCAAGTGTACCTAATCTAATACAATGAGCTCTTTAAAATTTTATTTATTTTTGCTCGACTGTCTTATTTCTGAGAGCCAGTTTTCAAGCTCTGAGGTCCTTTCCTCAACTTGGTCCATTCTGCTGTTAATACTTGTGATTGCATTATGAAATTCTTGTGGTGTGTTTTCCAACTCTAGCCAGTCAATTTGGTTCTGTTTTATACTGGCTATTTCACCTATCAGCACCTGAATTATTTTTTGTGTTTGTTTCTTAGTGATATGGTTTGGCTCTGTGTTCCCATTCAAATCTTATCTGGAACTGTAATCCCCATCTGTTGAGAGACGAACCTGGTGAGAGGTGATTGGATCATGGGGGTGGTTTCCCCGTGCTGTTCTCATGATAGTGAGTGAGTTCTCATGAGATCTGATGGTTTAAAAGTGACCCTCCCCCTTCACTCTCTCTCTTCTGTCACCCTGTGAAGAAGGTACTTGCTTCTCCTCCACCTTCAGCTATGATTATAAGTTTTCTGAGGCCTCCCCAGCAATTCAGAACTGTGAGTCAATTAAATCTTTTTCCTTTATAAATTACCCAGTCTCAGAAGTTCTTTATAGCAGGGTGATAACAGCCTAATACACTTAGCTTCCTTGAATTAGGTTTCGATGTTCCCCTGAATTTCAATGATCTTTGTTCCTATCTATATTCTGAAATCAATTTATGTCATTTCAGCCATCTCAGCCTAGTTAAGAACCCTTGCTGGGGAACTAGTGTGATCTTTGGGAGGAAAGAAGACATGCTGGCCTTTTGAGTTGCCAGAGATCTTGCATAGGTTCTTTCTCATCTGTGTGTGTGTGGGTGTTCCTTTAATTGCAGTGTAAATTGAGTACAGTCAGTAGACTTCTTTCCTACATGTTTTCAGAGTCCTGAGGCTTTGTTCAGGGCCTTTATTTGTAGCTAAATTCTTGTCTTTCTTTTCACAGTGGGGTATGATAGCAAAGTATTATTGGTGTTGAAGTTTTGGGGTGTGATCTAGTAGCTGGTGCTGAAGTGTAATGGTCACTGTGTAGGCTCCTGCTCAGTCATGTGGCTCCTCCGTATTTCCTCATGGGTTGCAGCTACGCTTCCTCTCAATGTTTTGAAAGTCAGTGTAGGCTCCTCTCCCACTTGAGTGCTCGCTGCAGATCTTGGCTTGGTGCATCCAGGCTGCACACCATAATTCTGAAATGATCATAGGCTTTATGTTACTTCCCCAGCTTGGAAGCAGCAGAGAAGGAGACCCTGTGGCTCAACGTCTTTTCTCGTCACTTGGGGCTCCATTGCAGAAAGATGCAGAAGTGCAATCAATTAGCATGATCAGCCTGGCATGGGGCAGCTGTACTGTGAGCCCAAGCTGGGGGGATCCTGTCTGGTGACTAGCAGAGAATGTGGGTAGGATCCATGGGAGACAGACTGGCCTCCTCTCCTTAGAGCAACTACAACTTGCTGGATAAAGCACTCAGAGTCTTTGCTTCTTCCCTAGTCCAAGGGTAAACAGGGAAGTTAAACTGGAGAGGCAGTGGCAGAGGGACTTTTGGTTGCCCCTAGGAGCTCCATCTCTGAGAAATGTGGAGCTGCTGCTACTGGGAGTGTTCAGCCAGAGGGTGAAGCAGCTGCATTGCTTGCTTGAGGTAGAGGCTCTGCTTGTTGGGGAATAGGGGGTCAAGGGCCCATAGCAGCAAGAAATGGGGATTTTTCTCTAAATGGTGGCTGTGGTGTGCTGTACACATCGGGAGAAAGCAACCAACTTAGAAAATATATCTCAGGATATCATCTACGAAAACTTCCTCAACCTCTCTAGAAAGGCCAACATTCAAATTCAAAAAATATAGAGAACCTTTACAGGATGCTAAAAAAGAAGTCCATCCCCAAGACACATAATCATCAGATTCTCCAAGGCCAAAATGAATGAAAAAGTGATAAAGTAAGCTAATGAAAAAAGGCAGATTACCTACAAGGGGCACCCCATCAGGCTAAAAGCAGAAATTTCAGAAGAAATCCTACAAGCCAGAAGAGATTGGGGGTCTATATTCAACATTATTAAAGAAAAAAATCTTCATCCAAGAATTTCAGATGGAGCCAAACTAAGCGTCATAAGTGAAGGAGAAATAAGATCCTTTTCAAACAAACACATTCAGAGGGAATTCATTACCACCAGACTGCCTTACAAGAGTTCCTGAAAGGAGTAGTAAATATGGAAAGGAAAGACTGTTATCAGCCACTACAAAAACACCTTTAAGTACACAGACCAGTGACACTATAAAGCAACCACACAAACCAGTCTGCATAATAATCAGCTAAGAACAGGATCAGAGGATCAAATCCACATATATCAATAATAATCTTGAATGTAAATGGCCTAAATGCCTCAATGAAAAGGCAGAGTGGCAAGCTGGATAAAGAAAAAGACCCAATGGTCTACTGAATTTAAGAGCCCCATCCTACATGCAATGACACCCATAGGCTCAAAATGAATGGATGTAAAAAAATCTACCATGCGAAAGGAAAACATAAAAAAGCAGAGGTGGCAATCCTAATTTCAGACGAAACAGACTTTGAACCAACAAAACTCAAAAAAGACAAGGAAGGTCATTACATAATGGTAAAAGGTTGAATTAAACAAAAAGACCTAATTATCCTAAATATACATGCACCCAACACAGGAGCACATAGATTCATAAAACAAGTTCTTAGAGACCTACAAAGAGACTTAGATTTCTACAAAATAATAGTGGAAGATGTCAACACCCTACTAACAGTATTAGACAGATCATTAAGGAAGAAAATTAATAAAGATATTCAGGACTTGAACTCAATACTTGATCAAATGGACCTAACAGACATCTACAGAACACTCTATCCAAAAATGACAAAATATACATTCTTCTCATTACCACATGACACATACTGTAAAATGGAACACACAATCAGACATAAACCAATCTTCGGCAAATTAAAAAAAAAACATTGAAATCACACAAACAACACTCTCAGACAACAGTGCAATAAAAAATGTGGCACATATACACCATGGAATACTATGCAGCCATAAAAATGATGAGTTCATGTCCTTTGTAGGGACATGGATGAAATTGGAAATCATCATTCTCAGTAAACTATTGCAAGGACAAAAAACCAAACACTGCATGTTCTCACTCATAGATGGGAATTGAACAATGAGAACACATGGACACAGGAAGGGGAACATCACACTCTGGGGACTGTTGTGGGGTGGGGGGAGGGGGGAGGGATAGCATTAGGAGATATACCTAATGCTAAATGATGAGTTAATGGGTGCAGCACACCAGCATGGCACACCTATACATATGTAACTAACCTGCACATTGTGCACATGTACCCTAAAACTTAAAGTATAATAATAAAAAAAACAAAAAAAAAGTGCAATAAAAACAGAATTCAGTACAAAGAAAATCACTCAAAACCATACAATTACATGGAAATTAAACAACCTGCTCCTAAGTGACTTTTGGGTGAACAATAAAATTAAGGAAGAAATCAAGACATTCTTTGAAAATAACAAAAAGATAAAACAAGCAGGAATCTCTGGGACACAGCTAAAGTGGTATTCAGAGGGATATTTGTAGCCCTAAATGCTCACATCAAAATGATAGATATCAAACTAAAAACCCAGCATTACATCTAGAAGTACCAGAGAAGCAAGAGCAAACAAACCTCAAAGCTAGCAGAAGAAAAGAAATAACAAAAATCAGAGCTGAAATGAAGGAGCTTGAGACATAAAAAAAATAAATAAATAAAAGATGAACAAATCCAAGAGTTGGATCATTGAAAAAATCAATAAATAGATATATGGATACCTAGACTTGTAAGAAAAGGAGAAGCCCCAAATAAATACTATCAGAAATGACAAAGAAGATGTTACCACTGATCCCACAGAAAAAAAAATAATCACCGTAAACTACTTTACACACCTCTATGTACACAAACTAGAAAATGTAGGAAAAATTGATACATACATCCACCCAAGATGGAAGCATGAAGAAATTGATCCTTGAACAGACCAATAATGAGCTTCAAAACTGAATCAGTAATAAATAGCCTACCAAAAAAAATGCCAAGGACTAGATGGATTCACAGCTGAATTCTAGTAGATATTCAAAGAATAGCTGGTACAAATCCTACTGAAACTATTCCAAAAAATTGAAGAAGAGGGACTCCTCTCCATCTCATTCTTTGAGACCAGCATCATCCTCTATGAGACCAGCATCATCTTCATATGAAAACCTGGCAGAGAAACAGCAAAATAAAAAAAATAAAAAAACTTCAGGCCAATATCCTTGATGAACATAGATGCAATAATCCTCAACAAAATACTAGCGAACAGAATGCAGCAGGACATCAAAAAGCTAATTCATCATGATCAAGAAGACCTTATCCCAGAGATGCAAGGTTGGTTCAATATATGCAAATCAATAAATGTGATTAATCATGTAAACTAAAGACAAAAAACATATGATTATCTCAATAGATGCATAAAAAGCAAAAACCACATGATTATCACAATAGATGCATTCAACACTGCTACATGTTAAATACCTTCAATAAATTAGGCATTCAAATGACCATACTGCCCAAAGCAATTTACAGATTCAATGCTATTGCTATCGAACTACCAACAACATTCTTCACAGAACTAGAAAAAAACTATTTTTAAAATTCACCTAGCCCTCAAAAAAGACCCTGGATAGCCAAGGCAATCTTAAGCAAAAAGAACAAAACTGAAACCATCACATTATGTGACTTCAAACTCTTCTACAGGGCTACAGTAACCCAAGTAGCACAACACTAGTACAAAAACAGACACATAGAACAATGGAACAGAATAGAGAGCCCAGAAATAATGCCACACATCTACAGCCATCTAATTTTCAACAAAGCCAACAAAAACAAGCAATAAAGAAAGAACTTACCATTCAATAAGTGGTGCTGGGATATCTGATTAGTCATATGCAAGAAGATTGAAACTGGACTCCTTCCTTATACCATATATAAAAATCAACTCAACATGAATTAAATACTTAAATGTGAAACCCAAAACTATAAAAACTCTGGAAGATATCCTAGGAAATGCCATTCTGGATATAGGAACTGGCAAAGATTCCATGATGAAGGTGCTAAAAGCAATTGCTACAAAAGCAAAAACTGACAAATGGGATCTAATGAAACTAAAGAGTTTCTGCACTGCAAAAGAAATTGTCAACAGAGTAAACAGACAACCTAAAGAATGGGGGAAAATTTTTGCAAAGTAGGCTTCTGAAAAAAGTCTAATATCCAGAATCTATAAGGAACTTAAACCAATTAACAAGCCAAAAAAGAAAAATAAAAACAACCTAATTAAAAAGTGGATAAAGGACATGCACAGACACTTTTCAAAAGAAGACATACATGCTGCCAACGAGCATATGTAAAAACCTTAACATCCACTCATTAGATAAATGCAAATCAAAACCACAGTGAGATACCATTTCACACCAGTCAGAATGGCTATTATTAAAAAATCAGAAAGAAACAGATTTTGGTGAGGTTGTGGAGAAAAGGGAACACTTATACACTGCTGGTGGGTGTGTAAATTAGTTCAGCTATTGTGGAAAGCAGTGTAGTGATTCCTCAAAGAACTAAAAACACAATTACCATTTGACCCACCACCATTACTGGATATATATTCAAAAGAAAACAAATTGTTCTACCATAAAGATACATGCACACATATGTCCATTGCAGCACTGTTCAAAATAACAAATACATGGATCAACCTAAACGCCCATCAACAGTAGATTGGATAAAGAAAATATGGTACATATACACCACGGAATATATGCAGCCATAAAAAGAATGGAATCATGTCCTTTGCAGCAAGATGGATGGAACTGGAGACCATTATTCTTAGCAAACTAATGCGGGAACAGAAAACCAAAGACTGCATGTTCTCATTTATAAGTGGGAGCTAAATAATGAGAACACGTGGACAGGAACAACAAACACTGGGGCCTACTAGAAGGTGGAAGGCAGAAGGAGAGAGAGGATTTAGAAAGAATACATACTGCGTACTATGCTTAGTACCTGGGTGATGAAATGTTCTGTATACCACAGCCTCATGACACGAGTTTACCTATATAACAAATCTGCACATGTACCACTGAACCTGAAATAAAAGTTAAAAGAAGGAAAAAAGGAGTCTTACCTGGCTTGCAGCCCAAGAAGTCAAAGTGATTTGAATCACAAGAAGGGTTCAGTGTATTGTTGCTGCCTTTGAAGACAGAAAGGGGCCACATGCAAGAACCAAAGGGTGTCTTCTAGCAGCTTGTGCAATCCCAAGTGGACATCCAGAGGAAATGTGAGCCTCAGTGCTACAACCACAAGAAACTGAATTCTTCCAACAACATGAATGAGCTTAGAGGTGACTTTTCCCCTAGTTTCCAGATAAAAACGTAACGTTAGCCATATCTTCAGTATCACCCTGTGAGTTCCCAAGTAAAAAAACCGGTGGAGTCTGCCTGGACTTTTGATGTACAAAACTGTTAGAAAATAACTGAGTTTAATGTTAAGTAAAAAATATGAGAAATCAAACCTATGTAATAATTTTGTTAATTTCTACAAGTCTTTCAAATCAAATAGGTAGGATTTTTAAATTATATATTTTGTTGTAAGGTTGTGTATTATCATTCTCTATATAAATAAATTCAAATTTTAAAAAACTTTATTCCAAGGGTTTGTAAAAACATATATTATTATATTGTGAAAAATGATTATAATTTCAGTTATAGTTCTCAGTTGTGGTTTTATATTTTCTTTCATATTTTTCTTGCGTGTTTTCTATGTGGTTTTCAAGTGTTTTTAAAGTTTTCCTCCAACCTGGATTTTCTTTCTCTCAATCCATGTATCCTCCAATTTTTTCAAATATCCCCATCAAATTGCCTCCCTCTCCACTTACTAATCTATTCCTTTCCACTTTTTAGTTGTTTCACACTTTTGTTTTTAGTTCATATTTTAGTATTTTAGTTTATTTATCTTTTATCTTCCTAAATAAAAAAGTTCTTCCTGGAGCATTTATTGACATTCTCAAAGGATGAACCACTTCTATAGAGCTTAACCAACACATTTACTTACAGTTATATTCCCATATTATCAAAACTTTATACTACTCTAAACTTCTTTTTCTGTAAGTAAAAGTCAATTGGTAACTATAATTTGAATTTTCATGTAAAATGACTTGTACAATTGTTTTGTGCAAATGTTATTTTCCTTTTTCTTGTTGAACAATAGGACCAAAACATAAAAACAACCAAATGGCAAACATTTCTTTGACATATTTACTCTGTAAGTGGGCTATAAAGAGGTCTCATAAAACTATTTTTTCTTTAAAAAAATCCTTCTTTTCTGTATCTTCCATTTGATATTAAAATATAACATTAAGCTACTTTTTTTTTTTTTTAAGATGAAGTCTCACTCTGTATCCAGGCTGGGGTGCAGTGGCACAATCTCGGCTCACTGCAACCTCAGACTCCACTCCCTAGTTCAAGTGATTCTCCTGCTTGAGCCTCCGCAGTAGCGGGGATTACAGGCTTGTGCCACCATGCCCGACTAATTTTTGTATTTTTAGTAGAGATGGGGTTTCACCATATTGGCCAGGCTGGTCTCGAACTCCCAACCTCGTGATATGCCCGCCTCGGCCTCCCAAAGTGCTGGGATTACAGGCGTGAGCCATCGCGACCAGCCTTGTGCCTGTTTTATCTGTTATTCCTTACATTCTCTTCTCTTTACTATTTAATTCTATTCCATTTACATAGACTCAATGCCTAAATTTTATTTAACTTTGAATCATAATTTTCTTTAATTATCCTAAATTTTCTCTGCTTTCTTTCTTGACTTATTCCTTCTGGTACTTCATTTCAATTACTAAAATTTACTTGGTTGGTTATTGTTAACTGAACTTCTAATTCAATATAAAGTAGTTCAAAATTATGAGTCTTTATTTTTCAAAAGGTTTTCTTTTCCAGTCATCATCTAGTAATATATGATTTTAAAATTTCATTAGACTATCTTTTAATTATCTTGGTTTAATGAAGGATTGTTTTACATATATGTATTTCTTCCTCAATTTCCTTCCTTAATACTACTGCATTGCTTTGTGCATGTGCCCAGCTCTATTTCTTGGTATATAATTTTTTGAGAAGTGTGATGTAGTAACAAAAAGAAATAATATTCATGAAAGGATTTTAGAAAAACTTTAAAAATAGGTAATTTAAATAGAGGTTTCGGCAGCATGCTGATGCTCCTCAGTAAGAACTAGATGGCATACATAAAGTCAAAAGAGGTTTGACTTTGACTTCAAAAACAATTCAACTAGATAGAAAGGAAATAATAGGTAGTTTAAAAATTACTATAGCCATCCCACCTAAATTAAAATGCAGAAATATGTAGAATTAGAAAGTAAAGTATTTATCAAAATATAACTGTTGATCCAAATTATTGCTTTTCTTGTCAGAAATATTCAGGAACTAGGAAATAATAGTCATTACTGTCCCAAGTCAGTTATTCTTTATGTTCATAAGTAATTGCTTATTTGCTATAGCCAATACTCATGGAAGCCTTTGTCTTCTGTGACATTGCAGGTTTACAGTTCTGCTTCAAATTTTTGAAGTTTTCACTGTTATATTCACTGGCTCATTTTATTTCATTATTTTGAGTCTGGGAGACATTCCCTTGGCTCAGTGTTTTCATCTATTGTAAATTCACTTCACTCACAAAGTTGCACCTTTTCTTCATTTTTCATTATAATAAATAACAGTTTCTTTGGTTTGGAAATCTACAGTCAACCTTAAGTTTACATTAATATTATTTTAATTTGTCTCTATTTCATTCCTGCTCTCATAACCCTTACCTAATCAATGTCTAAATTGTGAAGAATAAGCATTGTAGTGACAAATGTCATGCTTGTCTACATTTCTTTAGATAATATCTTTTTATTTATTTATTTATTTTTATTTCTTTTTTTTTTTTTTGAGACGGAGTCTCGATCTATCGCCCAGGTTGGAGTGCAGTGGCGCGATCTCGGCTCACTGTAAGCTCTGCCAGGTGCGGTGGCTCACGCCTGTAATCCCAGCACTTTGGGAGGCCGAGGCGGGCGGATCACGAGGTCAGGAGATCGAGACCATCCTGGCTAACACGGTGAAACCCCGTCTCTACTAAAAATACAAAATATTAGCCGGGCATGGTGGCAGGCGCCTGTAGTCCCAGCTACTCAGGAGGCTGAGGCAGGAGAATCGACAATATCTTTTTAAAACCTAATTATTTGATTCCTGAATTGCCAAATTCCAGTCTGTTTTTTAGTCCTTTTCTTACTACTTTCTAAGGCATAATAAATGTAACTACTGGAAGAAATGTATCAATGTCAACTTTGAAAATTTTTAACTATCTAAATTTGGTGAAATGATAAGATATGGATATATATATTAAAATATTAGCTTGAGCAATGACTCAGTACTTCAGAAACAAGTAGCAGGCTTTAAAACCTGAGGAAAAATTAGGCTTGTGTCACAACACAAACCACAAGAAATCCAAAAACAGTAAGGGTGACTGTGCAAGGAGGACAGAAAAGAAGTACTAGACCAATTTAACACTATCTTACATTTATCAGAAATAACAGAAATTATACATATATGCTCTACAGAATTTTAAAAAAAGAAACAAAATATGGTGCTTTTCTCCAGATGTTTTGGCCAGAGGACATAATCTGAATGATTTAAATTCCTTGAAATTGACTGTGACTTGCTATACAGCCAGCATATGGTTGTTTTATTTTGTAAAATATCCTATATGCTCTTGAAAAGAACGTGCCTTCTGTTTCTAAGCCAATTCGGTTAAGTCAAAACAAAATTCTAACTATAAGATAATAGTAACTGAGAATAAGTAGTCACCTGCAGAGGACCAAAGCATTCTATCAAACTTTTACTGCAACTGGATTTCAAGAAGGTAATGGCATATTAAAAAAGAACCCAGAAATAAACCCAAATACCTAAGAGCCAACTGATCTTTGCCTAAGCAAACAAAAACACAAACTGGGGAAAAGACACCCTATTCAACAAATTGTGCTGGAATAATTGGCTAGCTACACGTAGGAAGTGAAACTGGATCCTCGTCTCTCACCTTCTACAAAAATCAACTCAAAATGGATTAAGAACTTAAATCTGGCTGGGCGCTGTGGCTCATGTCTGTAATCTCAGCACTTTGGGAGGCTGGGACATGCGGATCACCTAAGGTCAAGAGTTCAAGACCTGCCTGGCCAACATGGCAAAACCCCATCTCTACTAAAAAAATACAGAAGTAAACCAGGCGTGGTGGCATGTGCCTGTAATCCTAGCTTGGGAGGCTGAGGCAGGAGACTCGCTTGAACCCAGGAGGCAGAGGTTACAGTGAGCTGAGATTGCACCACTGCACTCCAGCCTGGGGCTACAGCAAGACTCTATCTCAAAAATAAATAAATAAATAAATAAATAAATAAATAAATCTAAGACCTGAAACTGTAAAAATTGTAGAAGATAACATTGGAAACACACTTCTAGACATTGGCTTAGGCAAGGATTTCATGACAAGAACCCAAAAGCAAATGCAATAAAAACAAAGATAAATAGGTTGGAAATGATTAAACTAAAAAGCCTTTGCAAGGCCGAAGGAATGATCAGCTGTGTAAACAGGCAACCCACAGAGTGAGAGAAAATCTTCACAATCTATACATCTGACAAAAGACTAATATCCAAAACCTACAAGGAACTCAAAGAAATCAGTAAGAAAAAAAAAAAACCTCATCAAAAGTGAGCTAAGGACATGAATAGATAATTCTCCAAAGAAGATATACATAATGGCCAATAAACATATGAAAAAATGCTCAACATCACTAATGATCAGGGAAATGCAAATCAAAACCACAATGCAATACCACCTTACTCCTGCAAAAATAGCCCTAAGCAAAAAATCAAAAAACAGCAGATGTTGACATGGATGCGGTGATCAAGGAACACTTCTACACTGCTGGTGAGAATGTAAACTAGTACAGCCACTGTGGAAAACAGTGCGGAAATTCCTTAAAGAACTAAAAGTAGAACTACCATTTGATCCGGAAATCCTACTCCTGGATATCTACCCAGAGGAAAATAAGTCATTACACGAAAGATACTTGCACATGCGTGTTTATAGCAGAACAATTCGCAATTACAAAAACCTGGGACCTACCCAAATTACCATAAAACAACAAGTGGATAAAGACACTGTGGTGTGTGTGTGTGTGTGTGTGTGTGTGTGTGTGTGTATACACACACAATAGAATATTACTCAGCCATAAAAAGAAATGAATTCATGGCATTTGCAGCAACCTGAATGAGACTGGAGACTATTATTCTAAGTGAAGTAACTCAGGAATGGAAAATCAAACATTGTATGTTTTCACTCATAAATGGGAGCTAAGCTATGAGGATGAAAATGCATAAGAATTATACAATGGACTTTAGGGACTCAAGGGGAAAAGGTGGGAAGGGGGTGAGGGATAAAAGACTACAAATAGGGTGCAGTGTATACTGCTAGGGTGATGGGTGCACCAAAATCTCACAAATGGCCACTAAAGAACTTACTCATGTAACCAAACACCACCTGTTCCCCAATAACCTATGGAAATATATTTTATAAAAAAATTATAGAAGGAAAACAGCTATAATGTAGAATTTTATATGCAAATAAAATGCTATTGAACATTGAGAGCATTTTAAAAAATATTCCCAGACTCATCCTCCCTCAAGTGGTTTGCTACCCAAAGCAGGGTACTAAAAACATTTTTAGAGAAACTATTCAAACAAGAAAGTCAAATATAGATGGTATGTCAAGAACTATCAGATGTACAAATCATCTGATGTCATAAAAAATTTACTGTTATTCATTAATTTTCTTTTTAATAAATGTTTTATTGTTGTTTCACACCCCTAAAAAATATACAAATCATAAACATAGATCTCAATGGGTATATCATAATAAACATTCAATGGATATTATAAAATTTAAAAAGTAAGCTACTATTTTGCAATAAACATAAATAACCATGCAAGTTAGAGAACTAGCTATTACTGACAACCCAGAATTCTCCTAAACTCATTCCTAGGATAATATTTGCCTACCTTTTCCGGGTAACTAATGTCCTGACTTTCAACAATTTTCTCATAATGCTTTCTGGGTTTTCATTTTCAGATTTTGTATTGTAGTTAGTAAATTAATTCCTGTATAATTGATATTTCTGATGTTATTGTTAGAGGTATCTTTTTTTCAAATTTCAATTTTAGAAGTTCTTCTTTCCTTAAAAAAGAAATGCAATGGATTTCAAATATTATCTTATAGTCACATACCTTGTAAATGTATTCATATAATAGTTTATCTGTAAATTGTTCATTTTTTTGGTGAAAAATTAGCTTAATTGCTTCTCCTCAAGTTCTTATATCTTTTTTATTTCTTCTTTACTTTCTCACTAGCAATTTTGTCAGGTGTAAGGTTGAGCAAAGTTGATCATAGTATCATTTTCTCATTCCCAATGTCAGTAGGAAAATGTTCAACACTTCGCCATTACAGAGGTGTTCATCACAGTCATTTTGGAAGTAGCCTTTAATAATTTAAATATTTTTTCATCATTGCAACTTAGGTAATAGGTTTTGTCACTCATAGACTTTGGAATTTTTTTTTTTTTAGTTATAGAGAATGTCATATAATTTTTGGCTTTTATTCTGTTAAGAAAACACACTGCAGTTTTAAAATTTTGAATATGAAAACATGTTCATCCCTGTAACAAGCCCAGCCTGTTTGTGGTTTATATATTGCTGAGTTTTATGTATAATATTTAATTTAAATTATTTTTAGCTAGGTTGTAAGAGAGACTGGCCTGTTACTGTCTTTTCTTCTAATGTCCTTGTCACATTTCTATGTTAAAATTATCGGTAACCTTATAAAACAAGCTGAGAAATTTTTCAGTAGGGGAAATATGTAAATAATGTTAGTTTTCTTTCCTGTTAATATGTTTTGAAGAATTCTCTAGTGAAACATCTGGACCTAGAACTTTTGTACATATATGAGAAAAAGTTATTATGGATTTTAAAAATAGTTACAGGAATATTCCGATTTTTATGTCTTCTCATGTCAGTTTTGGTAAGTGACATTTTTCAAGTTTTTTACAAATTTTATTTAAACTGTCAAATATGTACTGCAATAATGTAGCTCATAACTTTGAATTTCTTTCTTCTATAGGATCAGTAGTAATACCTTTTCTTTTTATATTACTGTGCTCCCTCCCTCCCTCTCTCCCTCTCACACACTTTTTTTTGGTCTCTGAATTTTGTAAAAGGTTATTTTAACATTATTACAAGGAAAAACTTTTGGCTTTTTTTGATCCCCTTGATTATGTGATTCTTTTTGAATGTATTATTTTCCATTAATATCTCTTGTATGACTTCTATTTTCATTGGATTTGGTTTACTGTTTGGTTTTCAGCTTCTTTAAATGTACCATTTTTAAGCATGTTCTGTTTTCAACCTGTGGGTATTTGGACTACTGGCATTTAATCTTTTATTCTTTGCAATATCACCATTAAGGCTATAATTTTTTAAAAAAAATCAATAGCTTTAGGGATAAAGGGTTTTTGGTTACATGGTTGTATTGTATTGTGGTGAAGTCTGGGCTTTTAATATAGTCATCACCTGAATAGTGTACCCTGTACCCACTAGGCAAGTTTCCATCCCTCACTCCCCTGTCACCCTCCCCGCTCTGAGTCTCCAATGACCATTTTACCAATCTGTATGACTTTGCATAACCAAGGATATCCATTTTCTTGAGTTTCAATATCTCATACATTTATTCTCCTTTTCTTTTCTTTTTTTTTTTTTTTTTTTTTTGAGACGGAGTCTCGCTCTGTCCCCCAGGCTGGAGTGCAGTGGCGCGATCTCGGCTCACTGCAAGCTCCGCCCCGCTGGGTTCACGCCATTCTCCTGCCTCAGCCTCCCGAGTAGCTGGGACTACAAGCGCCCGCCACCACGCCCAGCTAATTTTTTGTATTTTTAGTAGAGACGGTGTTTCACCCTGTTAGCCAGGATGGTCTCGATCTCCTGACCTCATGATCATCCGCCTCGGCCTCCCAAAGTGCTGGGATTACAGGCATGAGCCACCGCGCCCGGCTTCTTCTCATTTTCTTAAAATATTTTCTAATTTCCATTGAGACTAATTTTGTGACTTGTGAATTATTTAGGAATATGTTGCTTGATTTTAAAATATTTGTGGATTAAGTTGTCCTTTTGGAAATGATTTCTAACAGTTTAACTGATGTCAGAAAATGTATTATTTCTATTTTCAATTATGAAAATTTGTCACGGCTTGATCTATGACACAACCTACAGCATTTGAATAAATATTAAATGTGCATTCACATTACATTCAATTTTAAGTTTATCGAGTTTAATATTATGCTATATATATCAATTAGATCAAATTTGCTAACAGAGATATCTAATTCTTCATTATTCGTAATTACATTTTTTTCTACTTCTTCCAACAGTGTAAGAAAAGTGGGCAGAGGTCCCCAGTATGATATGGATGCATATATTTCTCCCATTGTTACATGCATACAAATTTTAAATTGTCACATCATGGAATACTGCTCATTTTATCATTTTGAAAGGTATTCTTTTGTCTTAGTACTGCTTCTTGCCACTAAATTTATTTCATCTGATATTAGTACATCTATCTCAGCTTTCTTTTGGTTATGTCAGCCTAACAGACCATTTTTACATTTTTTTTTCAGACTTCCTCAGTTCTTATTTTTAATAAAAAACATTTAATTACTTTAAAAATTCATTTTAGATATTTTTATTAGCGGAAGTATGAAAATCGTTTATATTTAGCTCAAGATATTTTGATTGTGGTCTACCACTTTGCTATTTTTCCATCTGTTGTATTTTCGACTTGCTCTTTCTTGCCTTTTTTTGCAATTAAGCATTTTTTTCTCCAATATGCCCTTATAATCTCCTATAAGTTTAAGTATCTTTTGATTTTGCCCTAGATATTATTTCATGATTCCTTGACTTATTAGTGTCTGAGTATAAAGTAAAATTTTCATTACTTTTCTTAGACTATGAAGATCCTATAATAATTTTGATATTTTGTTAGGTAGTTTTGTTGATATTTATTTTAAATTTTATATGACGCATTTTATTTATATAGTCACTATTTATTTAGATTTATCCAGATGTTTTGTCCTTCCTTTTCTTGATTTCATTTCTAAATTTCTACATTTACATCTAAAATAATTTTTCTTCTGCTTGACATTATTATTTCATTTGGTGTAATGTATAGATGATATAGATAGTTCCCTTATTTTTTGTTTTCCTGAACATGATTTTTTCTTATATTCCATAATATTTTATTAGGAATAAAATTCTAGTTACCAGTTGGCTTCCATTTGAGAAGTCATCCCTAAGTCATATTGCCACTTTTTGAAGGTAATATGCCTTTTTCTAGAACTATTTTTGAGATAGTCTCTTTGTCATTAATTCTCTAATATGAGCTATGTAGTTGTCTCCGTATTTATCATGCTTCACTCTGGCACTTCCTGAGACTGTGACTTATAGTTTTTCCATCTTTTTTTAAATTATTTATTTATTTATTTATTTTTGAGAGAGTCTCACTCTTGTTGCCCAGGCTGGAGTGCAGTGGCACGATCTCGGCTCACTGCAACCTCCGCCTCCTGGGTTCAAGCAATTCTCCCACCTCAACCTCCCAAGTAGCTGAGATCACAGGTGCCCACCACTACGCTCGGCTAATTTTTGTATTTTAGTAGAGACGGGGTTTCACCATGTTGGTCAGGCTGGTCTGGAACTTCTGACCTCAGGCGATCCGCCCACCTCAGCCTCCCAAGGTGCTGGGATTACAGGCATGAGCCACCATGCCTGGCTTCCAACATTTTTGAAAAATGTTAAGTTTACCTATTTAAATGTGGCTTTTGCCCTTAATATTTCTAATATTCTAATGAAATTGCAGCTAATAGTTAATTCTGGTTAACTCCGTTTTTTGGAGGGTTATCTAAGGTGTGTTACAGATCATATTCATAAAATCAGTGATTAAGCTGGTTTGAGACCGAACTGCAATTATTGTGAATGATAATCTATTTATTTCCATTAATATTCCTAAACCTTTGAAGTGTCAAATGAAGCCTGGGGTGTAGAAATCGGCCTTTCTCATTGATAAGTCTTGAGCCATATATTTTATTCTCTTAAAACTATAAGACTATGAATATTTCTGCTTAGGTTTTTGGTCTATCAATAGCCACATACATGTGAGAAAATCTTTCGTGGGTCAAGGAATAGTCAATATTCTTCTCAATTCTCTGAAGTGCTGTTTTCTTCGGTATTTTAGCCCTGTAATCTTTAATGCCTTGGAATCTTTTTGATACCTCCATGCATATTTTATACAATTTTCATAAGAAGAGAGCTGAGTAGAGAGTCAGTTTATAGTTCAGAGAAAAGAGAAAAACAAGGAAAAAAATAAAGAGAATGCAAATTTTAAAACAAAAGCAATTCAGAATTGAAATTATAGAAATTATCTATATAATGAGAAAGATGAAATTGAAATCTAAGAAACACATGACTATGACAAAGCAAATGTATCTTTAGATACAATGTGCAGATATCAATAGTTTAAGAAAGTAATATTTATTTTCTTATTTAAAATGTTAAGATAATTACCACAGAGATAAATTTAAATACTTGTTAAACTAATATAGTGAGCTATTCTATAGACAAAAAATAGAAGAAATGGGGAAAGGAAACAAACAAAAAATGTGACTAAATGTATAATATGATATAAATTGGCCTAAGTTAAATGTAACAATAATGACAATAAATGCAAATGAGTTAAAAGCAGTAATTAAAGGATCCTGACTTTTATAAATTTTTTAATAATTAAGAGCCAAAAGATGTTGTTGACATAAGTAAAAATTTAAAAGAAGATATATATGTATATAACTACTAACATTAAAATTATTTTATAACACACCAGGCTTAAATACTAAAAAACTAGAGGGGCAATATTTACATGACAACATGACATAATATAATTTCAGGTAAAAATATGTACATTGAAATATATTTATTATTAAAGATTAAAATTATATGAGCTCTATTTTTCAATTAAAAATTGGAGAAAGAGCAGTGGAGGAAACCCAATAGAAATAGTTAATGAACAAAAATCTTTAAAGCAACAACAAAGAATGTTAATCTAACCAAAAGTTAGTTTTTGAGAAAACATTTAGGATACAGAAACCTGTGGAAGGTTAATCAAGACAATAAGAGAGACTGTGTAATATGCACAATTAAAAATTTTTAAGTATTAAAATAGCTTCATTGTAATAAATGTGAATGCTAGAGACAGAAAGATGTAAGGACTGTAACAACTAAGAAATATTAATAATAGGAACTAAAGATAAAGAATATAGGATTTTACAGGCAGTATCTAACAATCATTTCAATAATTATTTCTTAGTCTATTAAAGATCATTCCTTCAAATCCTCAGATAAGTAAATTCTATCAGAATTTTAAGAATCTGTTATTTATTATGCTACTTCTGAATATAGAAAAACAAATTGCCTAGCTAAGGCTAGCATATGTTTTATTCCAAAATCAAGTAGGTAGCAGTAATTATTTTTAAAATAATATTTATGCCAGCAAAAGAGCACATCATTTTGTCCGATGATTTGTATGAGAGAGCGAGAGTAAGGGGTTTGAGCTAGATATAGATTTTATTGTGATTATCATTACCTTCAGTCCACACAGGTTTCAAATTCCCATAGGAATGGCTGATGTTGGCTGGGTTTAAGGTGGGTCCTGGGGTGCTGGAGGATTTTGTTTAGTACCTCTGTTCCCCTCTCAGCTTTCAGCATCCTTACCTTCCTGCACCGCCGAGGTGTTCTCTGTCTTTCCTCTTTCCCTTACTCAATACGTAGACAGCTGATGCTTATTATTTGGTATCAGGCTTGGCATAGAGGTAAAAAGTGGGGTGTTTTATGTTGCCCTGGCTCAGCCTCATTCAATCTTAGGTATGTCCTGTGTGAAAAAAGTCCAAGTTTTCATTCCTTTTTCTGTCTTTTTGTTGTGTTGGTTTTAGACTACTGTCATTGAATTAAGCTGAATTTTTTTTCTCAAAATGGGGCATTCTTAGTGTTCTTGCATTGTGTCCAACTCATCTACGACAATAAAACTCTGTCTTGGATCTGTGATTGGTTTTGGGTGGAAATATTTACCACTCTATAGTAGTTAAAGGCTTCTTCTTGTTATTGGTATAGAATCTTAGCCACAACTGTTTCCTAGCACTCTTCCAAAGATATAGGATGCATTCTTCCACTTGTTCCCAAGCCTCAGTGCATCTTTGCCTGTGATTAGTGGAAATGACAGTTGTGCTGTCTCTTCTATAGTGGCTTAAAGCTTTTGCTTCCTAAGAAAGAATGTTCTGGGGTAGTGGGCAAGGCTTTTTGCCTGTCCCCCAGCAGCAACTGATTATTACCCGAAGCCTGCACTACGCAGCAGGGTCTCTCTCATCTTCTGCCCAGTTCCCAGTCTTTCCCTTCAACAGACAAAGGTCCGTGTAAAAGAGTTTAAGAAATGACCATTTCTTGTGCCTGAGGCCTCCTGCTATTCTAAACTCACAATTTACCCACATTTAGCCTTTAAGAATTTATTAAAGTTTAGCTGATTTCTTATATGATTATATGGTGACTTCCTCTTCATTTTTTGATTGGTCAAAGATGAAACTTTTGTGTGTCCTTTCCATCCTTGAGGGCTTGTCCCTCTCTGGAATCAGTTTACTTGGTTGCCATGCAACTTCATCTCTGATGGGCTGAAAACAACTTATGACTTTGTAGATAATTCAAATATTTCTCACCTTAAGGGTGGGAGCATCATTCTTTTCACCTTTCTACATCCTAATCGGAAGCTGAAAATCACACAGAGGTTTTAGAAATTACTCTTCCAAGGTGCAAAATATTAAGAATTTCCATTTTAAATCTTAGCAGAAAAAAATTACTCTAGTTGGAGTTTCATCAAAAAATCTTGTAAAATTTGAAGTTTTCTTGAGGGACATCTGCCTTCATCTAGTGTGAATTATGAAAACCTTAGTTACACTTGGAAGAGTAAATCCTTACAAATCAATATATTTAACATTGGTAAACAGACAAACAATAAAATTAAATTATAAAGAAACAACAAAAATAAATCATTTAGATATCTAACATGATATATATGAGGATTTATCAAATTTTACCTCATGGTTTAATAATTTCTTCAAATTAAAGAGAATACCTTAACACTAATCTGCCTTTAACAAATAAAATTTATTGCTTATAGTTCATACATGTTGTCTTATTAATGCATTAGAAAAAACCTTTTAGTATAATTTTAAAAATTATTTAAAAATATTTAAGTATGTTTCAACAGAATTGGTACCTTTTATAATACTGTGCTTTCCTTTATGCATTTTCAAAATTGTGTTGAATTAGAAATCAATAAAGTTAAAACCAAAAATTAAATAGAAAAAAAACTGATGAAAGAAAAAAGCTAGTTATTTGAAAACATCAATAATATTGATAAACTTCTATCAAGATTAACTAAAACAAATAGAGATGATATAAATTATTAATACCAGAAATGAAAGAGAGGACATCATTAGTGATCCCATGTACATTAAAGGATAGTAAAGGAATATTATGAACAACTTTATGCACAAAAATTTAATGACGAGGGTGAAATGTACCAATTCCTTGAAGGACACAATCAACCAAAACTCACATGAGGAGAAATAGATAATCTGAACAGGCCTTTATCTATTAAAGAAACTGAATTAATAATTAATACCCTGCTAAACAGAAAGCACCAGGGCTAGATAAGTTCACTGCTAAATCTTACCAAACATTTAATCAGGAAATTATATCGATTCTGCACAATCAATCACTTCCAATAATAAAAGTAAAAAACAAGTTATTCTGGAAAGAGGGACCATGGCACAAGAAATGTTTGGCACAGCACAACCAGTCCCCAGAGACCAAAGCTGGGCCATGTCTTCAAAGCCCAGAGTGTGCATAGCTTGAGTCAAGCTGAAGGAAGGAATAAAAAAAAATGGGGAGAAAGTCAGGGGATATATGATGAAGCAAAATCTTTTATGTCTGATGTTCTCAGAATGAATAAAATTATAAAATGCAAAGTGCATATATCACAGTTTCAGAAGCAATATTGGTCCCACTGCTGATTTTCTAAAATGGAGAACAGATCAACCTCTACACAAACTGATAGTGAGGCAGAATATCCTGGTCTTCTTATTGTAAGAGAAGAAAACGTCTTTCATGGAAGTAACAGTGAAAGAATCCGTTATCAGAACATAGGACAGAACCTTTAGGGGTATTTTCCCTGCAGGCACTAATTAGATATATATCATAAGAGCTATGAGCACACAGGTTTACTATCAGTGAGGCTGAAGCAGTGTAATTTCTGGGAATTATAGGCATGACACACATTTGTGACAAATCAAAGACAATACAGATTAAACTGCTAGATCTAATGTCAACCTGTTTTTTGTAGAAAGCCTAGGGATAACTGCCCAAGGTAAATTTTTACAATATGAGCACCTAGTATTTCCAGGGACTTCTTTACTCCTTTCCACATTGCTTTTTTGATGAATGACACTTTGATTTTGTCCCCGATACAATGACCACAGCATAAAGAATTAGTGCCAGTATAGTTAGATTATAAAATCAAAAATTTGACTAAGACCATAGGAAATAAATCAACAGAATTACAAGATGTAGATTTTAAAATTACTTGGTAAGAACTTGCTTAACTCAAAATACAAGTACAAAATGATATATCAGACAGGAGTCAGACAGGGGAGCAAAGTTAATAATGTGTTTTATGGGATAAAGGACTTATTAAAGGAAGTAGATGTGTAGAGCTGTACAAGTAGCTGGGAAACTCAAGGTCTGAAAGGGAAGTTCAAGAATCAGAGGACCTCTCACTAACAAGTCAATATGAAATACCAAACATATCTCTTTATGTAAGGGTTGCTCCTGGGATGCCCTTTGAGAGGCTGTGATTTTGTGTAGCTACCACCTCTGTGGATTCACATCTAAGAATCTTTTGGTGAGTCTTGGGCTGCTGTTGATGGACAGAGGCAACAGTTGGCAAAGGTGTTGAACGTGGAATAGAGCAGATTTAGGACAGGTTGCAAGCTGGCTGGAACCTCTGCATTGATTGGATACTGCATTTGATTATGATGACCTTCAGAGAATAAAGGCCACCACCTTACTTCCTTTTTCCCAGTTATGTACGAGTTCCTCTTTTGGAAAATACAGAGAAGGACATCTTGAAAAAAAATGTACTTTTTTGCCTACTCAAGATGACACAACGCAAAACACCAGAAATAATTGTCAGAATTGAGGAAAATAAGAATTTTCTTTCTTATGAAATGTTTAGTTGGGAAAGGTGTTCTAGAATAGCCACATTGGATGGGAGGATAGCAATGTTTCTCTCAGGTGAGGAGAGAGTATTTATAAAGCTCGATGAATATCTCCAAAATTTAGGAGTGGCACAGGAGTCTGATGTTTAATTAATTATTTTCCAGAATTGTAAGAGTAAAAGACAAAGGCTGATAAGCTGTTTTGCTGGTAAATTAAAGAACAGCGGCTAATACATTTAGATTGTCAATTTCATGGGTTTGTGACCACTGTAGTTGTATAAGAACCCACATTCAGTGGATCCTTCAAAACTTTACTGTTACTGTCTTGAAATCCTTAATAATTTTATCTTTGAATTTGTGTTTTGTAAGTGAACTCTGATGGGACAATGGAGCATGAGCCAGGAGCATGGGGCCTCAGCTCACATGTGATCTCACCTTTTGCCATCTTGCTCCCCCACTGATACCTAGAGACCACTACACCACCTCTTACCCAGCAGGGGTCTGAGTCCAAATACAAGGAGACTCAGGGTCATATCCTGAGTAATTTTGAGCGCTCTGTGAGCATCCCTGTTTCCAAGGCAGAGTGAAATTAAGAGCAAAGAAAAAACATCATGACAGGTCAAGAAAGAAACCATAGGAAGAAAAATTCTATTATATTTTCTTTTGTTTGTAAAAGGGATCCTGCAAATTAAGTAGCTGACCCGGGGTTTCACTTTCTGGATTTCAGGGCCCACGAATGCATTACCTTTTAGCCCAGATCGGAAATGATCCACATGAGCAATGAAAGATGGCAGATGGCTTGAAGCCAAGTGTTCTTTAAGAACACTTGGGTGGGAGTCCATTGCATGGAATGAACTTCTAGAACAGGGGTGTTCAATTGTTTAGCTTCTCTGGGCCACACTGCAAGAAGACAAATTGTCTTGGGCCACATATAAAATGCACTAACACTAACGATAGCTGACAAGCTAAAGAAAAAAAAAAACACCAAAAAAAAAATCCCATAATGTTTTTTAAAAGTTTACCAATTTCTATTGGGCCTCATTCAAAGCTGTCCTGGACTGTGTGTGGCCTTTGGGCTGCGGGTTGGACAAGCTTATTCTAGAAAGTGAAAAGTTTCATGGGAATTGACAGTTGTAGATTAAATGATCACTTACTATCAGTTAAGAAAGAAATTTCTCTCTTCATTACCACTCCTACTTCCAGACTTCAGTCCTAGAGTGGTCAGTAGAAGCAGTTATCCAATAGGAGAGGGGGTAAGTAAGGTGAAGACCGCTGGAAAGGAAAAGAAACCAAGAATGACCCCTTCCCACAGCCTACAGATGAAAGAGGTAGGGGAGAAAACATATCTGGATTATATTTTAATTAAAATATAGAAATTCATATTCTAATTTCTGAAATAAAATTGTGGTTTACAACATAATATAACTATCTATTAAATACCAATAACCAAAAGAAGTCATGAAAGCTGCTATATTTTTTTACAGATCTGGAAACTTTTCCTGAATACATATTTAAAGAACTACAGAAGACAAAAATGAAATTGCATTGAATGACAATTAGAGACAAGTTTGTTCTTTCGAAAAAATTGGATATTTGCTTTGTAATTTTCACCAATTTTATTTTCCTGAATTATTTCTATTTTTAATGTAGAAACAAAAGTATCTGAGATGGGTCTAAGATATCAGAGAATTATCTGTATTTGTATTGAGATATATCAAAATATAATGTTAATATGATTTGTCACTGAACTATATGATAACTCAGTCGTACTTCTGTCTTTTAAAATTGGCTACAGTTAAACTTCAATCTGTCAATAAAGTAAAAGCTACCTACGTGGGAATCCTAAAATTATAACATGTGATAAAATCTCAGGGGGAAGTTTTGGATTCTGTTGTTTTTATTTTCTGCCATTTGTGCCGATTTGAGCGGTAACTGACCTCATGAAACATGGAAGTATTATTTATGTACAAGGAACTGACCCCTGAGGAATTGAAGGTCAGCACTAAAATAAAAATGTAGGGGGAAATGCAACTAATAAAATGTAGGAAAAAAAACGTGAACAGAAAATATAATAAACCTACATGGTGGTGCTTACATAGATAAAACTGAAAGAGGATTGTAAATAGAACTGTAAGAATGGATTTGTCTACCATTTATTATATTTTGTTAAAAATAAAGAAATTCAATTTACAATATTGAATTTTACTAGACTTTCTGGTTTGAAAAGCTAGAGTTTCTTTTTCCTTTCAGAAGGCTTGTATTCAGGTAATACTGATGAAGAGAATCCTCAAGACCTTTACACTCTGGGTCAGTTCCAAGATGGCTAAGAAGCTGTTTAAAACAACCAAAAAACAACTTGATAGGATTGACAATTTCATGTTTTTTAATAAGTGTTGAATGAGACTGCTAACTACAATCAGCAGATATACATATGTGGTGTCATAGATGTTAGGTTTTCAAAAATAAAGAATGTGTTAGAAAAATGCCTGCAAATCATTTGAATGTTACAACCTTTTTAAAAAAATCTGGCTGTTGAGTGCAGACTGTGCTGTTTCACCTTTTATTACAAAGACTCAGTGAATGAAACATATTTGATAGCTTGGCAATAGAAGAAAAATTTGTATTTAAATGAGAACAGAAGACACTGGGCTGGAATTGATATGATTATGCCACAATTGATGAGTCATAACTAATGACACAGTCTAGAGCTCATGAAGCAAATCTGACAATGGGAGTGAGAGGAATGCAATCAGCACACTGGGAGGAAGGCAGGTGCATGCCCACAGATCGCGCCACGGTGGGGTACTTAGCACAACACTTGCTCCTCATGGTGTATCTCTTGGTTTCTAAGCAAAGGTCTTTGGGGAGAAAAGATGTTATTAAATATTATAAAACTGAAACAAAAATAAAATTGAGCCTAGCTAGGCACTTGAAAATATACTAGTCTGTGACACAGTAAAAGAAAAATCATGCGGATAGGCAACAGATAGTTTTGGAAATTTAAAACTCAGGTTTTGTTTTGTGTCTTCATATATGATGCTGAGGTAACAGATATAAAATTAGGAATTTGTCAGCAATAGCTCCTCCTGCCTTTATCATATGTTTTAAACGATTTAACAGTGACATTTTATTATATTTTCTTTTTTATTGAGATTCATTTCCTATCTTGTCTAATATTCTCCTATTCTCCTGATAGTTTACACACAATTATCACAAAACACTAGCAGTTCCATTAGTTTTGTCTTCACTATCCTCAGAGACTTTCTGAGGAAATAATAATATTGTTTCTTTTATCTTTATCTCTGGAGCTTAGTAGGGTACCTTGCCCATTGTAGTTGAGAAATGATAAATAAGAATGACTGAAAAAAAATACATTTGAAAACAGCTGAACATAAGAAGAAGCTTGAGATATTTATAATATGGACACTTGTTTTTTTCCTAAAGCAAAGCTATTACTATTAGTTAGAGATTATGTAGATTTCAATTTCTTTATAGAAGACAAAATAAAACTAGTAGATTAAAAAAGTTAGTTCCTGCCACTATCCTTCCCCCAACAAGATATCTGGAGACTGAGTGCCAAAATGAGCAAAGAAAGATTCAAGGACCAAGACTGGTGGAATCCTCTCACTCCAGTATTCTTAGAGTCTTGCTTGGGCTTGAAGCATAACACTGTTGTCACATCACTTGACATTGCATTTACGGAATAAGATTCAGTGAGAAAGAACAAACAAGAAGTGATTATATCCTTTAAAGAGCTTTCTCAGAGGCATCGGCTAGTATCTTCTGTTTGCTTCTCATTTGCCAGAGTTGCATCAAGTAGCTTCTCCCAACTGCTTGGGAAATTGGGAAGTACAGTTTTCTCAACATTTTCATACCACCACAAACACTCCCAAGAATGTTCCTAAGCAGTCTGTAATACACAGGACACGTCCCAATGACCAAGAATTATCTGGTCTGAAATATCAATAGTGGTGAGGTTGAGAAAACTTCCTCTGAAGCACCTGGCATTGGGATAAGGTCTCCAAAGGAAACGTTAAAAGACAATGCAAAATGAAGAAGAATATGGGGTACAAAAATTATAGTTATCAATCAACCACAGAACTTAGTTTTCCCCAAATATCTGAAAGGTTGTTTGACTTGTCAAAATGGAAACAATGTACTCAGTATTGCTTCAGAAGGCAAACCTAAACCAAAGTTTGAAATTTGTGATGATGAACATATTAAAATTATAGAATCATTTGAAGGTTATTATTATCCAGCAGTAACACAGTAGATGCCTTTACAGAACTGAACGCAATGAGAGACTAGTATTGTGTCCCTTTGTGAAGTCTTTAAATTATAACAGTTTCAAAGTATATGAAGATTTTGACCAAATCAGAACAAAGGCCATTCATGATATAAACCACTTTGAGACAGAAAGAGCTACTGGTTGGGTCTATAGGGCCGCTAGTCTAGGCCCCCGATAATTTATGCACCAGGAGAAATGTCTTTGAGGAACAGATAATTGCCTTCTGCATGGCTCTCCTAGACATGTTGGTGGAAGCTGCAACAGGAGTGGTTATTATTAATCCCTTTTAGAGAACTATACTAGTCTCACCTCTGAACCACCCATCAATATTGTGCTCAATTAGCACTTTATTTCAATTGACAATGAAATTATATACTGAAAACAGCATGAATCCATGACCTGACCAGAAGCATTCTCTAGCCAGTGAATGATTTTTCTATCCTTGCCTCTTTTTCAATTTAACAAAAGAGGATAACACTGAATTCAGACTACAGTTGTGCAGACCCTCATTGTTTTAAGTCATCAGAAAGAACATAATTAAAAATTAATTTAAAAACTAGGAATATTTATATTGTCTTTCCTTACAGATTTCCTCTTCTGGTCTTTTGCCTTAATAGTTATTTACTATTTCTCATTCATATTTGGTAGAAAGTGTCATTATACAATGTATAACAAAGGTCTTGAGAACACAAATGTATAACTCTTTCATATAATTATAATCCAAAGAAATCTTTAATATATTCATGTTAAACATCGGTTTATATGATATTTGCAATCCATGTGAAAAAACCATTTTACAAAAATATTAAAATAAAGCCCAAGTTTTTGTATTTGAGTGATTCAGCTTAAGAAGACTTATATAAATTATGAAATAAATACATATTATGTGATCATAATGCAATACACCTTTAAAAACCACTTGTTTGAAAAGAAGCAAGGCATATTCACTGATTATATACAACTACTGCTTTCAAAATTTTCACTTTTAACCAGTAGACTTTTCATAAGTGTTTTATATTGTCAGGGTGTTTTTTGTTTTTGTTTTTATGATTTAATGTATTTAACTTGTTTCTCTATTAGAACAGAAAAACACACATTTCTTTATTTCTTCTGCATTCCTTTCCATTTGTTGGCCATGACAGCAGTTAGATTATACCCCTTTCTACTGAAACGTTGTGCTAAGTTTTGGGAGGGCAGGAGAAAATATCTTCAGCTTGAAAAAAAAAATACTTGAATAAACAGGTAATTTTTTTATTAAGATATACAATGGTCACTTTCTTTAGTGAGTTATGACAATCTACCTCTGAAGTACAACATGTTAGAGTCATTTGCTCTGGAAAAAGTCACTTTCAGGAATGGTTTTATTACAATGAAAAGGAATAGGTATACTGGCTCTTAAGTGCCACTATTGCCCTTTATGAGAAAGAGAACTAGATTAGCCGGCACGCTTACATCCCACACTCTTTATGAGCCTTATATGTTTTGGGGTATTTTCAACATTTTAATCTGGATGATGTTATTTTCAGAAACATCCTAAAACAATTTTCAAAGAAGCAAGGAAAAGGTTAACACTGAACTTGCGTAATTAAAAATTCAGTCATGAAAATGCATTTGAATACATTTGTTTAGCAATCCTAACATAGCAATCTTCAGAAGTTGCCCAGAGATATCTTTTGAGGTTTCATATTATGTTAAACATGCAAAAGCATAAAAACAGGGAAAAACGAAATGGTATAACAATAAAAAGGTTTAAAATGATGAGGAATATTCATTTGCTTCCCTGATTAAAATTAAGTTATATAATTATATAGATACCAATATATTAGAATTGTTATATACAATCTAATTTAAGGCATAAGAGATAAGTGTGTTCAAGGGGAGTAGAGAAAAAGTGCTCTTAATTTTTCTTTTTGATTTTTTGCTGTGGTTAGTGTTAATACACGTATATTGAATGGATATCTTATTTTTAAACAACAAAACCTTATTGCAACAACAGCAATTTACATATACCTGATATTTTATATAATGCACTAATGAAAGCATTGTGATGTTAAAATTAGCATCGTAGAAAGGAAATTGATAAATGTAACTATCAAACATTAATTTTGGGGGATGAATATTTTCTAATCTATTTCTGAAAAACTATTACTTGGTTATACTAATTTATTTGAGGGTATCTTCCCCTGTATCATTTTTACCACCACTTTTGAAAGAAGCAAACAATACTCCTGAAAAATAAATTTTAATTCTATAGCTTTCTACGACAACTTTTTTCTTATTCATACCAAAGATGAAGCTATGCCCATACCTCATTGATTATATATGCAAAGAGTTCTCTATCAGGACAACATGAAAGATTTCTTCCCACTGAGGAGTCTCTCCATTACTGAAAGTCAATTGGCAAATGTTATTATGTTTCCACTAATAACCATTTGATCCTCTTTTAGATTTTCATTCACTCTAGTGTTAAATGAATCTCCGCTGAAAATTATTAAATCAAAACTATAATACCTTAATAGAGAAAAATGAATGTTATGAGGCAGTATCTCACCATCAAAGTTGCAGGGACATGTCTTTTCAAAGTGAAATATATAGCTTATCTAGTTAACAAAAGGGCAACAAATTCCTTTGCAGGTCTAAAATTGAGCCAGCAAAGTGGTGGTTTACAAACAGATGCCAGTTTCAATTTTCATGTTAGGTGATCAAATATATATTGAGTCTGCTTAAGAAATGCTGTTATCACAGGATTCAACACACAACGTCGAATTCCTGCATAGAGAAATTTCATTTTTTCATTACATTCTATACATGCAAACTTCCTAGCTAGTGTGGAGAAAACCTAGGAAAAAAAAAAGTTTAAGGTGAACCTTGAAGGATGAGAATGAATGAAGTACAGACCATTATGTAAGGTTTGAAGGCATGACACTGTATACAATTATTGAGTAAGGATGGAACACATCCACACTAGTGATGAGAACAAATTTATATTTTGAGTGCAGTACATCCATTCATTCTTGATTCCTTCTTAGACATTATTTCCTAAAATTGAGCCACAGGATGGTCAGAATGGTCAGATCTGCTACCACAGGGAACTGGGACTTTTGTTTAATAATACATACTCCACAAACATGCACAACCTCTTCTCCTCTTTTCCCTAGAGTAGCTGATTCTAGTACAGTGATTCATGTGACCTGGATGGGTAAAGGGGTATATGCAATCAACTGAGTTCATTAGAATAAGTTTTAAAGTGTTAAAGAAATGATAAGGCTGGGCGTGGTGGCTCACGCCTGTAATCCCAGCACTTTGGGAGGCCGAGGCGGGTGGATCAGGAGGTCAGGAGATCGAGACCATCCTGGCCAACACGGTGAAACCCTGTCTCTACTAAAAATACAAAAAAAATTAGCCGGGCGTGGTGGCAGGTGCCTGTAATCCCAGCTACTCGGGAGGCTGAGGCAGGAGAATCGCTTGAATCTGAGAGTGTCGGAGGTTGCAGTGAGCCAAGATCGCCACGACACTCCAGCCTGGCAACAAAACGAGACCCCGTCTCAAAAAAAAAAGAAAAAAAAAAAAGAAATGATGACTCCCTGTAACAATTGCCTGGTGACTATATTCAACTTAGATCAAAACAATGCAAAAAATCTACTGTAAACTATGTCATTTCTGTATCAGGATTTTACCAAGTTAGCGCAGGAGTAATTTATATTTTGAGATTAAACTTTAGAGCAGAGTTTTTAAACGGAAAATTCTGTGATAAAAATTTCTATAATATACTGAAACCTTGGAAGAAGAATAAAAGGCATAAAATGGTATATGTATGGAAGTTTTATTTTATTTTGATTAATTTAAATACAAATGTAAATAACCTCATCTGTCTATTGGCTACCATATTGGATAGCACAACCGTACAGCATCAGTAAGATTTAAACTCATAAAAGTATTATCAAATCTATTAAAAATAGATGACTTTTTCCTATCTTAAAATAGAACTAAGGTGACATTTTTTTTCCACAGCCATATTAATGGATAGCAGCCTTTTCAATACTGTTTCCTCATAAGTGTATGGATAAACGGATTCCAAATATATTTGGTTAAAAGCAAGACAAACAAATATATTGAATTCAGATAACGACTCTAGGTCAGAGATCAATCGAAGGTGGGTCCTGATTTCAAGACTACATTATTTTGTGCTGAGTGAAACAAATGAAAGCTAACTAAAGTAAATAGAAATGAAATAAGATTTGTAATATAGGTAAAGCAAAGTGCCCTAGGAGAGCAGGAATATTTCTTTCCATTGTCAGATATAAGCGTGATATTTGTGGTGGGCCTTGAAAGACTAGAAGAATAAGAGATGTAAACAACAAGACTTAAAGGCATAAAATGGTATATTATATTTATGGACATTTGGAGTTCTCACTATTAAGTGGGAGGTATTGATAAGAACACATGGACACGTAGATGGGAACAACACACAAACCGGGGCCTTCTGGAGTGCAGAAGTTGGGAAGAGGGAGAGGATCAGGAAAAATAATTAATGAGTACTAGGCTTAACACCTGGGTGATGAAATAATCTGTACAACACACCCCCATGACACAAGTGTACCTATGTAACAAATCTGCACCTTTATCCCTTAACTTAAAAGTTATATATATTAAAAAAAAAACAGTGAAGTTTGAAGTGATGCTAAAAGAGCAATCGGGCAATAGGACATGAAAGGTCATGATGCTATGTCTGGAAATCTGAAACATACTCTGTGGATGATAGAGCCAAAAATATTTTAAGTATAACAACATGATTTGATCTCTGCATTAGGAAGATAGCCCTATGGCAATATCTGGGGATGACTGCAAAGGTAAGAAATTACAGGCAAGGAAACCAGTGAAGAAGTTACTAGCTACAATTCAAGAATGATAAATACTTGAATCAGGCTAGTATTTTAGAAGGTATGCAAAGTAAAGGCTATCTTTCTGAGCCATTGCAAAGTTGGGAGGTGATTACTGAATAAACCAAGCATCTTCGGGAGAGGAGACAAAGACAGTCTGTGCCATTTCATTTCGAGGCCTAGAATAAAGAGTGATGACACTTTATTCTAGAGAAGGTTTGGTTCTAAAATACTTCTTTATTTTTCTGATTTTTATTTTTTGGTACTTTAATTGGAAAATTCCTAGTATTTTTGTGATGTCAGTGAAGAAATTGACGATTAAAGAGAAAGAACATGAGTTAAACAGAATGTACAATTCAGAAACTAGGTTTTCAATTACAGTTATATTTTTAGGGAAAAAATGGTAATGCAAATCTAATTTTAAAATTCAGTCAATACAAAAGTGTGTAATGCAAAATAAAAAGCAAAATTAACCTCACACCTACCTGTTAAAGAGTTTCCACTGTTAGTAATTTGCAGTATTTACTTTCATAACTTTTCCTACATATGTATAAACATATATACATTTTTAAAATATTAATTATTTATCTTCACTGTATATTTGTATGCAAAAATATCTATAATGCATACCTAATAGCACTGCTGAATTATATACTTGCTTGAGTTGCATAATGTTGCAGCCCTACAGGTACATATTTTTATTTACACAACTTGGATGATTTTCATTCAGTGAAACAATTTATTAATTTATTCCTTCCATGTCAATGTATGTAGAGCTTTATTATTATTTTCCATGGTTTTCAGGATATTCCATAACACAGACACATCACCATTTATTCTTTCTGTAGTAGACATTTAGGGGATTTAAAATGTTTACATTATAAATACTGACAATTTAGTAATTAGTGTCTTAGAGATTTTATTCCAAGTTAAAAACAAAAATAGAGATTTAATATAAGTCCAACTGAGAAATCTATAAAGTAGGCAAAATTTTAAAGTTATCATACACATACAAATTCAAATGTATTCTTATCTACTCATATTTTTAGTAACTCCTCTGATAAAAAAGAGATCATAGTAGAAATAATCAGATATGAAAATAAAAAATTAAAGATTTAAAAATTTGGTATGTATTACTCTCCACTGAAGACACGATCTTATTGGTAATTATTGGAACATCATGCTATCTATATACCTATTATTTTAGATATTTATCTATCCACATAGTTTCCACATCATGCTGACACACACACATCTAGGTGTACACACACGATTTGGGCCCTTTTACACTATATCATTTTAAAGTGATATGTGCTGAGATTTGATCTATGAAATAGTCACCCAATTACAGTTCAGAGAATCTCCATCTGAAAAGAGGTGAACACAATTTTCACCTTGTGAATATTCAGAAATTGAATCCAGGGAAGAAATTTATTCCTAGTGAACATTGTATATGAAAAATGAGAACCTAGGAAGTGGCTATTTTCATAATGATATAAATCTGGAAACACAACTAGAAATACACTTCAGCTAAGCAAGAATTGCAAAGAACTTTGTACTCGTTCAAATGAAATTATTTCCTCGCAAGGAATTTCTTTTTTCAGTTTCTCTTTAATTTCATTCAGCTCATTTCTATTTTGTAATTACCACCTTCCTAAAAAGCAATCATAATAACCAGTTCTTCTGAAGGTGGAGAAACAAGAATATGGTCAACTAATTACAAATGTTTGGGAACACTTATCAACAAAATGTATAAAACCAATTCATTTTCTGCCAATAACATGATCATGTATGTCTCAAATCACAAAAGACGATGAATTATGCAATTATTTTTCTCTTATTTGAGATCCTTAAAGATTGGAGTAAGAACAAGGAAGTTATATTATTTTTCCATAGGGACTAAAACGTAATCCACATGCTTTAATATAATGGGCTGCTTGTTTGCCTTTCTGTGAGACAAGGCAAGCATATCCACCATACACACAGCATTGATCAATCAATAAACCTTGCTATGCCAAAACCACAAATTTAATTGGGTCAGCATTAGGGATCCCATATATTAGTTTTTCTCATGACCAATCCCGTTTGGAAATATTCTAATACATCTTCAAATGCAACTTCTCTATTGTAAAACTGATAGGTCTAGAAAATGTGGAGAAATACAGTGGGAGGAGAGGAAAAGAAGGGGAGAAAAGAGAGACGAGAGAGGAGAGAAAGGGAAGAATGGGGAGAGAGACAATATATGTTTTTAAACATTTGGAAACCATTTGCTTCCTTTTTTCTTTTACATAAGGCAAATAAGACAATATGCATAGAAGTACTTTATGTTTCAATTTTGAGAGGAATAAGTTAAGAAATGTGATCCTAGGCTTATTGTAAGGGATAGACTCATTCTCTTATCTTCCAGGAGCAATTTTTCTTAGTGGTTTTTGAAACTGCTGACCAACCATTGTCATTAAAACCCTCTCTCTCGGTTTCTAAAATACTGAAATCTCCTTATACCTTATAATCTTCTTGACTACTTTGACTTAACTTTTGACTTAGTTTCTATTTACAATCTACCATAAAATAGAAATGTTTATTTAATAATTATTTATATTCTCTCTGTGTGTACACATAAACACACACACACACTTCCACAATCCTGTTAGAAAGTTATTATTTCTAATTTATACTAAGAATACAATGAAATTGTCCATTTAATAGGAAAGCCCAAGATAACATAGTAAATCCCGAAGCCACAATACAAACACAATTCAGTCTGATTTCTAAGACTATGTTCTCTTGTCACGCCATGCTACATGTCCCCTTAATACCATGGTTCAACGTTCTTCAGTTCTCTTACTGTCATCATTTATAATTGCCTTTTGAGAGATCTCATCCATTCTTAAGATTTGAATGTCCACTTCTGCATGGATGGCATGCAACGTCTCCAGTACTGACATTTTCCATATATTGCAGTACCACTTTGGAAATGCACTGACTCTTTAAAAGCCACATAAATGTTCAGCCATTAAATTCAAAATTATTATGTCTTAATAAAAATGATTCCCTCCCATCTCAAATCATTATTTTCTTTCAACTATCATATACAATAACCTGTTACACAAATCCATACATTGTTTATGGTAAGTATTTTGAAACCATATTTTTATCTTCATTCTTGTCTGTAAAAGATAATCTATTATTGAATTCTTTCACACATCACTCTAAACTCTTTTGCATTTTTCTCTTATCCACTTTTACTTTCAAGATTTTTATCTAACGGCTTTATCCCCTACATTGTGATTCATACACAGCCCCTGGGAAGTGAGGAGTGCCTCTGCCCAGCCAACATGCAACCCTCCAGGTGTGAAGTGGCAGCCTTATGTGTGATCTTTCTGCCCTCCCCAAGTTTGCATTTTCGACACTAAAGTTTACTTTTAAATTAAAAAAAAATAATAATATAGAAAAAGGTTTTCCTATTAGAGTTTCTGTTTCTAAATTCTGCCTTAAATCCAGGTTTTATAAAACTATCGTTCGGGTGTGGTGCCTCACACCTGTAATCCCAACACTTTGGGAAGCTGAGGCGGGTGGATTACCTGAGGTCAGGAGTTTGAGACCAGCCTAGCTAACATGGTGAAACCCCGTCTCTAGTAAAAATACAAAAATAAGCCAGACATGGTGGTGCACACCTGTAGTCCCAGCTACTCGGGAGGCTGAGGCAGGAGAATTGCTTGAACCCAGGAGGTGGAGGTTGCAGTGAGCCGAGACTGCACCATTGCACTCCAGCCTGGGTAACAGACAGAGACTCATTCTCAAAAAATAAAATAAAATAAAACAAAACTATCAATATTTCTAGTGAAATTCATATCACTCTAATACCTTAAGATATATTATCAAAATCTCCTACTTAATCAAGCCCTGTAAACTCCCATCAGTGAAACTCATACATAAGTGGTGGTGGAGGGGGGAACACCTTTTCTTATTGCTGGAAACCTAGAGTAGTTTTGAATTAGAAATCCAGAGTTGCTTTGAGTTACTGTTATTCCATGAGAAAGACAGTATTTTATGGATATTTCTAAACTCAGAAAGATAGATCTAACCAAAGATGGCTTCTCCCAGTGATTTTTGATCTTTCTAGTGGCAGTATATAATCCATTGCAGGAAGCTGTGGTGCTATCGGAAGCTGAAACATCAAGAACCCAGATTATTCACATTCCCCTGACTCCTATCTCCTCTCTCTCTCCTTCCCCCACTGCCCCACTCATTGATCATTTACTATTTCTTTTCACACTGAATTATGCTTTTATCATGAATAGTATCTAGGTTTATAAGTGTACAGTAATATAAATTCTAAATTCTTTGGTTTAAATGTATTAATTTTCTCTCATACTTTACATCCTAGAACCATTATCTTGGATTATGGTGTTCCTAGACATTCTTGGACTATTCTTTATCCCAAACTATTTCAAATTTAGAACTTCAATCTCTAAAAGACTGTTAGTAAAATTAATTTATTATTTTACCTGCTCACCTCTTTGCTACAGTGGGTCTTTCCTATCTGTGGATTCTATATCCATGGACTCAAAGAGACACAGATTGAAAATATTTGAGAAAAAACAATAAAAATAGCAATACAACAATAAAAATAATACAAAAAATACAGCATAACAACTATTTACAGAGCATTTACATCGTATTAGGCATGATAAGTAATCTAGAGGTTATTTAAATTATATAGGAGGATGTGTGTGAGTTATATGTAAATACTATACCATTTTTTATCAGGGACTAGAGCATCTGCAGATTTCAATGTCTGAGAGGTCCTGAAACCAATACTTCACAAATACTAAAAGAAGATTGTACTTCTGTATCTATCTGTTTTTTGTACAATTGAAAGATTCAGATTCTTCCCTTTTTATCTATCTCAGTTTATAAGCACCCCCCCATAGTTTTTCTTTCATCTAAACAAATGATGGACCATTTTAAACAGAAATTTCATGCCCGCATTCTTAGTGTTTAAATCTCTTCATTTATGTTCTACCTTCCATGATGATCACAAGTACTGGATCACTGTACCAATTTTTTTTCTCTTTCTGTATCTTGATATCAGAATGCCATTAGAGGAAACCACGTATTTGTGTAGATTATGACACTCTAAACCTCATCTGGTCTATATGAACTAGTTAAACATGATCTTTATCAGTCATCTTTTCCATTTCCCACATAAGTTATTCCAAATGGATACCAAGCACCTCAAGTCCCTCACATTTCCACCGCTACAAATGCAAAGAGTGAATATAATCATATGGGAAATTGTGGTTATTAGTAAGATTCCTTCAATGTCCTGTCTGTATCTCTTTATATAACAAATGAAAAGCAACCGAATTAGAATTTTACTCATTTTCACATCTTTTTCTATAGGCCCACAGGATGAGCTTTTCACCATTTTCTTTTTAGAGGGGATTTTTCCACCAGTGACTTTGATTTCTATACTTTCATTTCTACCATAACCTGAATTCTGATCTCAAGTATTTTCAACTAATGTTCAGACACGGTGGCTCTGTCATAGTTCTTACAGTCAAGTCTCTTATTTTTCTCTCACAATTTCCACCTCCGATTAGAAACTACCCTAAATCCTCGCCTTTCATTTTCAGTCAAGTTTCTGAAAAGAATATTCTATGAAATGTTTTTCAAATCTGGCTGCACATTAGAGTCACCTTGGGGAGGTTTTGAGCCACACTGATGTCCTTTTCCCTCCTCAAGAAATTCTGATTCCGTTGGTCTAGGGTACAGTGATAGGCATAATTTTTGTTGTTGTTGTTGTTTTTTCTTTTATTTTTTGTTTGTTTGTTTTTAAACTTCCCATGGGTTTTTTTTTTTTTGAGATGGAGTCTCACTCTGTCTCCCAGGCTGGAGTGCAGTGGCGCGATCTCGGCTCACTGCAAGCTCCACCTCCCGGGTTCACGCCATTCTCCTGCCTCAGCCTCCTGAGTAGCTGGGACTACAGGCGCCCGCCACCTTGCCCGGCTAATTTTTTGTATTTTTTAGTAGAGACGGGTTTCGCTGTGTTAGCCAGGACGGTCTCAATCTCCTGACCTCGTGATCCGCCCGCGTCGGCCTCCCAAAGTGCTGGGATTACAGGCGAGAGCCACCACGCCCGCCCCTTCCCATGTGATTCTTATACGCAGCCGTATTTTGAAACCACTGTTCTACTAACTCAGACAATGGTTTCTCATTCCTCTCTCATGTACTCCAAATACTTTCTACTTCTACTTCTCCCCTAAAACAGTTCTTTTGAAGGGCACTAATATCTCCCTTGATTTCCAAGTCCAGTTAACTATTTTTAGTTTTTGTATTATTTTTTCATACTGAGTCTCAACTTTTCTTTAAAAGCCTTGCTTTCTATGACATCCTTTCCAAATCCATTTCTATATTTTTCTCAGTTTTCCGTTCTGGTTCTTTTTCTCCTTCCTTCCTCTCAAAGGCCACTGTTTCCCAACCTCCTGCTCTTTGCTCCTTTTTCGTCCTTCTTTGTAAGCACCCTCATGACTCCCTCCTCTTGCAGGGTTCCACTATTACACATTATGTTTCTGTAGCCCGTATAGACTTTTGCTGTATAACATCAGATTCATATTTAAGAACCTACTAAGTCCTTCCAGAATGGTGTTCCAGATCCACCTCAAATACCATGTTTCTGTCAAACAGCAGCTTCTCCACCTGAACTATTCTTTCTTTAGTATCATGATTCCCCAGCCCTGACACTCATGAGAATCACTTGAGGAAATTTAAAATTCTGAGACTGGGCTGGGCGCAGTGGTTCAGGCCTGTCATCCCAGCACCTTTGGGAGGCCGAGGCTACAGGATCACCTGAGGTCAAGAGTTTGAGACCAGCCTGGCCAGCGTGGCAAAACCCCATCTCTACTAAAAATACAAAATTAAGCCTGGCATGGTGGTGCACGCCTGTAATCCCAGCCACTAGGAAGGCTGAGGCAGGAGAATCACTTGAATCCAGGAGGCAGAGGTTGCAGTGGGCCAAGATTGTGCCACTGCACTCCAGCCTGGGCAACAGAGGAAGAAAGAGACTCTGTCTCATAAAATAAAAATATAAAAATAAAAATAAAATTCTGAGACTGACTTTCAGAAATGTTGATGTAATTGATCTGGGGTACCTAGACATTGAGATTTTTAAAATATTTCAGGTGCCCCTAAGGTTCAGGCAACCTGAAAGTTAGGAAGCACAAGAATGAATTTTAGTATCAGGGTATTCAAAGGTGGTTTCATATTAGAATCACCAGGAGAGCAATTTTTAAATACTATTATAGACCCAAACCCATTTCAATTGAATAAGAATCTCTGAGGTTAGATTTCAGGAATTTGTATTGTTTTAAAGTTCCCCAGGTGATGCTTATGTGTAGGCAAGGTTGAAAACCATTGCTTTAGTAGTTTCATCTCAATGAATGGCACTGTTTTCCACACAATTGCTCATCCAGGCCTGGGAGTCATGTTAAACCCAGACTTTCTCCCCACCTTTCTCTTATTCCACACTCAAATAAAATCCACATCCCATGAATCCTACATTTATAAAATATTCCTTTTAAACATCTTCTCTTGAATGTCTAATGGCCATTTCAAGTTTTAACATACATAAAATTAAGTTTTTGACATTTCTAACCAAAACAGGACTTGCAAAGTCCAAAATATCATTTTGACATTTCTTTTCCTAAAATAGTACTACAAATAAAAGATCAATATTGCCAATTTTTTGAAGTGAACTTATTTGAATAATATAGACTTTTTAAAAAGATCTTTGGATTTTGTTTTTCTTTGTTCCTTTAGGAAAGAGTATTAAATAATAATATTTAAGATTATAGTACTTTGAGTATATTTAGATAGAATGATAGAACAAGAAATTTAAAGAACTTCTGTTGTTGGAAGAAAAAAACTTATAAAAAGATTCCATCTCTTTGTCATGAGTTAAAAACAAACATTTTAAATTTCAATAAATTTCCAAAGGAAATTTGGCTTATAGTAAAAAAAAGGAAGAAGTAGTAGTATATTGAGAGTTAGTCTCAGCTCCTTGAACTTGAGATGTTTCTATCTATGCCTGTTTCTTGTCTTTTTAAAAATACTTTAAATTTACAGCAATAATCTGTTATATTATCTTCTTTGTTTTTAATATTGGTTCATATAATTTCTTAGTGTGCTACTTCTTTCGTTCTTTCAAGAAAAATGAAACTACCCAGAGATGGATTTCCAATCTAAGTTTTCACTACCTTTTGTGCCCCTGAGAGCCAGTAAATCCGGTCTGTTTTGATAATATTTTAGCCATGACACAGGCCAGTCATGGCAAGGAAAAAAAAATGAATTCATAAGAAAAAAATCTGTATATTTGTGAAAAAATCAGGATCTATCATATCCCAAGTTTATTTGGTGGCATTAACATATAATAGTCCATTTGCTTACTCCCCATAAATATGTAAAAAGGCAAAGAGAAAGTAAAAAATAAAATTATTCTTCCACTCACACAAGTGGCTGAATAGGCCTAATCAATATTAACTTCATTGTTCCCCCATAATTCTATGTTTAGCTTTTAAACATCTATCTTTTAAATATGCTATTTTTATTAATTTCAAGTTAATCAACTAAAATAGGTTCATTCCTTTCATTTTACCAGTATTACAAGTGACTGTCTAGGAGCCTGAGTTCTAATGAGGCAGCCATTCCAAACAAGTGCAGACAAAGCAGTGGTTTCCCTGGCAACGAGAACCATGAAAAAGCTCTTAGAATAGTTATTCCCACCCTTACACACAACTCCTTTTCATTTCAGTAAAGCTTCCTGTCAGAACACATTCATCAATGTAATTTGCCAACAAAGTTTAAGAGATTAAATCCCCCTCCCCACAAGAATGTAAAAATAAAAAAACAAAATAAAACCTACAATCAAAAATCAACAGCTATGCTGAAATTGTAGTTAGGTCATCAGGTAATGCTTCAAAGGAAGTAAAGGACATCATAAGATTCCTGAATACAGTTAACACCACTTTGAACCTGAGATTAATTTTCGTTTGATTTTTAACAGAGGATACAGAAGGTAGATGCATCAGGAGGAGGGGCAGGTGCCTTTAATCATTACCTCTAGAATTATCACTTTTAACCTCAAAGCAGTTTTTATTTAATTTAGTAAAAGTTTATAAAAGTTTAAATTATTGTATGCATCAAATTAAGATTTAAGATGTCCTTCATAAACATTAACCTTTTGTTGGTGATGTTTACCAAGAAAGGTAAACTCTGAAAACATGATGTCATCGTTTCAATTGGTGGAATTAAGTAAAAGATTTTCAAATGAGGCACTTGAACCTATTTTCTATCTACGCATGCAGTAGAAAAAAAGCACACAAAACAGGCAGCATTTTGTGTTATGCGGCATTTCAAACAAGAGGGAAAACACATCTGGAAATAAAAGGTGTTTAGTTGAAAGAACTGACCTTAAATAAAACAATTGCAACACTTTATTTGGGCTTCTTACTGGAAATCAAATTCTTTGAGTTTAAAATACACCTACTAAATGTAATACAAAACCAAAATAACACACTTTCAGCATTTCTCAAAATGTTAGCACCCAGCAAATGCAGAGTTTACAGTTCTAGTGATTTTCCCTGTTCTTTTCATGGAATGCATATCTAACCTGTTTTTCAGCCAGCATGCTACAGCAAAGGAAGATTCATGTTGTCCAGGGCTATTTCTTTAAAACAGTATGGAAATTACTTTTACCATAAATTAGGTTGTGCTTTAATGCTGAGAAAGGTCTATTTTGCCTTCATTTTGACCCATGACATACTTAGCCTTATAACAGCATAATGAGCATAATGAGGTCAAAACTAATACTGCAAAATAAAACACACTCACACAAACACACATTATTTCTCAAGGAAGATGAAAAAAAAAAGGTTACATTGATTTTTTTTTTTTAAAGCGGGACATTCTCACTACTTTTTTCACCTGAAGATTGAAAAGGAAACTCATTTCAGTTTGTAACATTGCACTGACTGTTCCAGACACAAAATGAATCAAGTCTCCTGTTGGATTATGTGGTTAGCATTTCTTCTCTTCCCTGGTGAGATAATTTGTTACTTACAGCTGTGGTATAAAAACTCAAACATTGTCTTTTGCAGAACGGATTTGAAAAGTGGGCCCCCATTCTATTTTTGTTAGAAAATAATAAAATCACAAATTTTATCATGTATCAAAAATGTAAAGTGAAATATAAATGTGAAAGGTCTGATATTTACTTAATGAATATTTACCAAATACTTAGCATTTGCATATTAAGTACAAGTTTCAGGAAAAAAAAATGTAGCCATGTTTAAATCTCAACTTTATTTCTTCCTCTTGCTTTATTTTTTGAAAAATAAGAAATATTCACATTAAAGAAAAAAGAGAACATATTTAAAAATATTTTCATCTATATTCTAGTCTAACCAGAGTATCTATAATTTATATTAGTTACCAAATGTATTAGACAAATTAAAACACAAGTGTTTTTATTTATTATTATAATGCTTTTTTAAAATATGGACATTCACAATTTTATGCTTACAAGAGAATATATAATTCAAGTACTCCCATGAAATAAAGTACCAGTTCTCTACAATCAAACCTATAGTGCAAAACGTCAGCTGAAAATTACTTATAAAACTTTCAATTAAACTTTTACTAGTTTAGGTATTCTCTTCATAGTTGAGAAATATAATGCAAATAAAAGTTGAGTATGCCTCCCTGCCTCCAACTAAGACGTAAAGTTGATCTTCCATGTCATGTTTCTTAAAAGTAACTCTAAAATAAGTTTCTTTCAAACCTTCTAAATTATTCTCTTTCCCTAATGGCTTGTTGTATTCTTCCCCAGCAGAAATGACTAAAATAGCCCTATTGCACTTAATCTAATTAGGGATTTTTGGAGAAATGGTGGTTACATAGTTCTCATTAACTGACTAAAAAACTGTACCATCTCCAGAGGTATAGATTTTAAAAAGCAGGGGAGGGGGATGATTCCTTTTAAAGCTCCAGAAATGAATGTAAGTGTTCATATTCTGGTATGTTAACAGTTTGTTCCAGTACATTGATATTTTATGTGGAAGCCCTACTCTGCAATTAATATGCCTGATGCAAATTGAAAAACCCATAATCCATCCTTCTCTGTTGGAATGAAAGTGTATATTATTATTGAGAAGCTGCAGGATACCAGAACCATTTTTTAAACTTGACTGCTCATTACCTTAAATCTGCATATAAAACAGTTTTGCATTCAGATGAGGTAATACATAACGGAATATATTGTGGCGCATATAAAAAAAAGTGCTCCAAATAAAAACGACCTGTGGGCTTCCTTTGTAGAAGAAATTTATGCAGTTCCAGGCATTAGGGATTAATGATAGCTAAGAGCAAAAGAGAAGGAATGAGCATTAAAACATTGTGCCTAACTTTCCTGACTACCCCAAGGCTAAAGGACAAAGTGAATTGTCAAATCTCCTTAAAGGTAAGGACTACGAATTTATATTAAGTAAATATGATATTTGGGGATTGCATCTGGTTCTGTCACATTAGTATTCAGAATATTTCTTATAGCTTTAAAGGAGAAAAGACAACCTTAATGGAGGTATGAGAGAAGAAAGATTTTAAAAATCCTTTGTTTCTAACAGCTTAGAGAGCCTCTTTCCTTTGTCTTGTTTCCAAAATTATGCATACAATTCTTCACAGGACATAAAATGCTATTGTCTGCTATGATTGACAAAATCCAAGATTTTAATGAAAGTTATACTGTAACTATTTTAAAGGGAAGGGGAACCACACATCCCTAAGAGATTCAAATGTAATATATTCTCAAAAATGGAAAGATTCCAGGGATACAGATTTCTTTCTTTCATGGATTTCTCCTAAGCGTGTTCAATTCATTTGATCATCACCGCCTGTGATCTGGGCTTTATTAACATTTTAGCATTTGGTTGGACCCTTCTTACCTCTCTCTCTATCCATCACGTAAGACATTTAGTGCTGCCTACTGGCAGTTATCTGTGTAATTGTTTTATTTCACTCACTAAGTGATAAGATCCTTGAGTCAAGACGCTATGCGATATGGCCTGTATCTTCCACAATAAGTAATCACATTGATTCAAAAGATTCCCTCACGATACATTTTTATTGCAAAAATGATTTTGTATTTATCCATTTTGGAAAAGAAATTTTATCTCTTGAGCCCCTAAAAATGGAATTGTACACATTAAGACCCTTATACATATCACATAATAATCTTCAGGGTCAAACATTATAGTTTTCACCTGCTGCTATTCCTTTGCAGTAGACTAGAATAGAGAATTATATAAAATTTCTACGACTGTCAAAAAAAGATATATTTTTGGAAATCATGTAAAATCAACCTTCTTTATTTTACAGATATAGAAATTTAGATCTGTAAGGACCATCAGTGTGGTGAAGGTCACATGGTAAGTTAATTACAGAATCAAATTTTTCCCTTTCATTTCAATCTGTTTTTAAGTTCTACATGATTCCACTTTCAGGAAAAAGCTATTAAAATACAGACTGGCTTTGGTAAGAGTGATATATATTTTTATGTTTCAGACCAGCATGTTGTTTCATGCTGATGTTAAAAGATAATGGTTGATATCAGATAAATGCCCACACATACACACAAACACAAACTAACTTGGGGTCCAATAAAATAAGACTGGGTGGTTCACATATTTTCCACTAGTGCAAATATTTTAAAGAGATAATTTTCTTTGATAAAGTCTGTGTTCTTAAAACTGATTAACACATAGTCCTTACTAGAAACTCTTTACAAAAAAAAAAAAACCCAAAAATGAGAGTGCAAAAATTGAGAGAATAAGTCAAAGGAGAAAGAGAAGTTCTACCATAACTGAAATTCATTGTACCTGTACATTAATCAAAGAACAAAATTGACTGTCATGTGATTTGACTCATGCTAAAATGTCCCTCACAATGAAAATAATCTCTTTTATTGGCCCCTCACAGTGTTTAAAATTTTTCACCATTTAAAAAAAAATTGACTTAAAATACTTCATCTTCTGACATTTTTGTTCACAAAAATAGTAAAATTAAAGGAAAAAGGTAGATAATATACCAACTCTGCAGGGTATTGCAGGAAGTTCAGAGAGGGAAAGAAAGAGGAACTATAAATAGTTATCATAAATTACAGCTAAATATTTTAGTTTAGCATAAAGAGGGTATGATGAATGTAAACAACATCACATATAGTTCAAAGTAGAGTTGTGGAATTACTTTTCCATGACAATGTTTAAGAATTGTACAGCTTTGCTGTTATCTAGTGATGTATCCCCACCCAAATCTCACCGTGAATTCCCATGTGTTGTCAGAGGGACCTGGTGGGAGGTAGTTGAATCATGGGAACAGGTCTTTCCCATGCTGTTCTCATGATAGTAAGTTTCATGTGATCTGATGATTTTATAAAGGGAAGTTTCCCTGCACAAGCTCTCTTCTCTTGTCTGCTGCCATGTGAGACATGCCTCTCACTTTCTGCAATGATTGTGAGGCCTCCCCAGCCACATGGAACTGTAAGATCATTAAACCTCTTTCTTTTGTAAATTGCCCAGTCTTGGGTATGTCTTTATCAGCAGTGTAAAAACAGACTAATACAGTAAATTGGTACCAGGAGTGGGGTGGGACTCTGCTCTAAAGATAACTGAAAATGTGGAAGCAACTTTGGAACTGGGTAACAGGCAGAGGTTGGAACAGTCTGGAGGGCTCAAAAAACAACAGAAAAATGTGGGAAAGTTTGGAACTCCCTAAAGACTTGTTCTATGGCTTGACCAAAATGCTAATAGTGATATGGACAATGCAATCCAGTCTGAGGTGGTCTCAGATGGACATGAGGAACTTGTTGGAAACTGGAACAAAGGTGACTCTTGATATGTTTTAGCAAAGAGACTTGTGGCATTTTGCCCCTGCCCTAGAGATTTGTGGAACTTTGAACTTGAGAGAGATGATTTAGGGTATCTGGCAAAAGAAATGTCTAAGCAGCAAAACATTGAAGAGGTGACTTTTTAGCCGGACATGGCAGTGTGCGCCTGTAGTCTCAGCTACTTGGGAGGCCGAGACAGGAGAATTGCTTGAACCCAAGAGGGGGAGGTTGCAGTGAGCTGAGATCATACCCCACTGCACTCCAACCTGGGTGACAGAGACTACAAAAAAAAAAAAAAAAAAAGATGTGATTTGTGTGGTGTTAAAGGCATTCAGTTTTAAAAGGAAAACAGATAATAAAAGTCTAGAAAATTTGCAGCCTGACAATGTGATAAAAAAGAAAATCCCATTTTCTGAGGAGAAATTCAAGCTGGCTGCAGAAATTTGCATAAGTAGCAAGGAGCTGAAAGTTAGTCACCAAGACAATGGAGAAAATGTCTGCAGGGCATGTCAGAGACCTTTGTGGCAGTCCTTCTCCTCACAGGCTGGGAGGTTTTAGAGGAAAAAATGGTTTCATGAGGCAGGCTCAGGGTCCCTCTGCTATATGCAGTCTAGGGACCTGGTGTCCTGCATCCCAGCTGCTCTAGCCATGACTAAAAGGGGCCAAGGTACAGCTCAGGCCGTGGCTTCCAAGGGTGCTAGCCCCAAGCCTTGGCAGGTTTTACATGTTGAGCCTGAGGGTACACAGAAGTCAAGAATTGATTTGGCAACCTCTGCCTAGATTTCAGAGAACGTATGGAAGCACCTGGATGTTCAGGCAGAAGTTTGCTGTAGGGGCAGGGTGCTCATGGAGAACCCCTGCTAGGATATTGTGAAATGGAAATGTGGGGTGGGCACCCCCACACAGAGTCCCCACTGGGGCACTGCCTGGTGGAGATATGAAAAGAATGCCATCGTCCTTCAGACCCCAGAATGGTAGCTGTACCGACAGCTTGCACCATGCACCTGAAAAAGCTGCAGACACTCAACGCCAGCCCATGAAAGCAGCTGGGAGGGAGGCTGTGTCCCACAAAGACAGAGGTGCAGAGCTGCTCAAGACCATGGGAACCTCCTCTTGGATCAGTGTGACCCAAATATGAGACATGGGGTCAAAAGAGATCATTTTTGACCTTTAATATTTGACTGCCCTGCTGGATTTCAGACTTTCATGGGGCCTTTGTTTTAGCCATTTTTTTTTTTCATTTGCAACAGCTGTACTTACCCAATGCCCGTACCCCCATTGTATGTAGGAAGTAACTAATTTTCTTCTTATTTTACTGACTCATAGGTGGAAGGGACTTGCCTTGTCTCAGATAAAACTCTGGACTGTGAACTTTTGAGTTAATGCTGAAACGAGTTAACACTTTGGGGGACTGTTTAAAAGGCGTGATTGGTTTTGAAGTGTGTGGACATAAGATGTGGGAGGGGCCAGGGTGAAATGATAAGGTTTGGCTGTGTCCCCACCCAAATCTCATCTTGAATTGCCATGTGTTGTTTGAGGGACCCAGTGGGAGGTAATTGAATCATGGGGGCAGGTCTTTCCCATGCTGCTCTGGTGACAGTGAATAAGTCTCATGAGACCTGATGGTTTTATAAAGGGGACTTTCCCTGAACAAGCTCTCTTCTCTTATTTGCTGCCATGTGAGATTTGCCTTTAACCTTCCAACACAATTGTGAGGCATCCCCAGCCACCTGGAACTGTAAGTCCATTAAACCTGTTTCCTTTGTAAATTGCCTAGTCTTGGGTATATTTTTATCAGCAGCGTGAAAACAGACCAATACAGCTAGGGTGGTTAAGATAGAGATATGGGCAAGATAGAAATCCTTAACAACAAACACATACATCAAATTGTTTCTTCCATCTAGGATGGTTCTTTTAACACACAGGTAATCACTTTGTGTGTTTCATTAAGGTATTTTCAAAATCTCTTTGAACAGCATAAGTATAACTTTTAAAAGCACGTACTACTAATACTTTATAAAAGTATTTCATAAGGTAGTTTACAGTAACTGAGGTTGATTGGTGCCATTAAGGAAAAAACTTTTACTTTTTTATTACTAAAAATCTATGTAAATCTCACTGGCACCAAATGCATTTTTCAAACAAATAAAGAGGCTTGAAATGGTGAACAGCTATTCTTTACTGTCTACTAAGGATAAGAAAGTACAGGCTGTTTTCAAATTAAAACCAGAAGCATATACAATGAGACATTATGTGGACTGTTGTGACTATTAGGGTTGTTAGATCATGTGCTGTGTTACTATGGGATGTTTGGGAGGCTCCTTTGAATATATTTTATTATCAAAAAATTTATTTTTCTGATGTATATAATCAGAAGCTCTTGAAGTATATAACTATATAAATATTAAATGCTCACTTCCAACATAATATTCATTTGATTAATAAAACTGGAGACAATTTATTTTAGTTGGTGGATTATACTACTCTCATCCTTGGTAGATTATGCCATAAAACTGAAGTATTTCAACCTCAGGAAATATTCCCACCAGTTAAGTTGATGTTCATTGCCAGAGTATAGTTACTTTGTTGAATTTCCACATGTAAACTCTTTTATTGAATTAGATATGTAGAAAAGTCATTGTTCTATGCTTCATTACCAGTTACCAGTGGCATTTGTTCTTCTCTATATAAACTTAACATAGCAAAATTATAACCTACCTATCTGTATATTCTACACAATATAACTCCTAATTTTATCATCGGTGAGATGGTACAAAGAATTCAACAGTCAAATTAGACTCATATGAAGTAGAAATGTTTAATCATTTTTAGGATATAAAAGTCTAGTGTCTGGAGGCCCAGGGAGAACTAAGGTGAGAGGTCGAGTATTCACTGGATCTCTTCCTACTACAATAAATAAGTTCTGGCACATTACTTACACAAAAGATAAAAAGTATCAGTAATAAACACTTCCATTTTATAATCAAATAGGCACAAAGGATGCATAATATTTTCCAGGAAGCGATGCCCTATATATCCATAGATTCTAGGGTTGTTGTTGTTTTTTTTTTTTTTAACACAGGAGATGCTAAACAACCAAGTACATGCTGCTAAAAACACCCTGCAGATAAAAACCCTCCCACTAGCTAATTTAACTAGCTTGTTTGCTAAAAAGTCTGCTTTTAGCATGTTTACAAATGTATTAGTCTGCTAGGGCTATTATAACAAAGTATCATCAACCGGGTGGCTTAAGAGTGGGAATTTATTTTCTCACAGTTCTGGAGGCTAGAAGTCTAAGATCAAGGTGTCAACAGGTTTGGTTCCTCCTGCGGCCTCTCTCCTTTGCTTGCACATGGCTGCCTCCTTACTGTGTTCTCACATTGCCTTTTCTTGATGCAAGCACTTCAGTGGTGTCTTTTCCTCTTCTTAAAAGGACACCAGTCCTATTGGACTAGGGTCCCATTCATATGACCTTAATTAACCTTAATTACCTCTTTAAAGGCCTTATCTCCAAATGCAGTCACTTTGTGGGTTAGAGACTCAACATATAGGTTACAGGGGAACTTGATTTATTTCATAACAACAGGGATATGACTTTTATTTCCTTGTCCTCTATATAAAGGAAGAGCCTAGATAGCAGATCTGCTTCCCATCCTTTTCTTTCTCAATGAAGAATGATTTATGTTTTCCAAAAACAAAAGAAAACTCAAAAAACTCTGGAATTTTATCTCACGAGAGCAAATAAATTGAATCATTCAGCCCCTAAATGCCTCAAAAGTCTGTAGAATAGAGCAGCTTCAAAAGAACAAGTGGGAAGTAATGAGGAAGAGTAAGAGACAAAGCTTCACAAAGGCTGTGTTAAAGAAGAACTCTTACTCCTAGTGAATTCTGAGGTGATATCACAGACTCAATTTATATGCAAACCTGAATTTAAGTGTACTAAAAATATAAAATTCACTTTGGAGCTAATGAAGTAACTTTTCGTCCAAAAAAAATATATTACTTTAAGTATTTCTCCTGTAGTAAAAGTATTTACCGTTTTATTCATAGCTTTGGATTGAGCAAATAAATCTTAAGATATATGTGTCATAATATAGACTATAACATAAAATGTGGGTGAACACAGTAACTCACTTTTACATCATAATCAAGTCATTAGCTTCTCATTTCCACAATTAAAAGAAATATGTCTTATCAGCTATTCAAAATCTTAGGTTAGAGAAAGTTACCAAGTAATTAGCTGCTATTCTGGACACACAGAAATTAGAGTAACAAAACCAGTTCACACATAGATACATTCTTTGAGAGACAGAATAGTGGATTAACCACAAATATAAAGTAGAGAATGCAGAGAATGCCCCTGATGGAATTCTCAAGGAAACAATTTCTAGTGGACACAGTTGGCTGCCTAACCCTCTTACATTTTCCTTATCTTTCTTTTTTTTTTAACAGAATCCATATTTTATTCAGATATCCATTCTATTTGTAAATAGTCCCTGTGTTTAGGGAAAGACCAGCTTTATCCATAGAAGGGATATCAGAATAAAATAAACAGAACTCCCCAGTTCCAGAGTTGGGCCTCAGTTACTCTTAGACAATGTGGGTAATTATTTTCCCATTGCTCCTGGTTGTTTCAAAAAATCAGACATACATCAATCAATACCTGTGTTTGTAAATTGTTATCTGGGAATAAGCAGACAGTGCAAATAGTTTCTATTATAATATAAAGAAGGAAAGACTTCTATTCATAAAAGGGGAAAACTCTTTCCCTTGTATTCACTGGATTTGAATGAGAAATCCTGTACTGCTCATTGCTCTTACCAGCCATTGCATACTACAAGGGGAAGCAGAAGTAGGATTAAGCTAATAGGTGAACTGCAGGGTGGAGAGGCAGAAAGAATGTGCTTCCTTGCTGAGATCTCTGAACCATAAATCAAGCAGAGCTGAAAACTTTTCTACCTATCTACTTCTTAATATATACTATACAATCTCTTCATTGTTTAGGTGGGCTTTATTTGCAGGGTATAAGCTGTAGTAAAAGAAGGGCCAAAGATGTAAATAAATGTGACTGATAGAGGACAGCATAAAAGAAAAAATAAGTTTTTTTTTAAAGCAGGACTGTGAGGAGAATTTTAATAGAGTCTAGATTGGTGAATAAAAAAGAACAGAATATCCCAAAAAGTATATACTAATGCTCAAATCAGTAAAGAAATATGACTTACCACTTTGTGGAAAAATAACATGGGTAGATTCATATCCCCTACTGTGTGTAAGATTATTTTCAAAGAGATTAAAGCATTAAATGTAGAAAATAAAACCACAAAGGCTCTAGAAGTAAACATAGGACATTTCCTTTATAACCTTTAAGTGGTTAAGGTATAAGTAATTATAACTAAAAGTCTAGAAGCTAAAAGATTAAAAAATGGGTATATGTGAATACAGTAACAATAACTTCATGAAAAAATATTGTAAACATTCACTTCTCAGTCTTTTGGCTAAGATCAAGTGAAATATTGTAAACAAATTAAAACTACAAGTAATCAAAGAATAATATTTACTCTTCATATAGTATAATTTCTTTACTATATGAAGTGTTTCTAGAGATTTATCAGCAAAAGACTCAAACTCAAAAGAAATATAGGCAAGTATATAAACAATTGACAGAAAGTAAATGCAGGCCATCGTGGTGGCTCACGCCTGTAATCCCAGCACTTTGGGAGGCTGAGGCGGTTGGATCACGAGGTCAGGAGATCGAGACCATCCTGGCTAAAGCGGTGAAACCCCGTCTCTACTAAAAAAAATTAACCGGGTTTGGTGGCGGGTGCCTGTAGTCCCAGCTACTCGGGAGGCTGAGGCAGGAGAATGGTGTGAACCCGGGAGGTGGAGCTTGCAGTGAGCCCAGAATGGCGTGAATCCAGAAGGTGGAGCTTGCAGTGAGCCGAGATTGTGCCACTGCACTCCAGCCTGGGCAACAGAGTGAGACTCCATCTCAAAAAAATAAATAAATAAAATAAAAATAAAAAATTAAGTAAATGCAAATGACTTTAAAGTATATAAAAGTATATTCAAGTTCAACCATAATAAAACTACAAATAAAACTCTATCAATATTCTTTCACCTATTAGAATAGCATATTTAATAACACAAACTTCAGCAAACATATAGAGAAGTAGGTACTACCATTCATGCATCCGCATGATTGGAGTATAAATTAGTACATATTTATCAAATAAAAAATGCATGTGTGCATGTCCAATCAATTATACTCTAGGCAGATTATCCTAAATAACTACTTACATATAAAACGACATATATGACTATATTCATTGCAGAAAAATATATAAGAACAATATTCTGAAAACAACAAAGTTTTTAATATAGTATGACTTAATCATGACACATCCCTTTGATGTTCTGCAACAGTAAAAATACTGAAAATTTTCTATATGTATTAACGTGGAAAGTTTTTCAAGATATATTGCTAACGAGTAAAGCAATGTGCCAAAAGGATACGTGTTATGCTGTCCAAATAAAGGAAATCAATAATGTATTTTGTTATTTCTTATATATACATAAAATACTTGAGACACCAAGAAGCTGTTGTTAAGAGGCAAGAACCGGGCAGACAACAGAAAAGGATAGAATGTGGAATTTTCCAATTCTGTATCATGTAAATGCATCACCTGTTCAAAAAATAAAATAATGTTCACGGTTCCCTACATTTTCTGAGAAATATCCAACTCTTTAGCCAGTAATTTATAGCCTTTCAAAATTGTTCCGGTAATATTTCATTTTTCTTGCTCATGCTAAACCACCTTCTCATCAAACTATTCAGTACCTTAAATTCTACTAAAATTTCTTTGTGGCATCACACACATACCCATTTCAATACACTCTTTTTCTATCATCACCTGTAGAAACCTACATAACTTCACAGCACATCTCAGATGCCGGCTCTTTCAAGATCTTCTCTGATAAACCCAAGGAGAAATAATTTTTCCCTCATCAAAATCCTTAGTGCACTTGGCATTACATCACATATTCTTCTTATAGGAGTGGTCTTTCTATTAGCATTGAAGGTCCTTAAGAGCAAGATTGCTTTTTAAACATCTGTATTTCTTAAAGTATTCTGTGCAAAATACTACGCTAGGCCCTACATTTACTCAAACATTTTAGCTTAATGAATTAAAATATGACTCAAAATGGAATGGTAAGTTGTTCCATCTTAATATATTAAGAAATATTACCAACAGCAACGACATCAAGAAACCAAGAAGACGACCTTTAATGGAATATTTGATGGACGCTGAAGTGAGTCTATTAACAAAAACAAACAAAAAGAATCAGGGACTACATTTGCCATTAATTCTAAAATTGTTGCCATTTAGGGCCTCACTGAAATATAGGGCCAAATAGCTGTTGCTCTTCCAGTAGCAGTTCTCATATTAAATGATGAATTTGCAAGGCATGCCCCCTAGGATTTCATCTGTTCTCCTTGAGAAAATGTCAATAACTTCTATAAAGAAAGAGTGGCCCTAGTTAGAGTTTTTTAGTTCTAAGTCTATGTTTAACCCATTAAGAAATAATTCATACTTAGTGTATATTTTTAAAAAACACTAAAATATAGTCTAAATTTTCCTGATTTTTTAAACTATGTAGGAATTATATAATAAAATGTGATTACCTAAGAGAATGTTCTGGTTTTTAGGACATATACAATGAAGTACTTAGGATTAAAATAATAAGATGGCTCCAATTTGCAAATAGTATAGAAAGAAGAGAGAGAGAGAGCACACTACCAATATATTCAAATGTAATTTAGAAAAAAAATCTGGATAAAAGGGTATATAGGACTTTCTTCTACTATTCTTGCAACTTCTTTCTAAGTTTAAAATTATGTCAAAATGGCTGGGCGTGGGGACTCACGCCTGTAATCCCACCACTTCGGGAGGCTGAGGCAGGTAGATCACCTGAGGTCAGGAGTTCGAGACCAGCCTGGCTAACATGGTGAAACCCTGTTTCTACTAAAAATACAAAAAATTAGCCTGAATTACAGGTGAGCACCTGTAATTCCAGCTACTCGGGAAGCTGAGGCAGGAGAATCGCTTGAACCCAGGTGGCGGAGGTTGCAGTGAGCCGAGATTGAGCCATTGCACTCCAGCTTGGGCAACAAGAGCAAAACTCCATCTCAAAAAAACATAGTATATAAAAATAAGAGTTACACACACACACACACACACACACACACACACACACACACGTCAATGTACAACCAGGCAAAGTGAGTCTATGTTAAAATTCAGTCATCACCTGTAAACTAGTTCAACCATTGTGGAAGTCAGTGTGGCGACTCCTCAAGGATCTAGAACTAGAAATACCATTTGACCCAGCCATCACATTACTGGGTATATACCCAAAGGATTATAAATCATGCTGCTATAAAGACACATGCACATGTATGTTTATTGCGGCACTATTCACAATAGCAAAGACTTGGAACCAACCCAAATGTCCAACAATGATGGACTGGATTAAGAAAATTTGGCACATAGACACCATGGAATACTATGCAGCCATAAAAAATGATGAGTTTGTGTCCTTTGTAGGGACATGGATGAAATTGGAAATCATCATTCTCAGTGAACTATCACAAGAACAAAAAACCAAACACCGCATATTCTCACTCATAGGTGGGAACTGAACAATGAGAACACATGGACACAGGAAGGGGAACATCACACTCTGGGGACCGTTGTGGGGTTGGGGGAGGGGGGAGGGATAGCATTAGGAGATATACCTAATGCTAACTGATGAGTTAATGGGTGCAGCACGCCAGCATGGTACATGTATACATATGTAACAAACCTGCACATTGTGCACATGTACCCTAACACTTAAAGTATAATAAAAAAAAAATCTCAGAAACTAGAGTCAGAAGAATAGAAAAAAAAATTCAGTCATCATTATCTTTAATGGATGGAATGGAGTTTAGAGTAAATAGTGCAGGGAAGGTAGGGTTATGAGGTTTTAGTGTTTTCTTTCTTAATCTGCATTCTGATTACCAGATTATTGTTCACTTGATAAAATTTTATCAAATTGTGCCCTGATAATCGGAATGTAAGAATGTCACATTTTCTGTAAGATATCCTTCAATGAATTTTAACAAAAATACTATGAAAAAATAAATTTCTCTTTTTACTTGATTACCCTATTATAGAATGCATATGTTTAGTGTCTTTGTACAGTGATAAGAAAATACCTCAAACAGGATTTAAAAAAACATAAACATATGTAAATGACACTTTTCTTTATTTTTTATTTATTTATAATAGGATCTCAGTCTGTCACCCAGGCTATAGTGCAGTAGCATGATCACAGCTAATTTCAGCCTTGACCTTCTGGTCTCAAGTAATCCTCTCAAGGCAGCCTCCCATTTAGCTGGGACCACAGACATGTGCCACTATGTCTGGCTAATTTTTTGAATTTTCGGTAGACAGGGTCTCACTTTGTTGCCTAAGGTGGTCTTGAATTGCTGGGCTCAAGCAATCCTTCAACCTCAGCCTCCCAAAGTGCTGGGATTATAGGCATGAGCCACCAGGTCCAGCCACTTTTCTTTAATTGAAGTGCTATAGCCAATACCAAAGTTGGTGCCCTCCCATCCAACTTACAATTTACAGTATAGCACCTATACATTTAGTCTGCTGCTCTAAATGTCTCCCAGTAATCAAACTGTGTGTGAAATTCATAATATGGGGCACACTATTTTTTAATCATTCTAACTACTGTAATTATGTCCTTATCTGTATTCATGTCCTGAAAGTTTATGCAAGTAAAATTAGCATAATGACATTTAAGTTATTTCATGTTTATGTGCATGCATTTACTGGACATTGCTATCTTTTACAACTTTACTTTTTAAATTTCTACTTTTCATCCAAGAACTCTCACAAAATATTTGACTTATCTTCTTTTGTTTTTACATTTTTCTGTTCAATTTTTTCATTAATCCAACATATCTGTTTTAATATAATATAATATCTAATATATTATAATATATATTATATTCTATTTTATATTATAATATATATTCTATTATATATTATATTCTATAATATATATATTATGTTCTATAATATATATATTATGTTCTATAATATATATATTATGTTCTATAATATATATTATGTTATATATTATATTATAAATATATATATTATATATATATTTGTTTATATATATATTTATATATATATTTATAATATAATATAATTATATATAACATAATATATAAAATATTTATAATAAATATATAATATTATATAATATATATAATATATTATGTTATATATAATTATATTATATTATAAATATATAATATATTATAAATATATATAATATATAATATATAATATATATTATAGAATATTATATATATTATAGAATATAATATATATTATAGAATATTATATATATTATAGAATATTATATATAATAGAATATAATATATATTATAGAATATTATGTATATTATAGAATATTATGTATATTATAGAACATAATATATATATTATAGAATATTATATATATTATAGAATATAATATATATTATAGAATATAATATATATTATAGAATATTATATATATTATAGAATATTATATATATTATAGAATATTATATATATTATAGAATATTATATATATTATAGAATATTATATATATAATATGATATAATATATTATTATATTATATATAATATTATAATAATATATTATATTATAATAATATTATTATATTATATATAATACCTAAGTTTTAATGTAACTATATGTGCCAGTATGTTTGCCTATAAATCATCATGCAGATAGAAAACACTTTTAGAAGCTTCCTCTTTCATACCAAATTTAAACCATAAGGTTTAAATTTATGGAAGTACTTAGAAGTACTATTTATGGAAGTACATAAGGAAGTACTTAGAGGTTGTGGTGTACACAGGTTTATTTTACTGAAAACTGAAAATAACCCAGACAAAAGGACGAAACTTATTGGGAATTGGTATGATACAAAAGGTATCTTTCACTCAGAAAAAAAGTAAAAATATACCTTACTAAGTTCATTTTCTTCAAAAATTTTAGATGATTATTTAAAGTTGGATTCTTTCATTTTCTAGGGCTGCATATCCTTTTTCCCAAAGAGGAACTCCAGATTTTATAAGTTGCAGTTCCAATAAGGACTAGATCTGTCCCTAGTTTTGATGAACTATACCTGGGAAACCAGAGGTATGGCAATCCTAAAATGAATATAGGAAAAGAGTTCCAATAGACACAAATTCCCTTCCCCTGGTGAAAATGAAGATAGAAACAACAACAAAAAAAGATATTACGTAATATAAAATAAAACAAATGTTCATTATATTTGAACCTGTATTCTCTTCTAAACTGAGTTTCAGAGGGCAAGGAACATGTCTGTCAGATACTACTTTCTATCCAGTACACATAGTAGCTGCACAATAAACATTTATGATGTGAATTAATTAGCGTTTCTCTGGCCTGCCAATGCCCTGTGTATAGAAAATCTGTAAATTTCCACTAACTTTAAAAATACTCATATTTTCCTGGAACAGAAAGTAAAGATTACATGGTAGACAAAATTGCATCTGTCTACTAATGATTACCATGTAATCTTTAGTAGATGGCCTTGTGGTTCTCAGTAAGAGTCAAGTGACAAAGGAGACAGAGGGAGCAAAGCTGAAAGACTTTAATAAACTCTCTTTGCAAATAATGTTTTTATTCAATGTCAACTGCTTATTAAAACATCCCAGGGCTTGACTCTTCTGAGTCTTTTATATACTTTTTTTCTACAACAGAGGAGAAAGTAATCACTATTGATTTGGGCACATATCAAAAAATCAAAAAAAGAGAAACAAATGAACATTTGCATTTCAATTGTGACCACCATACAGCTAATAGCTTATCATAACTCTTAAAGGTTGGTCCCAAGGCTCTCATACAGGTTCACCCTTTGCTGACCTCTTACAATCTTTCTGTCAGCATTTTGAATGCTACTGATTCTGTGAGTAATATTTTCAACGGAGGTCAGACAGGCCTGTAAGTCCAGCGTGTCCTCTCACTTACGAATTCCCCTTCTTTTGTGGCTTTTCACCATGGGTTCACATGTCATGGACTCTACATCGCAAACTGCAGTAAGCAAATTTCAATCCTGAGTGAAAGGAGAAAAAAGCAAATCCTACTTGACTATTGCTAGCTTGTTTACACCATAGGGCTAGAGTAAGCTGAAATCGACAGAGTATAAAGAAAAGAAAGTCCTCTTGCAGTAACACACACACTTATTTTCAGACTCATAGTTTAAATGCAGTCTTTTATTTGTCACTACCACTGCATTATCATCAGAGGATTTATATGCCTAGAGCTGCCAGAAGTGTCACCAGCTCCGACAATGCCCATTTTGGGGCTTTTTCCGATGGCTTATTTTATTTATAGTCTTGATGAAACTGGGGCAGTCACAAAACTGATTAGCGATCTGGCAAGCAGGGTCTGCTCTGCTAATGATCTGTGTAAATATTGTGCTGCAGAGCCTTTCTGTGACAGGTCATTGATGCTAACAAACCGCAGAATGCAAACAGAGACCTGTGCTGCCTTCACTGCAGATGCACAGCAGCCAGCTTACACTGACAAAGCAAATGAAAATCCTCTTGTTGTCGATCATCTCAAGTAAAATGGCCTAAAAATCAATTCTAGGATAGGCTTTCTTTCTCGAAGCTTTAATCTGGCGATGATGACAGTGATAATGGTATTTCATTATACACATAAAGTAAGAGAGAAAAACGTAACAAAACAAGATATGAAAGATGAATTTAAACAATGGATTGTGAAAGCCTTGCTGTTTGCTTCTGTTTTTAAAAATATTTTGCTACTTTTTCTTGGCTGCTGCCGTTGCTACAGTTGTAGTCTGCACAGAATGAAGCCTTAATCACACAGTCATGCTGAAACATATTTACAAAGGTAAAATTAATGGGCTTATCTTAAGCAAGATGTCTTTCTATGGCATCATTAGCATGCTTTAGATTTTTAAAATAAATGTGTTTTTATTCTTCCAGTACATCAGAATTGGAATTGGAGTCATGTCAAGATGTTCTCACTGGCAAAGACAGGAGGAGGTTAAAATAGCTCCTTGTACGGCAGTAACCTCGGGAGAAAAAGAACTAATAGAAAATAAATGGCGGGTATTTTTTTTTGAATCATTTGTATGATAAGCTTATAATGTACTTGTCTCAATGCAGAAAGCACAAGGAAAAAATAAATATGTCCACATCACATTGGTAGACAAAGCACTAAGCACGTAGGTTGTCAGAAATTCGATATCCCTTTCTCTTTTCTATATCCTCTACCAAACAGAAAGTTTCACATACATCTGAGACTTCAGTGTCTATGTGACTTGAGTACAATTTCCTTTTTCGTCTTTGTTTTTCCTTTACTTACTCGTTTCCCTTTATTCTTACCTGAGATATAGAGAATAAAAAATAACACTATAGAATCAACCTTTTTTTCTAGGTAATTTAGAATAAATTTTCCAGAACATAAAAAGGATAATGATGGCATTATGTAAATTTCAGACCAAAATTTTCTGAATTAAATTATTTTTACATAGATAATGGTTCACTTCTGATTAGGAACAATAAATAAAAAGTAATCTTAACAATATGACAATACAACTTAGCCTTCTTGCATTATCTTTTTTAGTCTAAATATTTAATTATTATAATTTGCACAAAATCAAAATTATAGTGCAATTCCTTTCTTTACAAAATAATCACAATAAAGTATTTTAATCAAGCAACTGAGCACATACAATTATTATTCTATGTCCATAAAATTTTTTTGCAGAAAACATTTATATAAGAATTTCAGTAGTCAAACATTGAGTAGCAGGAAAATACTATTAAATTTTAAAAACCAAACAAGCATTGGAAACAGAAAAATGGATACAAAGAGAAGCAAGTATTCTCCTGTATTTATAATTGTGGTACTTTACAATATATGTAATATATCTTTAGAAAGATTAATTGTCTTTTATTCTCACAGAAATTCTATGAGCCAGGCAGAGGAACTGTTTTTGTTCCCGTTTTACTTCTGTAAAAACTGAGTCTCAGAATAACTGCTCCCCAGAAGTATAGAATGATTAAAGGTCAGAGACAGAGCCTGCATATTTTCACATTTGTTACACTTTTTTAGCTATTGTTGTCCAAGAGTACTCTTACTTTTGAGATACTTTCTTTATTTCACTGTTCAGAATTTTTATATTTGTATGATTTAACAAAATAATCGGTAAATTTCATTTTTGGGGATTAAAAATTAGGTTGTGGAAGCTACATTAGGTTGTGGAAGTTGTGCCCCATCTGAGACAAATCTTGGATTAATCAGTGATTGATTAAATTATTGAAAGTTTAGTTATTCAAAGAAATTGGCATAGAAGTACATTAAGCTAAGCTTTATCTGGTAAGATGGAGAACTAACATGATGTGGGCTTCTTTCTGTGACCACAACCCTGGAAATGACACAGAAATCAGCATCTAATACTAAAAGATGTGAGAAACCCTGGCAGTTACAAACTACAGTAAAGTCTGCGAGTAGAGAAAAAAATGACAGCAAAGAGCAGAAAACTGAGTGTAAGGAAACCAGAATATGCTGGGGCGGAAGTTTTTAGTGGTCATCATTTCTTTTCATTGCATTCCTGTATTTTTTTCTGCTCTTTCAATAGTTAGAATACCCACAGTGTGCAAGGCACTCTTCTAAATAGTGAGAATACACTACAGAGCCAGAAAGACAAAACCTTGACCAAATGGAGCTCCCATTCTAGCAAAACTAGAGTTGAAAAGAGACCACTGCTAACTCCTTTAAAGTCATTTTGGAGTCGGCCAGGCAGAATATGACTCAACCTAGCTTGGAAAATGAGGAAATAGTGACAAATGCAGAAAGACCATCTGAACCCTAGGCATTCTCCTCTAACCCAGCTACTCCATACAATGAGTGTTAGGATGGTGATTAAAACTGAGGGAGACCAGTCTTGGTAAACAGCACCACCCAGGACACATGAATACACCAACTTTTATGGAGGAGGAAGGCAAACAAAGGGTGGCAGAATCCAGTTATTTCCTAAGGAGTCCTTCATTCTAAACACTTCTGGTGGGTCAATCTTGAGCCTGATTTTAGTGCCATGTATTCTTAATCAGCATAATAAATCTTACTAGGAAAAAATAGGCCTCAAAGGAATTCAATGACTCTAAAATAAAATACATGTATATCGAAGACAACCAGATTTACAAAAATTAACAATAGTTTAAAATATGTGACCATGTGTGTTGGTTTACGTCTGTAATCCCAGCACTTTGGGAGTCCAAGACAGGAGCATTGCTTGAAGCTAGGAGTTTGAGATCAGCTCGGGCAACCAAGAGAGCCCCTGTCTCTACAAAATAAATAATAATTAAAAAAAATAGCTAGGTGTGGCGGCATGCACTTGTAGTCCCAGTTACCAAGGAGACTGAGGCAGGAGAATCTCTTGAACCCAGGAGGTCAAGGCTGCAGTTAGCTAGGAGGCTGTCACCACTGTACTTGCTCCAGCCTGAGTAACAGAGAAAGACACTGTCTCTGAAGAAAAAAAAGAAGTTAAAATAAATCCAAAAATATGTATAGTAAATGTTCTCAAAGACATAAGGCACAATATTTGAAACCTGAAGAAGAAATTAGCAATCATAAAATATTTTTTCAGTATGAAAACATATCTGTTGAAATGAAGGATTAAATATATGGTATAAACAGCAGAAGGGTTAAATTTGAGGAGTGCTCATTAGTGAGATGGAAAATAATGTTCAAATAATAACAAATTTTTTTTAAATTTAGAAAACTAGACTTCACATGTACTGCTGATGGGAGTACAGACTGATGCAACTATCCAGAGAGCAATGTGGAGTGAAATGAAATCCAAACCTATGAACCAGCAATCCTACTCTTGATCCACATGGCAAATCAACTTAAGTTTAAACTCATGAAAGGATATGATATCCATTAGAGACATTTGTTGTTGCAGGGAGTTGGAAGGAGGCAAAGAATCTATCACTGTAATACACACACACAATTGTTTATGAAAATGGAATACAGGCCAGGTGTGGTGGCTCATGCCTATAATCACAGCGCTTTGGGAGGCCGAGGTGGGCAGATCACAAGGTTAGGAGTTTGAGACCAGCCTGTCCAATATGGTGAAACTCCATCTCTACTAAAAATACAAAACTTAGCCAGGCATGGTGACATGTGCCTGTAGTTCCAGGTACTCGGGAGGCTGAGGCAGAAGAATCGCTTGAACACGGGAGGCAGAGGTTGCAATGAGCCGAGATCAGGCCACTGCACTCCAGCCTGGGCAACAGAGCGAGACTCCATCTCAAAAAAAAAAAAAAAAGAAGAAGAAGAAGTAATAGTGTGCTGTGCAGCATGAAAAAAAAATGAGGTAAAGATACACACGATAACAAGAATAGGTCTTAATAATATAGTGTTGGATTTACAAAAGTAAAAACTATATATACAGCATATAACTCAAAAACAACCACAAAATTTTACAGTTTTCAAAAATGCATATTCAAGGGCCTACCACAAACACATGAATGCAATTGAAGTAAGAGGGAGAAGCAGAAGGAAATAAAAATAGAGATTAGAGATTAGGGCAAGATAAAATAATTAGATAAAATAAATCAAGAAATTCCTATTTTATTTATCATGATAAGAATGTACTTTAAAAAGAGGATGACTACATAAAATGAGTTAGGGAGGAGTACCTCTTTTTCTATTGTTTGGAATAATTTCAGAAGGAATGATACCAGTTCCTCTTTGTACCTCTGGTAGAATTTGGCTGTGAATCCGTCTGGTCCTGGGCCTTTTTTTTTGGTTGGTAGGCTATTAATTACTGCCTCAATTTTCAGAACTTGTTATTGATCTATTCAGGGATTTGACTTCTTCTTGGTTTAGTCTTGGGAGAGTGGATGTGTCCAGGAATTTATAAATTTTTTCTAGATTTTCTAGTTTATTTGTGTAGAGGTTTTTATAGTATTCTCTGATAGTAGTTTGTATTTCTGGGGGATCAGTAGCGATATCCCCTTTATCATTTTTTATTGTGTCTATTTGAGTCTTCTCTCTTTTCTTCTTTATTAGTCTGGGTAGTGGTCTATTTTGTTGATCTTTTCAAAAAAACCCCTCCTGGATTCATTGATTTTTTTGAAGGACTTTTCATGTCTCTATCTCCTTCAGTTCTGCTCTGATTTTAGTTGTTTCTTGTCTTCTGCTAGCTTTTGAATTTGTTTGCTCTTACTTCTCTAGTTATTTTAATTGTGATGTTAGGGTGTCAACTTTAGATCTTTCCTGCTTTCTCCTGTGGACACTTAGTGCTATAAATTTCCCTCTAAACATTGCTTTAGCTGTGTCCCAGAGATTCTGGTATGTTGTGTCTTTGTTCTCACTGTTTTCAAAGATCTTATTTCTTTCTGCCTTAATTTCATTATTTACCCAGTAGTCACTCAGGAGCAGCTTGTTCAGTTTCCATGTAATTGTGCGGTTTTGAGTGAGTTTCTTAATCCTGAGTTCTAATTTGATTGCACTGTGGTCTGAGAGACTGTTATTATTTCCATTCTTTTGCATTTGCTGAGGAGTGTTTTACTTCCAATTATGTGGTCAATTTTAGAGTAAGTGTGATGTGGTACTGAGAAGAATGCATATTCTGTCAATTTGGGGTGGAGAGTTCTGTAAATGTCTACTAGGTATGCTTGGTCCAGAGCTGAGTTCAAGTCCTAAATATCCTTGTTAATTTTCTGTCTTCTTGATTTGTCTAATATTGACAGTGGGGTGTTAAAGTCTCCCACTATTATTGTGTGGGAGTCTAAGTCTCTTTGTAGGTCTCTAAGAATTTGCTTTATCAATCTGGGTGCTCCTATATTGGGTATATATATATATACACATATATATATATATATATATATATACACACATATATATATATATATATACACATATATATATATATATACACATATATATATATATACACACATATATATATATATATACACATATATATATATATATATATACACATATATATATATATATATAAAATCATTGGCACTCCTTGTTGCATTCATCCATTGACCATTATGTAATGCCCTTCTTTGTCTTTTTTGATCTTTGTTGCTTTAAAGTCTGTTTTATCAGATACTAGGTTTGCAACCCCTGCAAGGCTACAGTAACCAAAACAGCATGGTACTGGTACCAAAACGGATATATAGACCAATGGAACAGAACAGAAGCCTCAGAAATAATGCCACACATCTACAACCATCTGATCTTTGACAAACCTGACAAAAACAAGTAATGGGAAAAGTATTCCCTATTTAACAAATGGTGCTGGGAAACTAGCTAGCCATATACAGAAAACTGAAACTGGACCCCTTCCTTAACACCTTATACAAAAATTGACTCAAGCTGCACTGAAGACCTAAACATAAGACCTAAAACATTAAAACCCTAGAAGAAAGCCTAGTCAATACCATTCAGGACATAGACACGGGCAAAGACTTCATGATTAAAACACCAAAAGCAATAACAACCAAAATTGACAAATGAGATCTGATTAAACTAAAAAGCTTCTGCACAGCAAAAGAAACTATCATCAGAGTGAACAGGCAACCTAAAGAATGGGAGAAAAGTTTTGCAATCTACCCATCTGACAAAGGGCTAATATCCAGAATCTACAAGGAACTTAAATTTACAAGAAGAAAAAAAACAAACAATCCCATCAAAAAGTGAGCGAAGCATACGAACAGACACTTCTCAAAAGAAGACATTTATATGGCCAAAAAACACATGAAAAAAAAATTCAACACTGGGCTTTACAGAAATGCAAATCAAAACCACAATGAGATAAAAATGATGAATTCATGTCTTTTGTAGGGACATGGATGAAGCTGGAAACCATCATTCTCTGCAAACTATCGCAAGGACAAAAAAACAAACACTGCATGTTCTCACTCATAGGTGGGAATTGAACAATGAGAACACATGGACACAGGAAGGGGAACATCACACACCGGGGCCTGTTGTGGGGTGGGGGGAGGGAGGAGGGATAGCATTAGGAGATATACCTAATGTTAAATGATGAGTTAATGGGCGCAGCACACCAATATGGCACATGTATACATATGTAACAAACCTGCATGTTGTGCACATATACCCTAAAACTTAAAGTATAATAAAAAAACCCACAATGAGATGCCATCTTATGCCAGTTAGAATGGATATCATTAAAAAGTTAGGAAACAACAGATGCTGGAGAGGATGTGGAGAAATAGGAATGCTTTTACACTGTTGGTGGGAATGTATATTAGTTCAACCACTGTGGAAGACAATGTGGTGATTCCTCAAGGTTCTAGAACCAGATATATCATTTGACCCAGCAATCCCTTTACTGGGTATATACCCACAGGATTATAAATCATTCTACTATAAAGACACATGCACATGTATGTTTACTGAAGCAGTATTCACAATAGCAAAGACTTGGGACCAACAAAAATGCTCATCAATGACAGACTGGATAAAGAAAATGTGAAACATATACACCATGGAATACTATGCAGCCATAAAAAGGATTAGTTCATGTCCTTCACGGGGACACAGATGAAGTGGGAAACCATCATTCTCAACAAAAATACACAGGAACAGAAAAACAAATATCGCATGTTCTCACTCATAAGTGGGAGTTGAAAAACGAGAACACATGGACACAGGCAGGGGAACATCACACACTGGGGCCTGTTGTGGGGTGGGGAGCTAAATAAATATAAATATAATTTAAATATATACATAAATATAATATAAAATGTTATGACTAAATTCTTTGTTAAATAAAAAGTGAATGAACAAGTAAACAAATGAATCAATAAAGGTAGATCAGTAAGATTGGACCTGTTACGTTTCTGATACACTTCTGTCAGCATCTATGCCAAGCTTTGCCTAACCACCTTAAGCTCCCAATGGTCCCAATTTCTTTATTCTTGACAAATGAACTCACTTCTACTTTATTGAAACCATCAGTGACCATCTATAAAGAGCTCCTTTATGTACCTATAAATCATCCTAGCTCACATTTTCCTACATTTGAAATCACCCATTCTTGAATTTTCAGTGCCCATTGTCCAGACTAACTTTTCCACTAGAACTTTAAATTCAATCAATTCCTTTTATCTCTAGCATCAAATATTCTCTATCAGCTTTAAGCTGTTAATCCTCTGTGGTTCCTCCTGTACTAATGCAGACTCATGCTAGTCCATTCCAAAAGACCTCCTTGATATGGCTACTATTACATAGTCCTTCCTTTATTAAAAATATTTCATCTCTAACTCCCTATTGTAACAATGTGTTGTTATGCTTCCTGTTAAGTTTCTTCCTAAAATTTTTCATTAATAATCTACTAAGAAATAAAATATACTAACTTATAGTATTCTGTGACTAAGATATCTAAAGTTTGGTTTGATAGTCCATTTAAGGAGTAGATTTTCCCATCTCTTTCTTTGGGAAAAGGAACCTAGCCAAGCCCAGATTTGTGTGTCTATGTGAATCAGTAACACTTCAGGAAGTAAGTATGACATAGTGGTTAAGGTCACAATCTCTAAAATCAGACAAAGTATATTCAAATGCCAATCTTAGCAGTTATTAGGTATGTGAAGTTGAAGAATTTCATTACATCTTCTGATACAATTTTCTCATCTGCAAAAGTGTGTATTGGTAGTATAGGCATTATATTTTTGTGAAAATTAAATAAAACAATAAATACAAAATAATATTTTTAGTGTTAGGCTCATAGTAAAGGGTTACTATGTATTATTGTCATTTCACTGTGGCTCTTATTTCTGAAGGACAGGACAGTCTACTAAATGTATTGTAATGTAATGAAAATAACTAAGCCATGTTATTCTATTATTTTGTAAAGTATCTCTGGTTTTTCATTCATTAAAAAACATGCCTCTCTTTTGGGGACACTCCATTGTCCTTTTCTTCTAGTCACATTGAAGTCTGTTTGCCTTTGAAGGCAGCCACATTAACTCACTGTCTACAGGGAAAAATCACACCCCTTTTTATGGGAGGAAGTACAGATTTTTGATTCCTGAGTCCTGTAAATACAAGTAGCACCTCAGACTTTACCTAGATTGATATCCCTCTTTCTCCATTTCTCAGCTTGCAAAATGGAGTGGGCAATTGTTTAAGGGGAAAAGTGTATGTGCTTTCAAATTCCAGTTCACTTCTCATTAGTGAAATCTGTGGATTGGTGAATACAATTAATCTCCTGAATTATACTTTGCAAAAACAACCAACACTTTTTCTTAGACACAATACAATGCAATTTCATACTAAAGAAAGAATATTACCTATTAGCATAATCATGCCCATTATTTTAATAACAATAAATGGATATTCATTATCCATTTTTGTGCTGAGAATCATTTGGTGTTTTATTCCTTTCCTATAGACCTGAAGGTATCAAAATGATAGCAGTAGTAAATAGTAATCTTTGTTGTTAGAGAAAGAGGCAATGGTTTTGATTACATTCTGGTTTGAGGTAATCTGATTGTGATAGCATGTTTGGTGAGAGAAATTTGTAATCAATTTCTTTCTAACATTATTATTTACTGTAATATTTTTAAAATCTATCAACCTGTCCTTTTAAGGCTTTTATAACATGAACCTATCCTGAATATTTTTGTTTCTGTCTAATGCTTTATTTCTTTTCTTGATTTTTAACTTTCCATCTAAACCATTACTTTCTCTCAAAACAGTGTAAACCATCATCTCTATGTAAATGAGTATACTAAAAATACATCATAATACCTATCCTGAGCTCCAGTCTCAAATTTCCAACTTTTTTCTGGCCATTTTCATTTTTACTTTGTTTTATGTATAAAGAAAACAAACAAAAAGTAGCAAAAACATAAAACTGGCTCCAGCTCTTATGCCAGGTGCTATGAGTAAAGGACAAAGTTCCTGACTCAAGTTTCTCCTATTTATGTTAAAGGTACTATTGTCAAACTGATCAAAAATTTGTGGTCACAGACATTGTCATTACCTTGGTTTGTCTATGCCTACTCATATACTTAAATTCTTTTTTTCAATGATTTCTCAAATTTATTTCTACTTTCTTTACCTTCTGTGACCCTTACACTTAAAAGGTGAAAGTGGAAGACAGTCTTTTGATTTTTTTTTTGAATGCACAAAATACATGTTATTCCCTGACTCTCCTTTTGATGGATAGCCCTTTTTTGAGCAATTTACAATCATTTTCTTTTTTTGATTATTTATGAATAAAGTTCAAATTCTCACATCTAATATTCTAAATCCTTCATAATTTGTCCCAACATTTACTTCTAATTGTATATTCAAATATTCTGAAACAATCACATTATTCTGTCTAATGTATGCATTCTATACTTCTGAATATGTTTTCTATGCTTATCACCAAATTTGCACTTGTCTTTTGAATAATCCATAATGCATTTTTCCTCTTCCCCATATTATTGAAGAGTATCACATAATAGAAGCTCTATTAACCTTTCTTTGATCATCATAGTCCACGATGGCATCTCCCTCCTTAGAAGATCCCCAATATATATTGCATAGCACTTTTCTGAAAGTTGCTTTTTTGTGTTTATGTTTCTTATGTTCAGACTTGGATATTAAGTGACCTGAAGATAAAAGATCTGTATTCTACATCTTCTTTTCACACATAGCACTTACTGAGGAACTATACACATAGCAATTCTATAAAGTAGGGAGTGTTTTCTAGAAAAGAAGTGACTATGTGTTGATACATCTCCTTCAATTTTATTAATAAACTTTCATTTACGAATATGTATTAAAAGTGTCTTTAGGCTCTCTTTTTATGTTTGACCCATTTCGTGGTAAATGTGAACAGTGGAACAAGATAGTTGCAGTGCTAAACTTAGACTAAAGGGAAGAGGAACTCAGGTTCTAGGCCAGCCCTTTAGAGTGAACCACAAACCACTTTCACCTTCCTCCCATGGGGGCTGGGAAGGAGAGTAGAAGGGGAAGTGGCGATGAGTCCACAAAACAAGTGAATGTGCTCATGTGAAACAAGACTCCTGCCCATCCATGTGCTATGCCAATGTACCAATACTCAAGACTCTGGATTCCTCTTTAGGAGAAATAAAAGGTCCTGAGATTGCTTTCAAGGTCTATTCAAGGCCATTCCCTACGCCAGCCTTTTTGAAGGTGGACTGGTGTGTACAACCCTTGGTCAAAGGGATGTCTCATGAGGAGATGCTGGACAAATAGGCTGCAGTATCTTGGATGTAACAAACCCCTCATCCAGCAAGATGGAAAGAGGGGTGGAAAGAGAATGAAATTGGCTATGACCTGGGGCCTCTTTCCAATCCTCACATTCCATTGTGGACCTCTCCTGGCAGTCCAAGAATGCAGATTTCAATTTAATTTTTTAAGTTGTTATGAAGTTGTCAATGTAGGAATTTCAATACACTTTAACAGTTCTTAAGCTTGATTGATGTCTTATAAATATGTAGTCATTAATATGTGGGTCTAGATTTGCAATACTTCTGAACTTCCACAAATGTTAGGGACAGGCCTGAATAGCTAACTTTTTTCTTTTATTTCAAGTTGACTTAATATTATAAAAAACATTTTATTTTTTCCTTTAATAGAGTCAAGTATACAGTTTCTGTTTTCATCCAGTAACTTTAGCAGAGACTTTTTCTCTCTGCTAGTGAAAGAGAGGACTCAGGTTTAGAGGAAATTTGCTTTTTCAGAACATTTGATCTTCGTAACACATCAAGATGTATTTAGAGAAAAGAAAACACGGACTTAGTACTATTTATAAATAGCTTCTTTACCCTTACTCCTAAATTAAAACAAAACTAAAACCTAGGAAAAGCACTTGCATTATACAAAATTTATACTTTAGCTATTTCTACATTTAAAAATAAAATAATATAAATCACCAATTTTACGTTTTAAGCAAAAGTGTATTCTCAAACTTTATATTATTCAGCAATACCTATTACTCTCCAAGTATATGCATGTATCATTTCTCTCATTTAAAGTCTCTGACCACATCTAGAAAAAGTGAAAAATGGTGCAGTCATTACATTTTGGTTTTGGAACTGGGAATTTTATTTAGCACAATATAAATAATTAGGGAGTAATTCCTTTTATACTATTTTTCATCCACTTTTTTTTTTTTTTTTTTTTTTTTGAGACGGAGTCTTGCTCTGTCGCCCAGGCTGGAGTGCAGTGGCGCGATCTCCACTTACTGCAAGCTCTGCCTCCCGCGTTCACGCCATTCTCCTGCCTCAGCCTCCAGAGTAGCTGGGATTACAGGTGCCCGCCACCAGGCCTGGCTATTTTTTTGTATTTTTAGTAGAGCCGGGGTTTCACCATGTTAGCCACGATGGTCTCAATCTCCTGACCTCGTGATCCGCCCGCCTCGGCCTCCCAAAATGCTGGGATTACAGGCGTGAGCCACCGCGCCTGGCCTCTTTTTTTTTTTTTTTAACCATTTCTGATTTACTGAAACCCAGTCTGTATTTAATAAGGCTTAAACATTTGTATGTTTAATATAACAATATGTCCTCAGTGGCAGCTTGATTAGATTTGGATTTTAAAAGTCACTGTAGAAGGGAGGAAAAATATCAAAGAAGGGATACATACTGGTGACAAATACTTTTAAAATAGCATAACTCAAGTAACGCAAGTCAGTCTCGCCAGCCAAATGAAAATTATAGGTGGAAATCTCACACTGAACCTGGAGAATTTCCCCTTCGTGTTAAAGTATTTTCTTACTGATGTATTCATAAAACAATACTGTCCATTTATGTCTTTCAGAAACCATTCTATTATTTTCATTAACATACCTGTATATTAGAATAAAAACTTTACAAGGTTATACTTTCATTTTCCACTTTTTTTTCTTGTTTCTGTATTACTTTTTATATCAGTTTAATTTTGGCATTTAACCTAGCTATCTAATACCTTGGCAGTCAACACATTTCCCACCCTTGCTCTTGAATATAATGCTGTCAAGAGTGTGGGATATGAGAAAAGCGAGAGGTTTTCTAAAAGGAAAATACCTATCTATCTATGTATCTATGTATCTATGTATCTATGTATCTATCTATCTATCTATCTATCGATCATCAGGAGAGAGAGCCTAGAGACATTATAAAAGAATTAAATTCAAATTGTAAGATCATAATAAAGTTTAACACATCATGATTTATAAACTACAGATATAAACTAAGTAACTTGTTTAAAGCTCCAGATGCTGCTTTCCATAATATTTTAAGTGAAATACTGTGTGTATAACTTAAAACCATTAGGCCATGAAGACCATGGAGGAGAATATTTTAAGAATCAGTCACAATCTGAAGTGACATTATTGTTTTTTGTTTGAGTACACATTAGTACCAATTAGTTAATTTTAATTTGTGGAATGAATCAGTAAACAATAAAAGGGTATGAAAGGGTAAAGCACAATTTAAAGTGTTTCGGAAAAAGTGGTCAGAAAACAACATAAGATCAGTAGAATAATTCTAGCATATCCATAGAATAATTAATATTATCACTATAGTAAACATGATTTAACTCACACTATTTGGAGAAAAGAAAATTCACTTGCAGTATTCTGCACATTGTGTTATTTCTGCTCAAATGACATACTTACAATAATTTGATTGAAATCATGTGACTCTCCTGAGCAATCATGTTCTATCTTCTGGTTTAAGGCTATGTAGATATTAAGAGACATACAGTGATCCATCTTCTTTGTGTGGAAATGATCAAACACTACAAGTCAGTTAATGTGTTTTCAATGGTGAGGGGTTAATTCCAAAAGATTTATATTAGAATTGTATAGCATCTATATTTCTAATCCTTAGTTATTTGTATGAACAATTAGAAGTCTGACCTGTTTGGAACTTATTTTGGGGTAAATAGGTTCCCAAGCCTTCTTGCAAAGGACATGCAAATAATGAAAATATGATATTAAGAACCACTCCACTGTTATTAAAATGAAGATGAAAAGAATTAAATCAAAGTCTGCCATAGAATAATTTATAGATACCATATTGAACATTTTCTAAATATGCCCACATTCTTGGAGTGGCAGATAATGTGTTAACATTATAATAAGCATGAGTAAATAAACATTATGCATATTCTCTACTACAGATGAGTATACTTTTCGGCCCTTTTAATGAAGGATGGGGAATAAGCAACTCCCCGTAAGAAGAAGAACAGAAATGGATCCATTTTTGACTTGAAACTTTTATAAAAATAGCTGTATTTAATAATGTTTTACTTATCATGGGTACATTTTTTTTAACTTGTGTTCATAAGGTAGATTCATTCAGCAAAAGAGTAACTGGTACTAGAAGAGAAGTAAGAAATTCATGGCTGAGTTGTAGTTAAACTATATCCGTCTGAAACTCTTTCTCTCTGAGGAAGCTTTTAAAATTATTTTTTCATTTTTCCAGACCTTTTTTCTTGATCTCTGTATTTTCCTCTAAAGCAAAGACTATCAATGACATTCTTAAACTTTGAAAGATTTAGGATGAAGGGAATATTTACCTATATTTTAGAAATAGTGCAATTTTGGAGACTGAGAAGTCTCTCAGGTTATTATCATCAATGTAGAACTTATCAGAGATGACTTTGGCTTTCTAAAGCATCTAAAATAAGCTATAGTATGCCCATGTTCCTGCAGCATTGGACTTACATAATTTCAAATGTTAATAATACCTTTCATGGATGCCTTTACAGGTATGCATAAACAAAATATCTCATTTTTTAAAATCATTCTGCCCTCCATATGAAACTATTGGTCTATTAGATATATTTTTATTTTTTAACTGTTGATTTGAAATTATTATAGATTTACAGAAGGTTGCAAATATAGTACAGAGAGGTCTCTCATACTCTTCACCTAGTTTCCCCAGTGGTTACATTTTTTTTGTAGCTACAGTAAAACATTAAAACCAAGAAATTGACATTGAAAAAATGTGTATGCATACATCTGTCATTTTATTACGTGTAAATTCTTGTGACCACTACCACTATCAAAATATCTAACACTTCTAGTGAAGTGTAAAAATATTATCTCATTGGAAGTTTCTTTACCCATCCTTGTTTATATAATTTTTTAAATTTTTCATTTAGGTATTGATAACCATTTCGATGTTACAGTTTTTGATTCAAAAGTCAAACATAATTTAGAAAACTCAAGAAGAAAAATCTGTTGTACTTACTCATATTGTTGCTCTTTCTGTTACTCTTACATTTTTCTGATGATTTCAGGCCCCTTATTCATTTCATGTTTCAAGAACTTTTTGCTTTTCTTTAGGGCAGGTCTGTTTGCAACCAATTCTTAATTTTTCTTCTGAGAATTTATTTAATTCTCCTTCATTTCTAAAGGACATTTTTGCCTAATACAGAATTCTGGATTGACAGTTCTTGTTTTGCAGTACTTGAGAAATATATCACTTCCTTCTGGCCACCATTATTTCTGACAGGAAATCATTGTCATTCAAATTGTTTTTCTTCTGGAGAGATGAAGCATTGTTTTACCTCACTGTTTCCAAGATTTTTTCTTCTGCTGAAGTTTTCTGAAATTGACCTGTTTCTTTGTTGATTTTTTTGTATGTGTCCTGTTTCAGATTTTCTCATTTCTTGAATCTGTAGTTGTATGTCTTTTGCCAAACTCGAAAACGTTTTGGACATTATTTTTTCAAATATATTTTTAGCCCAACCCACTTTTGCCTTTCCTTCTAGGACTCTGATGACATGAATAGTAGATTTTTTGCTGTAGTCTTATAGGTCCTTGAGGCTCTGTTCTTTTTTTTTTTTTTTTTTCTTCATTTTCAGTCTATATTCCCTCTGGTCTTTGGATTAGTAAATTTTTAATGTCCTATTTTCAAGTTCACTTATTCTTTTCTCTATTTCCTCCATTACGCTGTTGAGCCATCAAGTATTTTTTAAAGTTTCAATTATATTTTTCGGTGCCAAAATTTCTATTTGTCTCTTGGCATCTTCTATTTATTTGTAAAGCTTTCCATTGTTTCATTTGTTTCAGCAATATTCGCAATTGCTCATTAAAACATTTTTATGGTGGTGGCTTTAAAATCCTTGTGAATAAATCTAATTTATGTGTTATCACTGTGTTGGCATGTGTTATCTCATTCAAGATGAGATTTTTTTCTGGTGCTTGATATGCTGAGTAATTTTCAATGTATCTAGGGTAATTTGGATATTATGCTATGAGGTTCTGTATTTTAACTATTGGAAATAAACCTCCTGTGACACCACACATGGTGAAAGTGGGGGTGCCTTGTTATTGCTAGGTGGTGATAAAAATTTATCCCTGCTCAACCACCTTTGGAGAGTGAGGGATTTTTTTCTTGTTTCTGCTCCCACTATGGCCTACACTGAAGGGAAGGCAAACATCAGGAGGCCTTGGACCTTTTTACCACTAGATGATAGTGAAAGTTCCAACTTCTCACTTAGTTTACTTTGACACCTAAGGAATCTGGTGGAGAAGGACGGGGCACATTGTAACTACCTGGTAGAGAAGAAAGTTCTAGATTCCCACACGGCCTTCTCTGATATCACCCAGACATTGATAGGCGGCAGGGCCTGTTAGTTTGTGTGTGTGTTTAAATTACACATTACCAATAGTATCACTTTGCATAAACCTATACTAAACTAAAAGCACGGACCCCACAGAAGATATGTAATTAAAGTTATCTTGTAGTATGCAGGTCTTTTTCACAGATGCATTCAGTGTGTGGTTTAAAAGGAAGTTAAAAGTTTAGTTCTAGTTACCATGCTAGAAGAACTTAATATGTAAAAGATGACATCATCAAAGACAGTGAAAGTCCTCTTTAATGTCTCAAGGCTTTTCATTGTGTATCACGAAATTTTGATTATCTGTTTCTTTTCAGTAAATATTTAGTCTATTTTTCTAAGTTTAATATATTAGGATTTTCATTTTCATTAATCCTTAGTGTTTGTACTACTGATATTTGCACATACAGTATGAGAACATACATTTCAAATGATCATTTTTTAAAAATTTCTTTGAGATATATTAAAAGTTCTATACCATATAAAGGAAAGTTATTCTACTATTCTAAAGCAGCTCATAAAATACAATGTACAAATAGGACAAAATACATACAAGAAGCGGGAGAAACGTTCCTAAACAGCTCCACTGATACAGTGGAGATATAATCTCTCCTCTCTATTGAATGAATTTGCTGAGGGTCGGTGCATATAGTGGTCAATGGAATACAAACCAATAAAAATATGACAGATAAATAGAATGAAAAGTATCCAAGGGTCAAGTGCTAAATCTGTTCTGCTGATTCCAGCTGATATTTCCTTTTCTTCTTTAACCCACATGAAGACACTCTACTAAACAGTCATGTATATCTCAGGCATACTGGTTTTCATTTGTAATTTTCATTTTATTGCACTTTCAATTTTCAGGTTTTGTCCATCTTTCTTCCCCTTGGCCCTTCCATCACTTCTGCTACTTGATGAATTCTGTCTTAAACAGTAGCTAGAATATAAACATTTAATAAAATATTAACCTGATTGCTTGCCCTCCCTATAAACAATAAAATGACATACATGAACAAATGACAAATACAATATTTTATGTTGTGTTTATTTCTACCTTTCTCCGAGGCTTCTTTTAATCTTTATTAAAGTTTATTATAGCAAACTACTATCAAATATTTCCATGCATTTAACCTGTTATTGTAACATCAACACAAGAGAGCAAATGAAACTTGTGAAGCTTATACTTTCTATTGCTCTAAGGTGTCTATGCAGATCATTATGTATTCTTCACCACAGGTCAGTTGCTTAGCGACCAGAGAAGTAGAGAACTACTAATTGAAAGTATTCTGTATTGCTGGCAAGGCTTGCTGCAGGACATTGAACTTGGAAACAGCAGAGACTGTGTCAGATAAAAATGTTGCAGAGGATGAAAGAAAAATAGTTGCAGCATTATCATACTAGGAATGGTTATTATTTACTTTATGATAAATTCTGCAAAATGCTTTGCTGTGCTTCTGTTTTATAAGAAATATTAAAATTGATTTTACTATTAAGGATCATTTACGCAATCAGATTAAAAATCAGAGTTGTGGCATCTATTTTTAAAAAGTAAAACAGAACACAAAGGAGAAAAAGAAGAGGAGGACAAAAGAGAAGAAACAGAAGCAACAGCACTAAGTTAGATCCAGGTCCCTAAAGATAAGTAACAATATCTGTATGAACTTTTCTGATTGCTTATTTTGTAATGAAAACAAAGAAAGAAGAGGATGAGGAGGAAGATGAGGATGAGGAGACTGAGGAGGAAGGCAAGGAGAATAAGGAAGAGGAGCAAGAGGTAAAGGAGAAGAAAAGAAAAAAGAGAGAGATAAGATTATTAAAAATCAAACTAAATACATATTGGAAAAACAATTGAAAAACAAACCAAAAGTAGCAACACTCTAACAGAGCAATAGTATAAACAAATTTATTCAAAGCATTAATTTTATATTAGTCTGTATCAGGCTTTCTAACCTGTACATTATATAAAATTAGGATTATTTTCTCTCTTCTTTCCATGTAATGTACAATTCATGTATCCATCAAAAATAGATGAGTGGTCATTGTGTGACATCTTTCACTTAATAGAAAAGACTAGGTCAGAAAAGAGAAAATGTCCTTCACAAGACCAATACTAAGTTGGCTCAATTTTCCTGATAGCTTATTTGCTACAAGAATTCTGATATAATTCTGTATTTACAGGCTCATTCTCACTCTCTCACAATCCACAGGCATACAAACAAAGTGTGTGTGTGTGTGTGTGTGTGTGTGCGCGCGCACATGCGTTTGACAAAGACAGAGAGAAAAAGACTTGAATAACTGTTTCTTATGAGAATTCATTTGTGGTAATGGTTGCTACTTGTATTTCTATAAAGATTACTCCTAGTAATGATTGAAAAACAGGACATATGTTAATTAAATGTTCAGTGACTTTATAGTTAAATATACATATAATGCACATTCCAAGTTTTTTAAAAAAATAACAATCAATAAATAGCTAAATGTTTTAAATCACAACTGGTCAGAATTTAGTTGTTAATATTCAGATACCATTTCAATATCATGTAGAGTCATTATGAATATCATTTGTCTGCAGTATTCTGAAGATAAAGGTGGTAAAACATGTGTTAGTCAATGGTCTACCTGTTATACAGCCTTTTAAAACAAATCCTTGGCATGAGATTGTCATTTGTCTGTTTCCCATAAAAGCTGAGTGTAGAACATCCTAAAAATCCAGTTCAGCTTTTTTATTCTTGTTACATTTCTGCAGAATTTTAATATAACTTTCCTTTTGTGTATTTATGCCTACTGTTTCTATTTACTTACAGGTGGCTTGAATTTTTTATCCAGAGATAAAGTTAATGCAAGAAAGAATTTAAAAATGTATGGTAGATTATCAAAATTCTTAATTGAAAAAAAGGTCAAATCCACCTTTGCTACAGCCCACAACCTAATCTTATATCTGTTCATCTTTTTTGTCTTTGTTTTAAAAACACATACTTGATAATCATATTAGATGGTTACAGCTTTCTATTGCTGCATAATAAACCAGTCTAAACATAGCAGCTTAAAACAGCTAAGTAGCACAGATGGACCTGCTCATGATTCTTCAATCTGGGCTGAACTCAGCTGGGTGGCTCATCTCTTCCCTAGATGGTGTCTTCTGCTGGACTCTTTAATATGTTTGTATTTAGAGGCAGCTCCATAGGGACTGGAGGATCCTAGCTGGCCCCATTCATATGTTGTGCTGGAATGACTAGAAACTGGGTCTTCCTCTCTATCTTCCCAGTCTTTCATTCCTCCTGGTCTTTTTCATCATAAGGTGTCTCATCCACAAGGACGCTAACCTAGACATCTTTGCACAGTGGCTCAAGGTAAAAGACAGAGTAAACAAAAGCTATAAAGCTTCCTTAAGCCTAGGACTGAAACTTATACAGTGTCTCTTTAGCTGCATTCTCATGGCTCAACTAATTCACAAGGCTAATCTATTGTCTGGTTGGGAGGATAATTCAAGGACATGAAATCAAGGGACATCCATAATTCATTGGGGACTGTTTGGTAAGAATATGAGTTAAGGCTTAAATTTGTTCGAATACAACTGGTTCTAAAGCATCACATTGTTGTATTAGGTTTCCAGGGTTGTCATAACAAATTACAACAAACTTGATGACTTAAAACAACAGAAATTGATTCTCTCACAGGTCTGGAGGCCAGAAGACAAATCAATGTGTTGGCAGTATTGATTTCCACTGGAGACCCAGAAAAAACCCATTTCATGCTGCCAGCAATTCTTAGCGGTTTTTGTCTTTCCAATCTCTCTGATTCTGTCTTCACATGCCTCCCCGCCTTTTTTTCTGTGTCTTTCTGTTATTCTATCTCTTATAAGGACACTCATTAGATTTAGAATTTATTGTAATAGAGGATGAGCACACTTTATTACCTTGTTACATCTTCAAAGATGCTTATTATGAATGAGGTCAGACTGTGAGATTCTGGGTGGACAAACCTTTTGGGCAAACACCATTCAACTCTTACGATTTTCTATCAAAATGTGTAATTTTCTCCCATACTTTTTCAGTAATCTCCACCATAAAGAACTTGGATTTAGAACACTTGGATTCAGTAATCTCCATCATAAAGAACTTGGATTTAGAACACTTTTTTTCCACATGTATTTAAGCAATGTTTCTCAAAGTATATTCCTGAGAAAAGTATTTCAGTTATTCTATGAGTAAAAAGTTTCTTGGTCACGCAATTTTGGAAATTACTGCTTACTATTAACACCTCCTGGATATTTGCTTTGTGCACTAATTTATTAATGAGAAATCATATAGGAAAATATGCTAAAATTTTAGGAAGCACATGTTTTTCCCAAACACCAATAAACACTAAATATCGCCAATTTTATTCAAATGATACCTATCAACACCTTACAGAAAAAGGGTTATGTGTACCAAAGGTCCTGATTTGACCTATTGTGTTGACTACATGATATCTGTTTCAAAATTATAAACAAAATTACCATGAGTATTACTAAACATTTTAGTAATCTGTGCCCTTGCAATTCAGCAAGCCATTTCAACTACCTGGAATTTTCTTTCTCCTTTTTACGGATAACTCCTACTGGTCCTTTAGATATCAGATTAGAGGTTATTTTCCAAAGAAAGCTTTTCTTCACTCCCCAAAGATTCAGTTAGATGTTCTTCCAGTGATTTTTATAGCTCTCTGTTCTTGGTGGTAATATATCACTGAAACACTCTACTGTAATTACCTTGGTTTTTGTTCTTTATTTAGTGTTCAACCATATGCTTGCTGAAGTTTAGAATGTTATTCGTCATTTATATAAAAAAAAGTAATTTATTTACCTAGTTTATCCCAAGATTTATACCGTCAATGCCTTCATTACAAATTAAGGGCTAAAATATATAGTAAGTTCCTGAAGCTCTACCAAATGTTATCTATACTAAGACACAACAGATATTTAATCAATGCTTATTAAATGAATAGATGAGAAAATTTGACATTGGGTAGAAATCCTTTAAAATATTTTGCGTGGAAATCACTTTTTGCTTTCAAAGTAATGTAATTAAAGACTTTCAGTTCCCACAGTTTGCAACAATAATCTTAGGAACTTAACTATTTGTTTTGTGAATATCTAGCACTAAACAATGAGCTAGAAATTTGATAAAACAGTTCAAATAATTTTTAAATCTCTTTGACTCAATTAGTCATGACTGAATTCATTTATACCATTAGGATATTAACACATCTTTTAAAAAACAGTGTTAAATGGAGCTGGTCAAGCTATGCATTTTAAGAAGAAAAAGTACTCTCTTTTTAATAGGCTCTGCATAAGTAAGGCTATCCTCTTTTTCATAGTTTTTCAGAAACAATAACTTTGTCATTTTCTATACTTATTGATAATTTCCCCAACATATTAACAATTAAGAAATAAAGTTATGGCAACCTAATTAGTCGAGTCAATACAGGAAGTAAATTGTTAAGACAGTGGGCATACCATCTTAGTTAGTAAGATATGGACATTCAACCACTCTCTTTCCCTACCCTAAGACACACACACTGTCAGAGAAAATGTTATGATGTGACTGAGAACTTTATGCTCAAAGCTTTTCAAAATTTCATATATAAATATTGTACTTTTATCAATATAAGATTTCACACTGTAAGAAAACATTGGCATAGGAATCATTCTCTTTTACACAGTTTGAAAATGAATTTTAATGACATTCATATCTGATAAATAATATAATGTCATGGAGTAAAAGTTATTTTCTTGATATAAATATTTTATCATTTGAGTATATTCTCCCTGAAATCTAGGTGTCAGTTTAACAAAATGCATTTCTCAGTTCACTGAATATGACTCCAGGATAAATAAAAAAGAACATTCATATTCAAAAAAAGTAATTTATTTACCTAGTTTATCCCAAGATTTATACTGTCAATGCCTTCATTACAAATTAAGGGCTAAAATATATAGTAAGTTCCTGAAGCTCTACCAAATGTTATCTATACTAAGTAGAATTAAATTAAATCATTGTGTTAACTTTTTATTCCTATTAAAGGATTTAGTTTTCTTCTAGTTTAGATATAATAACAAAAGCAAATGTACATCCCTGGTTTCTTGCCAATTATAGCTGGGTCACACCTGCCTAAGTAGTGTTTTATAATAAATACATAGTAAGTAAATTAGTATCCAACCCTCAGGCCTACACGGAATAAATTTGGTGGGGTACTTCTCCCTTGGGAAAAAAATGTTGTTAGCATTTTTTGTTTGCTAGTATCCTTTAGACCTACTACCTATAAAAACCCCTCTAAATGAAGCCTCTGGCAGCATTTCAATAAGCTAACTTCCATAGGTTTCTTCAGTTCATGGGGGTATTTTCCTCCTTTAATTTGCCAGCAGAGATCTGACATGAAAAAGTTCAGGTGCTGTTTTATAATATAAGAAAACATATACATGAGACTCCTTGTTCCTTGTCATAATCACATGTACAGTGCTTTAATTTCAACAAATCATATAGAAAAAAGAAGGTTGGTTTAAGTCATCATCACAAATAAAAAAGCCCATAAACCTACACCTATATTGTGGTCTTGTAATTCACCACTTGGAAGCTTGTAAAACCTAAAACTTAATATGCCTACAAATTTTGAATTTTTTAGAATATACTCAATTTGCTTCTACTTCTTCCATTGGGGTTCATGGCTATCACACATTGTAAGACAGTTAGTAGACCCAGCAGAAATGACTTCAAAATATTTGTGTTTTCTGTGAAAGTTTGAAAATCTGTTGACTCCCTGGTTGTTCTGTTTGGAAGTCTTTTATGCATTGCTTTCCCTTTCTTATTTCTCCTCACACACATACAAGCTCTTTTCTTGCCTATTGTGTGTACTTGGCTGATTTTCTGGGCACTGTGCCCAGTTGGTTTAACGTGTGCTTATTATTGTCTATAGCATTCCTGATTCTGTTTTGGAGATGGGTATTCTATGAATTATTAATGATTATTATCATCCTTTAGAATCAACTTTGCTTTTGGAATTTAGAAACAAAAGATGAACATTGAGCCCTATGGGTAATCACCAGCAATATCAAGGTCATGTCCAATGCTTGACTGTAAGGGAAAGGAATAGTGAATATACTGAAGTGAACAAAACAGGATTATTCCTATAAACAGATAAAATTAACAGAATAAAACTTAAAGTTCAAAATGTATTACTTGAAAAAATGCTCATAATATTATTTTACCATACCCATTTTACCATTTAAATATTACCAGTAGTTTTTTTCCTCAATATCCATTGATAAGCTTATTCTTTAAAAACAGAAGAAGGGAAAGTGCTAGCTTTTTTGCTTCTTATTCACAGGAACTTGTGCACCTGATGTAGTATAGCACATTCTCAAACATCTAATAGGTCACTTCTGAATTTTTCTCTGAATTTTGAATGAGATAAAAGTAATTTGAATTTAGCTATCATTTCAAAGAAGAAAAAAGTTGCATTTGCAAATTATTTACACAAGCACAAATTTTTAGAGAAAGAAATACTAGAGAAAGAAAAACATAGAGGAAAATAGGTGGTGAAAAAATTCTTTGGAAGTGCAAAAGAAAGAAAACGTTTATTGGCAATGACACATGATTATTAATCCCCATGTCTAAGTAAATTTGGGGTCTTTACCCTTGCTATAGTTTGGACATGGGTTATTCTCTCCAAAATTCATGTCGAAATTTAATTTCCCATGTAAGGTGTTAGGAGATCTTGCTTTGAAGAGGTGATTAGGTCATTAAGACAAATTAATAACTTTCTGGTGAAACTGGGTTATTTTTCATGATAATGGATTAGTTCTCATAAGAGCCAGTCATTCTAAAGAAAGTTGCCTCTTTTATTAAGCAATGTTTTGCCTGATTTCCATTTTGTTTCTCTGCCTTGCTGTGACATAGCATGTGGCTCTCATCAGAAGCTCAACAGATGCCAATGCCATAGTCTTGGACTTTCCAGCCACCAGAACCATAAGCTAAATAAACCTTTTTTCTTTATAAATTACCCAGTCTCAGGTGTTCTGTTACAGCAACACAAAACAGACCGAGACAACACTACAGCTGTAATACGTAATATTTTGAAATTAGATTTTAGCTTAGGACCAATACATACCCAATAAAGTGGAACTCAGAAGGTATCACTTAAGAATTGTTAAATAAGTGCCATCTTTTTGTTTTTATACTGAAAAACAAATGTATCGATTCTCAATTATTTTCTCCCTAATGTAACAATAATAACATAATATTGTATTTTCCAAAACCATTCCTCCTTTCTCTCAATTGTATGTATTTTTCCTTTTTTCTTTCTCCTTTTTCTTTTTGGAGTATGATAAATAGTTTTAAATCTATCCTCCTGAAATTGCATCTAGGATTTGGATATATTTTGCTATAAATCTTTGCTTCCTTGGAATAAAAATATTCTCTACATTTTTATTATTCTAATATTGATTCAGCTTTGGAGTTAATTTATATGCAAAGCAAATAATTTACCCAAAGTTGTAAAGAATATGCATTATCAGAACACAACACCTGCAGGACAAAAGAGAGGTTAATTTCATTGTTGCTCCAAAGCAGAAGGAGATCATTATGGAGCCTGCAGTAACCAAGCTCTGTGAAATAGCTGCATTAGTCATTAACTTTCCAGCACTAAATTTCATATCAAACTCAATTAACTACTACATAGCTTTTAATGACAATATTTTTTCAGATGCAGCTCTTGTTTACTAATAAGTTTTCACATCACGACTATCTGTTCCATTACTTCCTCCATGTTAATGAATTCAAGTCTTGATTTTCTCCAAAGAAAATGGGGCAATGAAAATTGCATTTCCTAAAATTCTCCTTGAATTATGTTTTAACATTTCAAGTGTGTTAATGTAATGCTTTAAGAAGCTAAAGGGAACGATTATATAGGAAGCTAAAGTCATCTATGTCTATCCTCGGGATTGATTAAGTTTGCTATTTATACATGTTTCCCCCACAACATTGCTGTGTTGGAATTTATCAGGATAGGAACCATCTAAATTGAAAATGCCCCTTCGTATATTTTTGTCACAGTGAAAGTCAAAGCCTAGAATAACAAAAAGGCACTAAATTAATATCATCAGGAAACAATTTACTCAGCTAATTAGCATAACATTCTTATATAAAAAGACAGATGGATTAAGGGATCAGGTCATTCATAGCCTGCAGCAAACTGCTTCAGTCTTTAATCCCCTGCTGTTACCTATCAACTGGTACTCTTTTTATGGATTTGGACAGATCCCTGGGAAGATTTAGATTCTCCCATTGGACTGATTCACCTTGTTCCTTTAACTTTTTATTGACGATATATTTCATTATTTCCTGACTAAAACAACAGTAAGAACTCTAAATTAGTTAGCAGCTAAAGAATTGAACTAAAGGCGTATGTCCACATTTCTCATATAGTAGCTTCTACAACACACACACACACACACACACACACACACACACACACACGATGCCCTGCAGTGCTAACAAATAGGCTCCAGCTTGAAGACAACCATAGAAGAGTTATATGTGTATATCCTAGTTCAATAAAAATTGGGATTTCATGCTACATACACAACATTCAAGACAATTAGGAATAGCACAGCAACAGCCAGTAGTAACTATGAAAAATATCAAATTCTTTACATCGAAGTAGTCAATCAGCATAGATTATAGATTTCCATGAGTCCTTTGACAAATGTTTCCAAAAATAATGTCTAAGAAAACTATTAGTGAAGATGTTTGATCTATTGTATAGAAACCAAAACCAACAAATGAAAGAAAAGGCCTCTGGGAAAAAAAAATTATTTTAAAGTTTTGGGCTACAGGGAGATAATTTATTTCCTTTTGACTACTGTATTAGCTTTCTAGGGCTGCCATAACAAAGTATCACAATATAGGTGGCTTAAAAAAAAAAACAAACATTTATTGTCTCACAGCTCTGTAAGCTAGAAGCCTGAAATCAAGGTGTTGGCAAGATTGGTTCCTTCTGAAAAGTTCTGACTTAAAGTCCATTCCACGTGTGTCTTCTAGTTTCTGGTTGGTTGCCAGCAATTTTTGGTGTTCTTTGACTTGTGCATGCATCACCCCACTGTCTGCCTCCATCATTACATGGCCTTCTTCCCTATATTTCTTTATGTCTCTCTGTGTCCATATTTTCTTTCTTTATAAAGAAACCAGTCATTGAATTAGGGCCCATCCCATTTCAATATGACCCTGTTTCAAAATAACATCTGCAATAACCTATTTCCAAATAAGGTCACATTCACAAGTATTGGGATTAGTATTTCATTTTGGAGACCCGATTCAACACACAATGACTATAAACAATCAGAATGTTAGTTTATTAATTTATAACAAGAACTATGTTATATAAAATAAAATTCTTACTTCAGCATAAACAGTACATACTTTCCACCCAAACGCACACCTGTATGGGAAAACAAAATGTAGTCACATGATAGCTGGGTATGTATTAGATCAGAAAAATAAAGTTCAATGATTAGAATATTTAACACCATCAAGCTAATATAAATGTGCAGATGCATTTATTTTTATTGTAGGAAGGCTTACCAACTTAATTGGCAATTTCACTTGCCCAGACTTCCTACCTCAGGAATTGGACTTCCACTTAGGTGGAAAAGAGATTTATGCCTTAAAGATTCATCTGTAGCTCAGTTTCCATAGGCAACTAATTCTCCTTTCATTGACAGACTCTTTCTATAGCTATGTTAATAAATTCAGTCCCAACATAGTAAAATCCTCTGACTTTACCCCCCTTAGGTTAGTTTACAGTGCTTCAGAAGGCATTCTTTCTTCTCTTAGTTTTATATATTTATAAAGGGTTATATAAAACTAAGAGGGTTGTATTTTTGTAGCCACCTTTCTGATTATCCCCATGTACTGAGAATATATGTGTGTGTGTGTATTGATACATTTTATTTATATGTGTGTGTGTGTGTGTGTGTGTATATATATATATATATATATATATATATATATGCAAGACTATATGTATATAGTCTTGTCCTATTTGGAGGCCCATTAAAGTATTTTTTCTTCCTATTCTTTTACTTCAACTATGATATACAATTAATTCTGTTATACACACACACACATACACATACATATACACATACATATATGTACGTGTGTGTATACATATGTTTTAATAATCAAAGTTACAATTTATTTTGAACATATTATTTGCCAGAATTTATATGGCATACTTTCAATTCACTAACCTATTTTATCTTTAATATCTAAATGGGATAATTATTATTATTTATTTTTCAAAGATGGGGTAACAAAGGCTTCTGTTACCCCTCAATGTTGCCCATTCTCCACAGACTGTATAATAGAAGTTAAAATTATTTTTGCCCAACATCAAATATCTTGCATCATACTGCATTCCTTTCAGCAACCTGCAATTTCCCTATAACCTGGAAATTTTGAACCTCCATGCCTTCGTGTGTAATATTTTCTGCATGAAAAATGTGTCATTTCAACTTATCTAACTCTTGCTTACTATCTAAGGTAAGGTAGAAGTGCCAACTTTTACAAGGTTTTAGATAAAAGGTGAAAATAACAGTCTCTTGGTCCACACTCACATAGCCCTTTGTTTATATTAAACACCATATTATATTATGCTATTAATAGTCAGCTGTTTATTTATTCATCTCCTTCAGCAGACTCTAAAGGCCATTAGGGACTTGCTAATTCATTTACTAATTAATTAAAGAAATTTGAGGAGAATATCAAGAATAACCCTCTACTTGTTCCCAGCCACCATTCATCACTCACTTTCTTAATTGTTCATTCACAGTGTACATATACAGTGATGTCAGAAATGTTACGCCATACCTCCATGAGAAACAACTTTATTAACTGGAGCACTGTGCTTGTATACACTTCCTTTCACCTTTAATTTTACAGTCTCCTCTCATTTCTGAAGTTACTTATTTCAACGCATTTTTCCCCACCCATCTCAGTGAGGTTGTTTCATATATTTTCAATACAGTTATAATATTTTGTCACACTCTGCATTCCATCTTGCAATCCCTCTACTTCCTAAAGGATAGTTTTTTTTAAAGTTATATAAATTAATGTTTCCTCCTCAAGCTCAAAAACTCTTATGGATTCTGAGAAATGCATAATGTTATGTCCGCCATTACAATATCATATAAAATAGTTTCAGTACAGTAAAAAATTTGTTTTCATGCTTCACATATTTAACCCTACCTCCTCTCCCCTCACCTCTGGAAGCACTAATCTTTTATACTATATTGTTTTGCCTTTTTTACCATGTCATATATTTAGCAATATATAATACGAGTCATTTGCTGACTAATTTCTTTCACAGAGCAATAAATATTGAATATTCATGTATTTATTCCTGTAGATTTATATTTATTTCTTTTTTCTGGATGTACTAGTATATCAATTCACTTATTTAAGGTTTAAGGCCATGTAAATTGCTGTCCATTTTTGATAATTATAAAAAAGAGCTCTGATAAACACTCACATTTTTATGTGATATAAATTGTCACATCATTGGGATAAATACGTAGAAGAATGATAACTGAAGTGCGTGGTGAGACGATATTTAGATTTGTAAGAAACTGCCAATCTGTCTTCCAGTGTGCAGTACCATTTTTAAAATTCCCTTCAGCAAACAGCTACTATTGCTCTACATTTTCACCAGAATTTGTAATACTTCGGTTCATGGATTTAAGCCATTCTAACTAATGTGTGGTAGTATCACAATTGTTTTAATTTGTGTTTCTCTAAAGAAAAAAAATACTGTTGAGCATATTTTTATATGCCAGTTGCCATGGGTATTTCGGGGGCAGGGGTGAAGTGTCTTTTCAGATTCTATGCACATTTGTAATTGGCTTGTTTGCTTTCTTATTATTCAGTTTTCAGAGTTATTTGTATGTTTAGATACCAATACTTTATTAGATATATGGTTTACAGATATTTTCTTCTAGTTTGTGGCTTGTCTTTTAACTCTCTGGAGTCTTTCACAGAGCAGAAAATTCCATTTTAAATTTAACAAACTCTAACATCATTTTTTCTTTTGTAGCTAGAGCTTTTCGTATTAATATTATATCTAAAAATCCATTATCAAACCTAATGTCACTCATTACATGTAAAGCATACTTTCTTTTTCAACTATTCTAGTGGTTCCCCCAGAGTATCCAATACACATTTGTTACTAATCTAAGATCACCTTCAAATAGCACTCCACCAGTTGACATATAGTGCAGGTACCTTAATAAGAAGTGACAGCGTGCTGGCAGCCCTTGCTCGCTCTCCGTGTCTCCTCGGCCTGGACGTCCACTCTGGCCGCGCTTGAGGAGCCCTTCGCCCCACCGCTGCACTGTGGGAGCCCGTCTGTGGGCTGGCCAAGGCCGGAGCCTGCTCCCTCTGCTTGCGGGGAGGTGTGGAGGGAGAGGCACAGGCGGGAACTGAGGCTGCGCGCGGCACACGCAGGGCGGCCCTGCACTCAGAGCGGTCAGGCTGGCGCCACAGGCCCTGGGCAGTGACGGGCTTAGCACCCAGAGCCAGCCGCTGCGGAGTATGCGCCGAGTTCCGCATCACTGCCGGCCCACCCGCTCTAGGCTCGAATTCTTGCCGGGCCTCAGCCGCCTCGCTGTGGGGCAGGGCTCGGCACCTGCAGCCCCCCATGCCCGAGCCTTTCCCCGCCCGCGCCTTCCCCCGTGGGCTCCCCAGAGGCAGGCGGGAGTCTCCCCAACTGCACTGCCCCCTGCTTCGCGGCGCCTGGTCCCATCAACCACCCAAGGGCTGAGGAGTGCAGGCGCCTGGCGTAGGACTGGTGGGCAGCTCCCCCAGCGGCCCCAGCGCGGGATCCGCTAGGCAAGCCAGCTGGGCTCCCCGGTCAGGTGGGGTCTCGGAGAACTTTTGTATCTAGCTGGAGGATTGTATATGCGCCAATCAGCACTCTGTGTCTAGCTCAAGGTTTGTAAACACACCAATCAGCACCCTGTCAAAACAGGCCAATCAGCTCTCTGCAAAATGGACCAATCAGCAGGATGTGGGTGGGGTCAGGTGAGGGAGTAAAAGCAGGCTGCCAGAAGGGACAGTGATAACCGGCTTGGGTCCGTTTCCATGGTGTGGAAGGTTTGTGTTTTCGCTGTTTGCAGTAAATCTTGCTGCACACTCTTTGGGTCCACACTGCCTTTATGAGCTGTGACAACCACCGGGAAGGTCTGCAGCTTCACTCCTGAGGCCAATGAGACCAGGAACCCACCGAGAGGAATGAATAACTCCAGACACGCTGCCTTAAGAGCTGTAACACTCACCGCAAAGGTCTGCAGCTTCACTCCTGAAGCCAGCGAGACCACAAACCCACCAGAAGGAAGAAACTCCGAACACTTCCGAACATCAGAAAGAACAAACTCCAGACACACCATCTTTAAGAACTGTAACACTCACCACTAGGGTCTGCAGCTTCATGTTTGAAGTCAGTGAGACCAAGAACCCACCAATTCTGGACATGTTAATAGAATAGTCCCAGTTCATCCTTCATATCTTTTGTATCATAACCATCAGGCATTTCACTTACCCACATGCTGTAATTGCCCAAAACATTTACTAATATTACTTTCAACAAACATGTAGTTTAAATAGATTTACAATAAGAAAAATATAACATTTTTTTCCTTTTTCAACATACTTGCTTTCTTTTTGTAAATACAGGTTTCTGATCTATATCATTCTTCTCCTCCATGAATAACCTCTTTTAACACAGTTGCAGGAAAGTTTTCTGGCAATATATTCCATTAGTGTTTTATTGTCTAGTAAATTCTGATTTCCCCTCTGCTTTTGAAGTATAATTTTGCTAGATGTAGAATTCTAAGTTGGTGCATTTATTCCTTTAACACTTTAAACATTTCCCGCAACTCTCTCCTTTCTTGCCTGGTTTCTTACTGGAAGTGGGCTGAAATCCTTGGTCTTTTTTTCTCTACAAGGAATGTAGTTTTCATTCCAGATTCTGTCAAGATTTTCTCTGTGTCTATTTATTGATTTATTTTATTTTCTTTTATTCTACATGTAGGAAATGTTACGTCTGGTGCTGTATTTTTGTTGTTTGTCATGAATTGTATTCTCTGAGCTACCTGGACCAGTCGTTTGTTTCATGTTATTATGCTTTAAAATTTCTTGACCATTACTCATTTAGATAGATTCTCCTCATTTCTCTCTTTCTCATCTTTCTGCTATTCCAGCTTCCCATTTTGTACAACTTTAGAAACTGCCCAGCGGGTCTTTGATGTCCTTCACTTTTTTTTTCCATTTATTTTTTCTTGGCACTTTGTTTTAAAATGTATTTTTGACCTATCTTTAGTTTCACCAATTCTTTCCCCAAACATGTCTGGTCTACTAATGAAACCATTGAAAGCATTTTAAAAAAATCTATTGGAGTTATTTTAATTTCTAACCTTTTCTTTTGGTTCTTTGTTAGAATTTTCATCTGTCTGCTTATACTAATCATCTTTTATTGAATATTTTCTACATTTTCCACTAGTGTCCTTAACATCTTAATCATAGTTATGTAAAATTTCTTGATTGCTATTTCCAAAATATGCATCATCATCACTGAGTCTTGTTCTGATGATCATCCTGTCTCTTCAGATTGTTAATTTTTTTCTTGCCTTTTACCATGTTTTGTAATTTTGTTGCCATTGTTGAGAGCCAGACATGTGGTATCCATAATAGATACTGAGATAAATTGATGCTGAGATAAATTGATACTGAGATAAAGTTAATTGAGGATATATGTTAATCTGTCTTGGAGTTGAACTGCATTTAATATTTGTTATAGCTCAAGTTTCTGAAGGTTTCAAATTCCTCTAGTGTCCTTGTTTTTGTCTCCTCCCTTAACTTTGGGTTTCCTTAAGTACTCATCTTCAAACAGTGTCTGTTTCTTGTAGCTCTTTTGTCTGTCTCCTTATATTGGAGTCATGTTGGTTTAAATTTTATGGTATGAGCAGAGAAATATGTTCTGTAGTGCTCTGATTGAATATCCGCCTTTCAGTGGGCCTATGTCTTAGGTTATGACTTTTACGAGTGTTTTGCCAGTAGTTTATCTTTTGTCTCTATTACAGGACTGCCAGATTCATATGCCCACTGAGCAGCAATAGACCAATACACTGAGACATCATAATTTGCAGCAGAAAAAGAGTTTAATAATCACAATGCCATTGGGCAAAGAGATGAAGGAATCCTCAAGCTTCAAATCTGTCTGCTTGAGGGGTTCTGGGCCAGGGTTTTTAAGGGGATTGTGGCGGGTGAGGGTCTGGAGAATTGGGGTTGTCAATTGGTCAGGTCAAGGAAGATTAAATCATCACGATGTGAAAACTGCATTCTTCCGTGAGTCGGCTCCTTGCTGGGACCTTCAGATCAACTGGCATCAACAGTTTTATCAGTATGCGTAACATAAAGGAGAAACTCAAACAGAAAGCATATCATCTCATGTGCCTTAGATCTTATCTATAGAAAAGAAAAGGAACACAGTCTTGTGACAAGGGCTACACTATCTTGGGGGAGTAAGCAGTAACTAGCTACAAGGAAGTAGGCCAAATTGGGAAGTGGATTTCATGATTGCCACTGATTATTCTGCAAGCCTAGTTGAATTTTATTTTCTCCCTTAATTGGTTTATAAACTTTTCTTTGGGACAGTTTCATCCTTTATCCCCTTTAGATGAGAAAAGGAGGTTAAATGAGGAGGTGCCAAGATGGCCAATTAGAAGCAGCTGTGGTCTGTGACTCCCATCTAGAAGAACAAAAATGGCGAGTGAATTCTGCACCTTCATCTGAGGTATCCAGATTCTCTCGCTGGGACTGACAAGGTGATTGGCGTGACCCACAGGGAGCAAGGAAAAGCAGGGTGGAGCAGTGCCTCACTTGGGAGCTGCATGGGGCAAGGGGCACTCCCACCCCCAGTCAAGGGAGTCAGTGAGTGATTGTGCTACCTTTCCTGAGGAACCATGCTTTTTCCATGGATCTGTGCAACTCACAGATCAAGAGATCCCCTTGTGAGCCCACACCACCAGGGCCTTGGGTGCCAAGCACAGAATTGTGCAGACTCTCATCACCGCTCAGGCTGTGGCCAGTGACAGCAGACTGGAGACTGTCTAAGATGACTGAGTTCCCAGGGGAAGGGGTGGTTGCTATCACTGTGGCTTCAGTTGGCTGTTTTACCCTGGTGGTGCTGGGGAGACAGGGAGGTTTAGACGGGGAGCACAGCAGCTGTGGCAGATCATGGCCAGACTGCTTTTTTAGGCGGAACCTGGATCCATCCCTACTCACTGGGTGGGGCCCCCTTGTGGGAATTTCGCCAACTCCAGCCAGAGGTTTATGGACAGAACTGTGATCTTCCTGGGCAGAACTCCTGTGGGGAGGGGCAGCCACAGTCTCTGTGGTTCAGCAGACTTAGTCTTTCTTGCCTGCTGGCTCTGAAGGGTCTGGACATTCTGGACAAGGGAGATTCCCTCCACCGCAGTGCACTCTCTCTGCCAAGGGGCAGCCAGAGTGCTTTGTTAAGTGGTCCCTGATCCTGTACATACTCCCTAACTGATTGAGACCACCAACAGGGGTCTCCAGGCACCTTATACAGGAGTGTTCCTGATGGCATCACATCAGTGCCCCTCTGGGATGGAGCTCACAGAGGAAGGAGCAGGCAGCCATCCTTGCTGTTCTGCAGCCTCCACTGGTGACACCTCCAGGTAGGGGAGGGACCAAGTGAATAGGGTCTGGAGTGGACCCCCAGCAAACTGCGGCAGCCCTAAGGAAGAGGGGTCTGACTGTTGAAAGAAAAACAAACAGAAAACAACAACAACAAAAACATCCACAAAGATGACCCCACAAAAACCCCTTCCAAAGATCAGCAGCCTCAAAGATCGAAGATAAATAAGCTCATGAAGATGAGAAAGAATCAATGCAAAAATGCTGAAAACTCAAAAAGCCAGAGTGCCTCTTCTCCTCCAAATGATTGCAACACCTCTCCATCAAGGGCACAGAACTGGGTGGAGGCTTGAGATGGATGAACTGACAGAAGTATTCTTCAGAAGGTGGGTAATAACAAATTTTGCTGAGCTAAAGTATATTCTAAAACAATTCAAAGAAGCTAATAACTATGAAAACATTATAGGAACTGTAAACCAGAATAACCAGTTTATAGAGGAACATAAATGACCTGATGGACCTGAAAAGCACAACACGAGAACTTCACAATGCAACCACAAACATAAATAACTGAATAGACCAAGCAGAGGAAAGAATCTCAGAGCTCAAAGACTATCTTGCTGAAATAAGAAAGGCAGATAAGATTAGAGAAAAAACTGAAAAGGAATGAAAAATAATCAGAGAACTATGGAATTATGTAAAAAGACCAAACCTACAACTGATTGGGGTACCTGAAAGAAATGGGGAGAATGAAACCAAGTTGGAAAACATACTTCAGGAAATCATTCAGGAGAATTTCCCCAACCCAGCAAGACAGGCCAACATTCATATTCAGGAAATTCAGAGGACATCAGAAAGATCCATGAGAAGATCAACCCAAAACACATAATCGTCAGTATCTCCAAGGTCAAAATGAAGGAAAATTGTTAAGGGCCACGTCACCTAGAAAGGGAAGTCCATCAGAATAACAGTGGACTCCTCAGCAGAAAACCTATAAGCCGGAAGAAACTGGGGGCTAATATTCAACACTCTTAAAGAAAATAATTTTCAGCTCAGAATTTCATATCTGGCCAAACTAAGCTTCATGAGCAAAGGAGAAATAAAATCCTTCTCAGACCAGCAAATACTGAGGGAATTCATCACAACCTAGCCTGCCTTGCAAGAGCTCCTAAAGGAAGCACTGAATATGGAAAGGAAAAACCATTACCGGCCACTACAAAAACACAGTAAACTACACAGACCAATAATACTATGAAGCAACAACATTAACAAGTCTGCAAAATAACCAGATAGCATCATAATGACAGGACCAAATTCACACATAACAATATTAACCTTAAATGTAAATGGACTGAATGTCCCAATTAAAAGACATAGACTGGCAAACTGGATAGTCAAGACCCACCAGTGTGCTGTATTCAAGTGAACCATCTCATATGCAAAGACACACATAGCCTCAAAATACAGAGATAGAGGAAAATTTACCAAGCAAACAGGAAACAGGAAAAGGAGGGGTTGCAATTCTAGTGTTTGAGAAAACAGGCTTTAAATCAACAAAGATAAAAAAGACAAGGGAATTACATAATTGTTAAGTATTCAGTTCATCAAGAAGAGGTAACTATCCTAAATACACATGCACCCAATTCTAGAGGACCCAGATTCATAAAACAAGTTCCTAGAGACCTACAAAGAGATTTAGACTCTCACATAATAATAGTGGGAGACTTTAACACCCCACTGTCAATATTAGACAAATTATCAAGACAGAAAGTTAACAAGGATATTCAGGACTCAAACTCAGCTCTAGATCAAGTGGACCTGATAAATATCTACAGAACTCTCCATTCAAAAACAACAGAATATACATTCATCTTGGAGCTACATGGCACTTACTCTAAAATCGATCACACAATTGGAAGTAAAACACTCCTCTGCAAATGCGAAATAACTAAAATCTTGATAGTCTCTCAGACCACAGTACAATCAAATTAGAACTCAAAATTAAGAAACTCACTCAAAACCGCACAACTACATAGAAATGTAACATCCTGCTTCTGAATGACTACTGGGTAAAAAATGAAATTAAGGCAGAAGTCAAGAAGTTATTTGAAACTAATGAGAAGAAAGAGACAATGTCCCAGAATCTCTGGGATACAGCTAAAACAGCATTGAGGGAAATGTATAGCACTAAATATCCACATCAGAAATATCTCAAATCAACATCCTAACATCACAGTTTAAAGAACTAGAGAACCAAGAACAAACAAACCCCAAAGCTAGCAGAAGGCAAGAAATAAGTAAGATCAGAGCAAAACTAAAGGAGATAGAGACGGGAAAAACCCTTCAAAAAATCAACAAATCCAGTAACTGTTTTTTTGAAAAAAATTAACAAAATAGACCTTTAGCTAGACTAATAAGAAAAGAGAGAAGATCAAATAGACACAATAAAAAATGATAAAGGGGATATCAACACTGAGTTTACAGAAATACAAACAACCATCAGAGAATACTATAAACACCTCTATGCAAATAAATTAGAAAATCTAGAAGAAATGGATAAATTCCTGGACACATAAACCCTCCCAAGATTGAACCAGGAAGAAGTTGAATCCCTGAATAGACCAATAACAAGTTCTGAAATTAAGGCAGTAATATATAGCCTACCAACCAATGAAAGACCAGGCCCAGATGGAATTATGGTGGAATTCTACCAGATGTACAAAGAGGAGTCAGTGCTATTTCTTCTGAAACTATTCCAAATGATTGAAGAGGAGAGACTCCTCCCTAATTCATGTTATGAGGCCAGCATCATCCTGATACCAAAGCCTGGGAGAGATACAACAAAACAAGAAAACTTCAGGCCAATATCCCTGATGAACATCGATGCAAAAATCCTCAAGAAAATACTGGCAAGCCAAATCCAGCAGCACATCCAAAAGCTTATCCACCACAATCAAGTTGGCTTCATCCCCGGGATACAAGCCTGGTTCAACATACGCAAATCAATAAATGTAATCCATTACATAAACAGAACTAAAGATAAAAACCTCATAATTATCTCAATAGATGCAGAAAAGGCCTTTCAACAACACTTCATGTTAAAATTCAACATCCCTTCATTTTAAAAATTCTCAGTAAACTAGGTATTGAAGGACCATACCTCAAAATATTAAGAGCCATTTATGACAAACCAACAACCCATATCATACTGAATGGGAAAAAGCTGTGAGCATTTTCATTGAAAACAGGCACAGGACAAGGATGCCCTTTCTCACCACTCCTATTCAACATATTATTGGAAGGTCTGGCCAGGTCAATCAAGCAAGAGAAAGAAACAAATGATATTCAAATAGGAAGAGAGGAAGCCAAATTGTCTCTGCAGATGACATGATCCTTTATCTAGAAAACCCCATTGTCTCAACCCCATTGTCAGCAAAATCTCAGGATAAAAAATCAATGTGCGAAAATCACAAGGATTCCTACACACTAACAACAGACAAGCAGAGAGCCAAATCATGAAAGAACTCCAATTCCACAATTGTTACAGAGAATAAAATACCTAGGAATACAGCTAAGAAGGGAAGTGATAGAAAGAACCAATATGATTAAAATGGCCATACTACCCAAAGTAATTTACAGATTCAATGCTATTCCCCTTATACTAACATTGACATTTTTCACAGAATTAGAATAATCTGTTTTAAAATTCATATGGACAAAAAAGAGTCTGTAGAGCCAAGACAATATTAAGCAAAAATAGCAAAGCTGGGGGGATCATGCTACCTTACTTCAAACTACACTACAAGGCTACCAAACCAGCATTGTAAACAAAACAGCATAGTGGTGGTGCAAAAACAGACTCATAGACCAATAGAACAGAATTGAGAACTCAGAAATAAGACCACACAGCTACAACCATCTGATCTTCAACAAACCTGACAAACACAAGTAATGGGGAAAGGATTTTCTATTTAATTAATGGTGCTGGAAGAACTATGGAAGAACTTTAGCCATATGCAGAAAATTGAAACTGGACCCCCTTCCTTACACCTTATACAAAAATTAGCTCAAGATAGGTTAAAGACTTAAGTGTAAAATCCAAAACTATAAAAACCCTAGAAGAAAATCTAGGCAATACCATTCAGGACATAGGCATAGGCAAAGATTTCATGACAAAAATGCCAAAAACAATAGCAACAAAAGCAGAAATTAACAAATGGGGTCTAATTAAACTAAAGAGCTTCTGCTCAGCAAAAGAAACTATCATCACAGTGAACAGACAACCTACAGAATGGGAGAAAAATTTGCTATTTATCCATCCGACAAAGGTCTAATGTCCAGAATTTACAGGGAACTTAAACAAATTTACAAGAAAAAACCAGACAATCCTATTAAAAAGTGGGCAAAGGACATGAACAGGCACTTCTCAAAAGAAGACATTTATGTGGCCAACAAACATGCAAAAAAAAATTTCAACATCACTAATCATTAGAGAAATGCAAATCAAAACCACAATGAGACACCATCTCACACTAGTCAGAATGGTGATTATTAAAAAGTCAAGAAACAACTGATACTGTTGAGGCTGCAGAGAAATAGGAATGCTTTTACACTGTTGGTAGGAATGTAAATTAGTTCAACCATTGTGGAAGACTGTGGCAATTCCTCGAAGTCCTAGAGCCAGAAATATCATTTGACCCAGCAATCCCATTACTAGGTATGTACCCAAAGGAATATAAATCATTTTATTATAAAGATACATGCATGTGTATGTTCATTACAGCACTATTCACAATAGCTAATACAGGAAATCAACCCAAATGCCCATCAATGATAGACTGGGTAAATAAAATGTGGTACATATACAACATGGAATACTATGCAGCCATAAAAGGAAATGAGATCAAGTCCTTTGCAGGGACATGGATGGAGCTGAAAGCCATTATCCTCAGCAAACTAATGCAGGAACAGAAAACCTTGAAATATGAGCTAGAATGAGGGGCACTAGAAGTACTTGGCTTTAAAAAGACATAGGTGCAGTGACATGATGTTAGTTACATAGCCTTTGAAGCCATGTTGTGTGAAAGAGCAGTTGGATATTGACGTTGGCTACCAAAACCAATGGGTAGGCATTTAGATTTTGGTTCACTAGAAAACCTGAACTATCTATTGATTAAGCTCTCAAAAACTAAATAGACTGCTGCCTCCTAAATAAAATATGTCTCCCACTGTGGAAATGTCATTGATTTTCAATTTGTATAGCTTTTATTATTATTATAATTGTAAGGTCAGGAGTGACAACTTCTGAGCCCTTCACATGTTGGTGATAAATCCAAAAGTCCTGTAATGTGTTTGTTTTCTCATTTTTTAAAACCAAATATTTGAAGCTATTTTATTAAGGGTTTCCTTTTCCTCAAAAAGTAAATGCATTAAATATAATCTAGATATTCTACACTCATGAGAAAGATATTTCATTGTATATAACCAGAGCTATAGGCCTACAAACATTTGGACTTTATCAGAGGTAAATAATAAGAGATCATACTATTAGTTAAAATTAAAGTATAAATTTAGATAATTATTTTTAATTGGTTATTTTTTAAAGCTGACATAACTTTAATTTACAATGTAAACTCAGGAGTGAAAGAGCATTAAGTAACTCATGATCTGTAAAGAAAATTTCAAAATTTAAGGTAAGTAATGAGATTTCCCCATATTTCTGTGTTTAATTCATCAATGTTTTTAAAATACTTAAACCAGCTAAGAAGTGTGTTCAGGTTTCTATTTATTTTAAGAGTGACTTATGTATTTTTCTCACAAGGGAGGATGATTTTAGAGGAGTTTAGAGCCTGCATCGTGGTTCCAAGTTAGCATCACCGTTCCTGGTCCTTCCATCTTTCTGCTTAGTCATATTTAACTTGTGTTTATTTCTTCATGATCAGAATATGTGTCTTTCTCAACTATCATATGTATGTTCTAGGTAGAAAGGAGAAAAACAAGAGTTTATGTTGTTCTGTCAAATTATAGAAAGTTTATTTGATAATAAATCAACTGTTAAAAAGTACCCTTTAAAAGTATAATAAGTATACAATATTAAAAGAAAGCATGGGACTTTGCACAATTGTGAAATCTATTGAGAATTTTGTAAGTTTTTAAATTTTGATCTGTGCTGTCATTTATTAATTCAGTCAAAATTTGCTTCAAAAACACGTAGTTGTCAGAATATGTAAGTGCCTTAGAAGAGTGCAATCTATAAGTAAAATAATTCTGAATATTCATCTGAAATAGTTTGAAAAGGTTTTGAAAATCTACCGTCTCTCTTATTTCTTGTAATCAACATATTTTTCAATAGGAAAATTCACCATTTGCCATCAAAATGTATCATCTGAAACTTCCACTGGAACCTTCATATGGCAAAATATTTAGGCATTCTGAGGAGATGCAAAGTTTGGTAAGCAGAATAAATATGTTTTAATATTTAATAATTATAAATGATATTTGGAAAATTATAAAGATGTTCTTAGTTCAATTAATAGAGTAAGATTTATGTATCTATTAAGGCTGCTGGGCCAGACAGGGTGGCTCACACCTGTAACCCCAGCACTTTGGAAGCCCGAGGCAGGAGGATCACCTGAGGTCAGGAGTTCGAGACCAGCCTGGCCAACATGGTGAAACCCCATCTCTAATAAAAATACAAAAATTAGCAAGGCATGGTGGTGCTTGCCTGTAATCCCAGCTACTGAGGAGGCTAAGGCAGGAGAGTTGCTTAAACTCGGGACATTTCAATGAGCTGAGATCTAGCCACTGCATTCCAGCCTGGGCAACACAGTGAAACTCCGTCTCAAAACAAAACAAAACAAAAAAAGTGCAGGCAACACATTATAATCAATATTAAAAGTTTTTATGTTGAAAGATGGATAAGAATTAAAACTTTGATTTTTCAACTGAGAAATTTAGTTGAGATATTTGAAATTACTGGAAAGCAAAAGGAAATTTTAATGTACTGCGGAGTAGCCTAGGGTAGTATGTGTATGTATTTCTACTAAATGCAAAAGAAAGTACCAGATAAAAATGCAATAGGCTTCTACTTCTAGTTCAGGATGGGAAAAGATGGGGAAGACCAAAAAAGATCTGCATAATGCACAAATCCATGTGATTTCTGAAGGGAGTGGACACGATCAGTCTTGATAAACTGATAACCAGTTAGTGGATCTGCAGGTTTCATCTGTGGTATTTTCTTTTAGATGATTTGTGTAGTGACTAAAAAACAGTCAATACATTTAAATAAACTGCACATGGTGCACATGTACTCTAAAACTTAAAGTATAATAAAAAAATAAATAATAAAATAAATAAATAAACTTTCTTTCTGGTTTAGTAATTGAGGTTGGCCAATGTCTATTATTAATTGTTAACTATTTCCTAATCAATAATCTGTCTTATATTAAACTGTACATACACATTACAAGAAATTTGAGTTACACTCACACATAACTGAATAACATATTTAATGCTTATATAGGCATGCATATAATGTTAAAATCTAGATATAAAAATAAGAAAATGAAACCATGATTTTTAAGTAATGGAACTTGTTCCAAAAAATCAAATGTGGTTATGCATTGGTATGACAATTCTGAATCCTGCCCTCAGGCAGCATCTGAACACTGTTTTATTAGCTATCAATAAATTGTCTGCACTGCAGGCCGATGATGGTTTAAGGACAGCAGTGTTAATAATAATGTTCAAAGTGTCAGTCTGGAGGGGAGGCAATAATTGACTGTATGAGACTATTAAGCTATAAAAACAATGTTTTATTTTGAGCATCAAAATATGATAGAGCTTCAAATGCTCTTGGTGAAGTCATTATTAACACACACAAAACTGATTTTCATTCAACGTTTACTGTAGAGAAAATTATATTCCATCAGGCTTTAAAATTGAGAAGAAAACAGAAAGAGTAAGTCTTAAATGCCTTTCTTCCTCACCTTCCTCCTTCACCTAGTTTGCCTGCGGACCTACACAGTTACATTCCCACATACCTCCTGTGTTTATTTCTTTGCAGATCATTTACCTTACATTTCTACATTTCCCCTTAATTTTTTCCTCATCAATAGATGAGAAAAAAATTTGTTAAATCATGGTAGATGAATATGGACCAGATCATCCCATGAACTACGTTCAATCGTTGGTTTTACCTTTCAAAAAATTCTGAATGAAATATGTAATAATTTAATATTCTAAAACTTTATTTTTTCAGGAATATTTACATATATTCACCCTTCCTTCTAAAACAGTGGCCAGAGCAGTTAGAAAACAAAAGCATGAGAAACAGTAACTCCTACAGTTGTATTATGTCTGTATGCCTCCCCAGTTCTGCAAAGATTATGAGGATTTTTTTTAGGTCTGTACATAGTTTTAAAATATCCTAAAACAATCCACATAAATAAACTCATTACCATAATAATCTGCAAGATAGACATGGTCATCCTCAAGTAATATCAAATAAATCTTATTTGCCTGCGAGATCTGAATCTGAAAATCCAAAAGCTCAAGTTTACCTAGCTAATAGGTAGTAAGACTGGGGCCTCAATCTGGTTTATCTAATTCTGAAAACTGTTTTGCTATAAAAGCACTATAGGAAATAAAACATTAGACTGTATACCTTTAGATAATAAGAATATTTATGTCATTGAACCTGAAAAGATACTGTTTAACTTTCATGTTCTACTTGTCATTTTTCTTTTCTGCTTTTATATGTAATTTAGGTAATAGATACCCAGGAATCAACTTAAATTCCCATCAGTGGTAGACTGGAAAAAGAAAGTACGGTATATATACATCATGAATTACTATGCAGCCATAAAAAAGAATGAGATCTGTCCTTTGCAGCAACATGGATGGAGCTTGGAGGCCATTATCCTTAGCAAAGTAACACAGGATCAGAAAACCCAATACTCCCTATTTTCACTTATCAATGGGAGCTAAATAATAAGAACACATTGACAGAAAGAGCAGCACAATAGACACTGGGGTGTGCTTGAGGGAGGAGGATGAGAGATGGGTGAGGTTCAGGGGAAAAAAATTGTTGGGTACTATGCTTACTATTCAGGTGACAAAATAATCTGTACATCAAACCCCTGAGTCACGAATTTACCTAAAGAACAAACCTGCACATGTTCCCATGAACCTAAAATAAAAGTTAAAATATTTAAAATAATAATAATAATTTAAAAATGTGAAATGTTGTGATAATTACTAAAATGTCAAATAGAGACACCAGGTGAGCACATGTTGTTGGAAAAATAGAATGAATAGACTTGCTTGATGCAAGATTGCCACAAACCTTCAATTTGTGAAAAATGTGTTATTTGTGAAGAGCTATAAAGTGAAGCACACACAAAAAAAGTGAGTTTGATTAATGCAATTCATTGTTGCTGAAAGATACCTTGAAATATGAGCTATAATGAGGGGCACTAGAGGTACTTGGCTTTAAAAAGACATAGGTGCAGTGACATGATGTTAGTTACATAGCCTTTGAAGCCATGTTGTGTGAAAGAGCAGTTGGATATTGACGTTGGCTACCAAAACCAATGGGTAGGCATTTAGATTTTGGTTCAGTAGAAAACCTGAACCATCTATCGATTAAGCTCTCAAAAACTAAATAGACTTCTGCCTCCTAAATAAAATATGTCTCCCACCATGGAAATGTCAAGCTAGGGTCACAATTCAAGTAATGTAAATATGGATCTAATGACTTCCAAGATGCTTTTCCAACTTAAAGTATTAGACAAGTACCTTTTAAAACAGTATACCATTTGAATTACCTGTAACCATTTTAATATTTCTGAGAGGGTTTTTTTTGTGTGTGCTCCCTCTGTCATCACATGGAGAGTTATTTTGCCTTTTAGGGTAAAATATAAAAACAAATGCACGTCACAATATGATGCGGCAAACGTCACCCAGAAGCCTTAGTGATGTTGTTGCGATGGTATTAGCATGCACAGAGTATGCAACTCGCAGCTCTGCTGTGTGCGCTTGTTCTTTTGCTTTCTCTCATGTGTTCTGCTCCACATATTTTAAGAGAGTTTAATGTGGGTGTTCCAATTCAATCCCATTAGAGTGCTATGTATATTATTGTTACTAAACCTTGCCTTCATAATCATTCCTAATTATGTGGTCTATTGGAAAGCAATCATTTATATCTTTAGGAGGATGAATGGGAAGTCACAGATCTAGAACAATAATCAACTTGAACTCATGCTGCTAGCCCAGGTATGGATTTTTAATATAATCTCAGGCAGGGAAGTGCTTGCAGGCATGTTTTCTCAGTCAACAGTTGAGAGCATATGCACGATGGCGGACACAAGGTAACTAGCCTTTGGCTGGTTGAAAGATGTAGTCATTATAAAGCTGGATTTTAAACCAAATGTAGTGCTGGCTGCTGTCTGGACTTACCTAAAACATACACTATATTTTAAAAAGAAGGCTGAGAGTCACAGAAGTAAAACAAATAAATTCCAAAGTTGGTGTTTTACATTATCATTTATCTGCAATAAGTGATAATTGATATTCCAAAAATATACTTTGCTTTGAATTCAAATTGTTTATTTTGAACAATTAGTGAGTTCATCTCTGCACATGCCTAAAGAAGATAAATCAATAAATAAAAGAATAAAAATTAAAACTCTATATAATAAACACTTGATTTCTTAGTCCTGATTTCTCTTTTATTATGAAGACCAGAAGCAGAATGTTATTCTATTTTACCTAAAAATATATATATTATCTTTAGAAACTCCTTGTCAGCAATCATCTACATGTATGTGTGCGTGTGTGTGTGTATATATATATATATCTCATACAAACAATATGTATCACATTTTTATGTTAACAAGCACAATCATATAATAAACCCACAAATGTCCAACTCCAAAACTAGGAAATTATTAATAGCTTGTACTACTCCTGTGTTCTTCCCATCTGCCTGTAGGAATTATTTCTTTTTCTAAAATAGTTTTCTTACATACATATATATAGCAAAGAATGTATTTTTGCTTATTTTTCAGCTACAAGACTGTGTCACACTGTATATAGTCTACTGTATTACTTTTTTTTTTTTTGAGAAACAGTCTCACTCTGTCACCCAGGCTGGAGTGCAGTGGCACAATCTCCATTCATTGCAACCTCCGCCTCCCAGGTTCAAGGGATTCTCTCCTGCCTCAGTCTTTTGAGCAGCTGGGATTACAGGTGCCCAACTACACCAGGCTTTTTTTTTTTTTTTTTATGACCGAGTCTTGCTCTGTCACCAGGCTGGAATGCAGTGATGCGATCTTGGCTCACTGCAACCTCCGCCTCCCAGGTTCAAGCAGTTCTCCCGCCTCAACCTCCCGAATAGCTGGGACTACAGTTGTGTGCCATAACACCCAGCTAATTATTGTATTTTTAGTAGAGACAGGGTTTCACCATGTTGGCCAGGATGGTCTCGATCTCTTGACCTCGTGATCCACCCACCTTGGCCTCCCAAAGTGCTGGGATTACAGGTGTGAACCACCACGCCCAGCTACTGTATTACTTTTTATGCCTCCAGAATTTTTCTGTGTTGTTGCAGGTGTCTGTTGTGCCTTAATTTTTGCTATTGTAGAGGATTCTACTATGTGCAATTGCACAGCAGTGTATGTATCTGTTCCCCTGTGGATGGACATTTGGGTTGTGTCCAGTGTCTCTTGACCACCTACCTTGTGCCGTGCCCCCGACCCTCCTGTCATTACTCCACACTCTAGCTACATCCACAAAGCCATGACTTCACAAAACCCTGTCTTCCACTTCTGAGCTCCAGACCATATAAAAGGCATAACTGTGTTTATTGAGCACTTACTCTGAGCTAGAAACGATTCTCAACATTTTACATGTGGTAGCGCACTTAATATTCACAGCAACACAAATGGGAAGTAATATTCTTATCATCATTTTACAAATGAGAAGACCAAGGCCCAGAAGAGTTGAATATCTTGCTCAAGATCACACACCTTTTTCCACCCCCCATTCCAAGTCCCATAGGCAACTCAGACTCAGCACATCCATGATGTAACTTATCATCTTTCTCTCCAAACCATTTCCTCACTTGTGCCCTACTCTCAGTGGGGACATCTCTAATCCCCAGGCCCAAGCTGGAAACTGGAAGCCATTTCTGACTCCTCCCTCTCCCTCACCCACTCCATCCAAATGGAACCCAAGTCCTGTACATTGTACTTCTCGGGTATTGATCAATCCCGGCCCTCGTCTCCACGCCCATGGTGCTGACCCATTGTTAGGTGCCTGGCTGCTGCTCCTGGGTCATCACTTCCCAGCACTCTCTTTGCAGGCCCATCTCCACCATTTCCAGCATCCTACACACTGTGGCTCAGGTGTGCTTTCTAAACCTCACCTTACCATGTCCCCACCTCCAGAACGAAGCCCAGCCTCCTCTGCCCATCCCCTCAAACTGTAAAGTGCAGCTCCCAGCCCCAAAAAGGACACCCCCCACCACAATACCCTGCTCTGTCTCCTCCTCTGGGAAGCCTCCTGGCCTTGGCTCAGAGGCTGGATGTGAGCTCTCCCACCCCAAGCCCCACTGCCTCCAAGCCTCCCACTCTGCACTCACCTTCTTCCTTATAATTACCTGTCGCCCATTAAACTGCAGCCCTCAAAGGCAGAGCCCAGTGCATCCACTGCGCATCCCCAGTGTCCAGACAGGGCCTGCACACAGTAGGTGCACAATAATTGTTGAAAGGCAAAATGCATGAGCAATGACAGGAACCATGGGTGATGCTGCCTTCTGAGCCCCAGGCAATAGAGTGTTTCCTGCCTGGCCCCAGGGTCAGTGGATCCTGGCCCCCCACCCCACCCAACCTCTGCAGCTGCTTCCCTGGAGCCCTTGGAGGCCTATGAGGCCTCTTCCTGTGTCTTCATGTGTTCGAAGGATTTCCCTCTTTGCATCTTCCTTTCCTATTCCTTCATGTGGGAGCACTCTGGCACCAGGAAGAAGAAAGAGGAGCCCAACCCCTTACCAGCCTTCAATCTATAACAAGCATTCTCAATGGAATTAAAACTGATTCTTAAAAGGGGAGGTGAAAAAAAATCTTACTCTTTTTTACGTATAAAGCACAGAACATATACAGAACATAAACAGATATATAGTATATCTGTGGTATTAAAATTTCATGTGATTAAGAAAAAAAAAATCTAGAAGAATACTAGGGAAGGCACTAATGAAAAAAGGCTAAAAAATTCTGATCTACCTTCTTGGGCCTTGCCTTGTCTGGTCCAAGAACCGGCCAGAACTCGGGGAAGGGAAGAACCAGGGGAGAGTCTAGAGTCCAATCTCAGGATCCCCTCAAATTATTTCCAAAGCCAGCCCCCCACCAGTCAGCTACGGTCCTTTCACCAAAACCGCCCTTCCTTCCCCCTTGCCTGAAAATCCCTCATTCTGTTTCTGTCATTCTTTCATCTCACCTTGTTCCTACTGAGGGCGCAGGTCAGCTCTTCCCCATTCTCCCCCTGGGGCACCCCAGTTCCCAGGGCATGAAAGACTTGAGGCACCTCACCTCTACACCTTGGGCTAAGACATAGCCCTAGAGCTCCTGGAAGAACCCAGGAGGGAAGCCCAACCACAGGAGGCCCCCAGGAAGTGGGGGTACTGCTGTGGGACAAGCTTTGCTTTATTGGGGAAGGGATGGGATCACAAATAATCTCTGCTTAGAAGTGCTCTAGGGCCATGGATTCATGTAAGGGTGGGGCAGAGTGGACTGAAGATCTGTTGGCAAGGCTCACGGAGATGAGGGTGAGGGGAGAGATCATGGGTTCATGAGATCCCATCTTGGGCAATACGGTTATCCCGTGGTCTTCATACGCCACAGAGTCCTCCAATTTCAGGGGCTCCCGTGGGATGGTGGAGCCAATGAAGACCAGGTAGATGATGCCACCTAGAGAGGCACCCAGAAGTGGTGCCACCACTGGCACCCACCACCAGTTCTCCCCATCGCTGCAGGCAAGAGGCAGAGGCCTGCTGAGGGGGCTGATGCCCAGGACAGCACCCTCATCCACCTTGGGCGAAGACTGGTTGAGCAGAGGAGTCATCCCCAGGCTACCCCAGGAAACACCCCCAACCCAGGGCCCTGGTCAGCCTCAGCCCGATTCAGGGACAGGGTTGATACTCAGTGCAGGTGCAGGATCTGTATCTGTACTGGCCTGGGGAAATGTTGGGACTCACTCCTGCTCCCCAGGCCACCTGGGGGCTCTGCAGGACCCTCCTGTGCTGCCCCTCACATCACCCCCCACCCCTCAACACACAGGAGCTCCACAGAAAAACTCAAAGGAATGGGCCTGGGCAGGGGCAGTACCTGAAGACCTGTTTGCCCCAGCCAGCAATGAAGGTGAAGATGCTGGGGGGCGGGTCCCGGGATGGATTGATGGCATATCCTGTGTTTATGCCATGGGACACCCTGATGATGACCACGAGGATGCTTATCACCAGCGCGTGTGTTCCTGGCAGTGCTGGGTTGTTCTCCTGGTCCGTGATGGTGAAGAGACACAGCTGGAGCATCCTGGTCAGCCACTCCTGAGGAGCAGATGCTGTGGCAGCTCACCTGGGCCCCTCCCCAAGCCACAGGACATCGGCAGTGGCCCAGACCCAAGCCCACCAGCAGAGAGACGTCTCAGTACAGTCTCCATCCAGAGTTCTTGTCCTGTCTATCTGGAGGGACTCCCTGCTGGCTCTGTCCTGAGGGGTGGAGGGCAGGGGGAGGGGTACTCATCCTGGACCACTGACCTCATTCAGGAAGCCCCGCCACAATGTCATGTGATCAGGAAGGTAGGTGGCAAAAATGCCAGCTGTAGCAAAGGGACCGGTCACCATCAGCTCTCCACCCGAAAAGTGGAGAATGGCCGCTGCGGAGACACAGACTATCATGCGAACCTGCCCCCAACTAAGCCCCACTGGGGTCCCAGAAATGAGGTTATAGGTTAGAGGGTGGGGGAGCTCCAAGGCTTTTTTCTCCCAGCTATTTTTTACAAATCAGGACACTGAGGTCCAATCTGCCCATATTTCATAGGAGGCGGCTGAGGCCAGAGGTGGACACCCAGGCAGCACACTTGCTGTAGAAGAGACTGTAGATGGTGGCAGCTGCCAGGAAGGAGCCCAGGAACTGCCCCAGCACATGGACTGGAAACTTCCTCCAGGGCACGCGGCCCAGCGCACAGTTAGTGAAGGTCACAGCTGCATTCATGTGGGCTCCTGCGGGCAGCAGGCAAGTGTGTCAGGGAGTGAGAGCAGAACAAACAACAGTGACAAACAGTATGAGAACAACGATGGCTAGTGTGTATGACAGCATGCTCTGTGACAGAGCTCTCTCCTTGAGCCCTCACAACCACCCCGTGAGGCAGGGGCCACCTTCACTCTTAAGGAAACTGAGGAACACAGAAGGCGATGGCTTGCCTAAGATGACCCAGCCAGTGAAAATGGTAGGTCAGGGGGGCCCAGAAAGAATCTGGGGCAGACAAGTCATAGGCACGGGGTTCAGAGGAGACTTCCTCCTGCCCGGTGGCCAGGCTGAGGCACTGGCTGTGCTGGGAAAGGAGCTGGCTGAGGTGGGCAGGAAAGAGCCTGTTGGGGACACCTGGTCTTGCCCAGTCTGGTAGGCCCTGGGCTCACTCACCAGAGATGCGGCCTGCCACGTGGACTCCCATGGTGACCCCGAAGCCAAAACCCAAGTTGACACCAAGGTAGCTCCCATATGTTTTATTTAGAACCATATGGGCCACAGAACCAAGGCCGAATACCTACAAGGGAGGGCCTCTAAGGGGGCTGCCTGCCCAGAAGCCCCAACCTCAGAGGAGGGCTCAGAGCTCAGTTCTAGCTCCTCACCCCCATGCCCTGGGCCTCCCTGGCATTGCCTGGAAGACCCTCTGCCACGCCCTCTTCCTCCAGAGCCTTCCCTCCTCACTGCCTCCTCTCCTTGCCCCTGCTGAGGCCTCTCAGTCCTGAGCCACTGAGAGCCGGGTGGAGCAGCAGAGTTAGAAGCTCTTACGACAAACATCCAAGCACCTCAGCCCCAGGCCCACCTGAAGTTTTGGGGTGAGGCAGGGCTGCAAGGAGGGGATGGCTGGCATGCATTGCACCCCCTCAGAGTCCCTCACACTTCAGGCTGACCTGAAGGAAGTTTCTTCAAGGGACCTCCAAATCCATCCACACCTGACTCTGCCAGGAACCCTTCCCTGCACACACACACACACACACACACACACACACACACTCCGCCGCAATTCCCACAATGCTGGAACAGTGGGGCCCTAACTGTCTTGCCCTCAGCTTCATTTCCACTGACCTCAGGCGGCATTCCCAAGCTGTTGCTGCCCATCCCTCACGGCTCCTCAGATAATGCCGCCTTCACAGGGGAAGGGGCCTACCTTCAGGCCCATTACCCTCAGTCTAGAGCCACTGTTCCCTTCAGTCCTGGCTCCTGTGCTATCCTCTCCCTCTGCAGAGGCCTCCGTCTCCCCCATACCTTCCATTCTCCCATTGATCAGCTCCCACACACTGGAGTCTCATCCTTCCCAGCAAACTGTCCCACCCCTGCCCAGCGTCCTTCTCCAGCTGTGGGTTCCTGGTTGCCCCCTCCCTGTTTCAGTCATGCTGCAGGAGAGAACACACTGGCCAGCTGCTTCACCCCTTCCCTCGCACCCCCTCCTCAATCTGGCTTCCACTTCCACATGTCACAGACACCAAAGCTCTCTCCAAGGGCTCCAGCAACCTCCTGATTTTCCAAAGGTCTTTTCAGGCATGGTTTTACCACGTAGACAGTTTCAGCTATGCCTGATGCGCTAAAATTCCCGTCACCTCTGTGGGGGAGCCAGATGCCTATTTGCAAATCCCCATTGGAACTCTCCTGGTGTTCCGTGGGCGTCTCAGGCTCTGTTGAAGGTTTGCCATCTCACAGCACACCTGCTCCTCACTCTATGTTCCCCATCCCCGTTGGCCGAGCCAGAAACTCAGATGTTGCAAATGATAGTTAAGCACTATTATTCTCCCCTACTTGACAGATGGGTAATCTGAAGCTTAGAGAACTTGAATGGCTTGTCCAAGGTCACACAGCCTGTACATGGTGAGCCAGGATTAAATCCAGGCAGTTACCTGTGCCAGATGGCCTCAAACCAAACGACTGCGCTGCTCCATGCATGCCTTGCTTTCTTGTGCCTCTGTTTTATTTGTTTGTTTGTTTGATGCTTGAGATAGGGTTTTGCTCTATCACCCAGGCTGGAGTGCAGTGCCATGATCAGGGCTCATTGCAGCCTCCATCTCCTTGGCTCAAGTGATCCTCCCACCTCAGCCTCTCAAGTAGTTGGGACTATGGGCATGTGCCTCGGCACGCAGCCAATTTTTTTTTTTTTTTTTTTTGAGACAGTCTTGCTCTGTTGCCCAAGCCGGAGTGCAATGGTGCAATCTCGGCTCACCGCAACCTCCAACTCCCGGGTTCAAGTGATTCTCCTGCCTTAGCCTCCCGAGTAGTTGAGATTGTAGGTGCACGCCACCATGCCCAACTATTTTTTTGTATTTTTAGTAGAGACAGGGTTTCACGATGTTGGCCAGACTGGTCTCAAACACCTGACCTCATATGATCAGCCTGCCTTGGCCTCCCAAAGTGCTGGGATTACAGGCATGAGCCATTGAGCCCTATCCCAGCTAATTTTTTCAATTTATTTTGTGTAGAGATGAGGTTTCACTATGTTGCCCGGGCTGGTCTTGAGCTCCTGGCCTTAAGCAATCCTCTCACCTCAGCCTCCCAGAGTGCTGGGATTACAGGTGTGAGCCACCATGCCTGGCCAGAATATCCTAATAATTTTACATTGACTGCATCTTGAAATAGGATTTTGGATATATGGGTTAATTATTAAAATTAATTTCACCTGTTGCTTTTTACCTTTTTAATGTGGATACTAGAAAAATTTAAATTATACAGATGGTTTGCATTGTATTTCCCCTGGAGAACTCTGTTCTAGAGTTGATAAAGGAAAAAACCTGAAGAATTGTAGACATAAGGGCCGAAGTCAAAGCCGTCAGAGGAGAAGGCCCCAGGAGAGGGTACAGGGTAAGAAGGCAGACCAGGCTGGGTGCGGTGGCTCATGCCTGTAATCCCAGCACTTTGGGAGGCCGAGGTGGATGGATCACTTTAGGTCAGGAGTTCAAGACCAGCATGACAAAACCCCGTCTCTACTAATAATACAAAAATTAGCCAGGCGTGGTGGTGCTTGCCTGTAATCCCAGCTACTCAGGAGGCTGAGACAGGAGAATTGCTTGAACCCAGGAGGCGGAGCTTGCAGTGATCCGAGATCACGCCACTGCACTCCAGCCTGGGCGACAGAGCAAGACTCCATCTCAAAAAAAAGAAAAAAAAAAGAAAAAAAAAAGAGTTGAAAGGCACCAGTGTAGACTCCTCTTCGAGAACTTGCCTGAGGAGCGGGGAAGAGAGAACATGATCCCGTGAAGGGGCTGACAGGGTGAAGGGAGGGATGTTTCATTTTGTGTTGTTTTCAGTGGAGAAACTTCAGTATGTTTATACGCTGAGAGAGGGACGGGCTGAAGATAAAGGACAGAGAAAAAGGACAGAGTAAAGTACCTGAATAGGCTGGACAGCTGGATTGGTGCAGAAGTGGAGGGGTCCTCCAGGAAGGAGAGGACCCCGCCCCAGCCAAGGGGTGATATGTGGATACACGGGTGGTTAATGGGTCTGGTGGCAAGAGGGACAAGAGGGTGAGCTGAACATATGAAGTGTTGATTATTTTACCTATCAAGCAGCAGATCAAGCCATTTGCTGATTTAAAAAAAAAAAGTCAGAGTACAGAGCAGCTTTGGGGATGTCTGAGAAAATGTGAAATAGCCCAGATATGGTGGGGGAGAGGCAGCTGAGCAGGGCCCACTGGGTCCCTCAGAAGCCCCAGGACAGAAGCAGGGGAGCCCAGAGCTGGGCTGGCTTTGGATCCAGGATAAGATACAGCAGGAGAGGACAGGAACAGATGGGGGTGCCGGGGGGAGTGAGGTCAGGACAGGTTGACAGGCTAGCAGGGTCAAGAGGTAGAGGGACTGGAGGAGGCATGGAGGGTCTGAAAACAGAGGGGCCCCCATGGCCTTTCCCGCATTCCAATACCATGTGCTAAAAATACTGGATGAGCATAGGCCAGGTGTGTTGGCTCACGCCTGTAATCCCAGCACTTTGGGAGACCGAGGCAGGCCAATCATGAGGTCAGGAGTTCGAGACCTGCCTAGCCAACATGGTGAAACCCCGTCTCTACTAAAGATACAAAAAATTAGCCAGGTGTGGTGGCACATGCCTGTAATCCCAGCTACTCGGGAGGCTGAGGCAGGAGAATCACTTGAACCTGGGAGGCAGAGCAGTGAGCTGAGATCACACCACTGCACTCCAGCCTGGGCAACAGGGTCAGACTCTGTCTCAAAATAAATAAATAAATAAAATAAAATACTGGGTGAGTGAATGAACCCCACATGATTCCCTGTGTCAGGGCTGCCAACTGGCAACTCATGCACGTAATTCATCCAGGGCACAGGTTTTGTTTAGATAACTTGGTTTTGAAGAACAGAAGTTTCCGTCTCTCTTGAAAAATGAGCAGCTCAGGCAACACTGGCCTGCATTCCACCCTCCATGACAACAGTCAGCTGGAGTGGCGGCAGCTATACAGCTTTGCACAGATTGGCACTCTGCAGCCAGCCAAAGTCCCCACCGCCCAGAGTTGCTGCTCTCTTGGCCCCCATAGCATGTGATCTACAACCCTTGCCCCGTGTCTCACGTGTATGGCTGGTTTTCCAGGGCCCGGATGGCTCCAGCCCCTCCTCTCCCTGATCAGTGAATGTGGCCCAGCCCATCCAACTCTCCCCCACAGCCAGGAGGCCAGCTCCAAGGGCAACACCCCTGGAAGCTGCAACACGGATCAATCCACTTCCCTCGTCCTGGCTGCAATAAATGGGGCCAAGGTCACACTAGCTTTTTTGGCAAAACCTTCACCCTGGTGACTCACTGAGATTCCTATATATATATTTTTAAAAAAAAGCCCTCACTTCTTGGCACAGCCTGGCAACTAAAAATAACAACAACACAATATCCGATATAGGCTTACACCTCACAAAGTTCTTTTACAAGTGCTACTGTCTTCAATCCTCACAACAAATCTGCACAGCAAGAATTTTTCTCCCACTCTATAAATGGGGAAACTGAGGCTGAGAGAGGCAACTTGAACTACCTGAAAGTGAGGACCTTACCCTGGCTGGGGGAGCATTAACAAGCCAGTCTTTAAAAGCTGTCAATATTTAAGCTAAGGTACAGAGCATAGAGGTTAAGGGTCAAGACTGTGATATTGGGCTGGGCACGGTGACTCATGCCTGTAATCCCAGCACTTTGGGAGGCCGAGGTGGGAGGATCACTTGAAGTCAGGAGTTCAAGACCAGCCTTGACAACATGGTGAAACCTTGTATTTCCTAAAAATACAAAAATTGGCTGGGCATGGTGGCATGCACCTGTAATTCCAGCTACTCCAGAGGCTGAGATGCAAGAATCGCTTGAACCCGGGAGGTGGAGGTTGCAGTGAGCCGAGATTGCACCACTGCGACAAAGGAAGACTGTATCTCAAAAAAAAAACAAAAAAAAAAAAACAAAAAAGACTGTGATATTAGACTGCACTGGATTTAATCTTGACTTAAAGTGTGACCTTGGGCAAAAGGCTTAGTCTCAAGGAGCCTCAGTTTTCCCATCTGTGAAACTTGGATAATAATAGTACCTACTTCACAGGGCTATTGCATGGATTTGGGAAGATGCTGCACATAAGGGGCTTAGCATCACAGAGCCCGGGATGCATTAGGTGCTCAATGAAAATCTCAACAAAAGGAAGAGAAACACAGATGTGGGCAGGTATCAAGCATGTGGGCAGTGCCTATTTCCCTAACAGCTCTCAGAGGATGCACCCTCCTGCTTCTGAGGTTCCAAGGGTTAACAGCCCTCATGGGGCTGGAATGTCTTGTGGTAAGTGAATTACTTTGCCCTGGATTAAGGAGGGACAGGATCCAACTGCTGTCCTCACAGCTCAGGAGCCAAAGCAGGTGGGGAGGTAAGAGAGGAGTAGGGGAGGGCCAGAGGCAGAGAGGAGACAGCAGCTAGAGCACCCGTCCTAATAACAAGGGAGCAATACATGGGTACCACACTGGGTGCTGAGACTTGGCCTTCTTCACACAAGTCCTCCTGTTAACCAATAAGGAAGCTAAAGTTGTGGGCCAGGCGAGGTGACTCACGCCAGCAATCCCAGCACTTTGGGAGGCCGAGGCAGGAAGGTCACCTGAATTCGGGAGTTCGAGACCAGTCTGGCCAACACGGTGAAACCCCATCTCTACTAAAAATAGAAAAATTAGCTGAGCACAGTGGCACGTGCCTGTAGTCCCAGCTACTCAAGAGGCTGAGGCAAGAGAGTCACTTGAGTATGGGAGGTGGGGGCTGCAGTGAGCTGAGATCGTACCACTGCAATCCATCCTAGGAGACAGAGTGAGACCCTGTCTCAAAAACAAGAAAGCTAAATTTGTGAACAGTTAAGATACTTGTGGATAGTCGCACAGCTAGAAGATAACAGAGCTAGGATTCAAACACAGCTCCAAAGCCCACGAAGGTCTAATTCTACACAATATAAGTGAGAAGTCAGGCTTTAAGCCAGGGAGAGACCTGCCCAAGGCCAACTGGTCACTCAGTGGCAGGGTCAGGCTAAGAACCCTGGTGTTCCGATTTCCTCTCTCCCTTGAGCTCCATGGGCCCCACCACACACACAAACAGCCTCTGTCACCCCACCTTCCTCTAGCCATGCACCTGGCTGCCTTTGCCTCCCTTCCCAGAGGCTGCCCCTTCTTTTTCTAGACCCTGGACCCTGCATAAGATGCAATAAACATGGCTACAGTCATGTTAAGGGCAGAGGCTCACTGGGGTAAGTGGCAGGGCTGAAGCAGGTGGAGAGGGAGCAACCTCACATCCTGCCTGCAGTCTGGATACTGTCCCAATCACACACTAAAGAAGAACCCTTGTCAAGGTTACCAGCAACCTCCACGTTGCCAAACCCTAAGGCCTCTTGCCAGTGCTCACCTTGCGTGGCCCATCTGCCGCTGCCCATGCCGCTGACGGCTTCTTCCTGGTGGAACCACTGCCCCCCTCTGTCATGCAGTCAGCTCTGGTTCTCCTCACACCTCTCTGACCGTTCCTTCTCAGGCTCCTTTGCATGCCCCTCTTCATTCCTCAGGGCTCTGTCCTCAAACCATCCTTTTCTCTTTCTGTACACTCCTTCTAGAGAGTGTTGACAACCACCACCTGTGTTGTGATGAACTTCAACTTTTTCCTTCCAGACCAAGCCTCTCCTGAGCTCCAGCCCCTTGCCTGTGTTTAACTATCTCCTGGATTTCCCCACAGGCATCTTGCCTCTCACCCTGTGCTGGGCCCCGTGCTCCAGAACAGCTCATCGGCGCTTTGCCCACATCTTCTGCTGGCAGAGTCTCCCCGATTCCATCTTCCACAGCCCTCTCAAACATGTGCTTTCTTCTCCAACCCCAGATCAGTCATCACCCTCTCTCTGTCCCAGATCAAAAACAGCCTCTTAACTTGTTCCCTCTTGCCAGCCTTGCCTGTCCTGCTTATGCTCCACACTGCACCCAAAATTACCTTTAAAATCCAAATCTGATCATGTCACTCCCCTGCTTGCCAGCCTTCAACATCACCCATTGCCCTCCAGATTCATTATCAGAGCCCAATCATCAAGTTTCTCTTCAATCTCTCTCTCTTTTTTTTTCTTTTTTTTCTTTTTGAGACAGAGTTTCGCTCCTGTCACCCAGGCTGGAGTGCAATGGTGTGATCTCAGCTCACTGCAACCTCCACCTCCTGGGCTCAAGTGATTCTCCTGCCTCAGCCTCCTGAATAACTGAGATTACAGGAGTCCGCCACCATGCCCAGCTAATTTTTGTATTTTTAGTAGAGATGGGGTTTCACCATGTTGGCCAGGCTGGTTTCGAACTCCTGACTTCAGGTGATCCACCTGCCTAAGCCTCCCAAAGTGCTGGAATTACAGGCATGAGCCATTGCACCTGGGCCTCTTCAATATCTTTACTCTGGGTTTCCCTTCTCCCCATTTCCAGCCGTGCCCCGGATACCCCAGTGCATGGTTTCATTTGACCCCCACATATTATGAGCCCTTTCTGTCCAAAAAGACTTGATGAGAAAGCCCCCACTCCTTACTTTCCTCACTGCTTCCCCAGGCTCCCAGCTCAGAGGCAAGGAATGGACAATGTGACCCATGGGGTCAGCATGGGGAGGGGGTCATGGACAGCCCTGGTGGAGCCCCACCCACTTCGTGCTGCCCACCCACTCACCATCATGACATATGTGCTCATGAACTCGGCCAAGAACTCTCGCACCATCTTCCTCTCATCTTCCTCGCACCATATTTCCTGGATCTTTGCTATCACGGACCAGGAGACCATTTTGGAGCCACGGGTGGACCTGAGACAGTGGCCCGAGCCCAGGGACAGAAAGGAGACTCAAGTTTGCCTGCTGCCCATCGGCTCTTCAACTCACAGCTGAGTTAATAGGTAACCCAGCAGCCTCGCCACACACGCCTCCTCTTGCCCGGGGCAGCTGGGACAGCTGGAATTGGAGACACTTGAGAGCCATGGGGACATGGAGAGGAACTGGGGTAGATGGCCAGGCCATGCCCCTTCTAGTTGGGACTAGACCAGTAAAAATGGCACACCAATGAGGCCACTTTGCAGACGGGCAAGTGGGGAGCTGAAAGTGCAATCCACGGTGCCAACAAGCCTCTGGGAAAAAGCAGGGTGGGAGAGAGCAGGCTGGAAAGTAGAGCTCAGTTGTCTATGTCTGTCCATCTGTCTGTCTGCCTATCTGCTAGAGCCAGAACTTTGGGGTCACAGGCCAGGGCCTGGCAACAGTGAGGCACTCTACAAACAGCATGAGGTGTGACAAAGTCTGCTGCCGAGCTCTGTAAACAGCACTGAGTGCTGAAACATGTGCCAGGTTCTGTCAAAAATGAAGGGGTCAGCAAAATGCATGAGGCTGTGCAACCAGGTCAGTGCAAACAGAGGTTTGTGAGAGAGTGAGTGAATGAATGAATGACCAAGAGAGAGGGAGGGAGAAAAGGAAGGACTGGATCTACTTCCTGGTGTATCTTCAGTGCCCAGCACCATGCCAGGCACATAGTAGATGTGAATAAATATTTGTTGAATGAGTGAAAACTGGGGAATCTGTCTTACTCTCAACTAGATCCTCAGAGCTTCCCAAAGGGCCTGGCACTTGATTTATATTTAGTTAAGTGCATGGTTAGATGGAAAGGTAGATGAAACAGGTGAGTAACAGGGCCCAAATCTGCATATAGGGAGACGTATAGGACTGGAGTTTGGGGAAGGTGGCGGGGTGGGACTGGAGGATAAAGAGGAAGAAGAGGGGCTGGGCCCGGTAGCTCACGCCTATAATCCCAGCACTTTGGGAGGCCAAGGTGGGCAGATCACCTGAGGTTGGGAGTTCGAGACCAGCCTGAACAACATAGAGAAACTCCATCTCTACTAAAAAATACAAAATTAGCCAGGCGTGGTGGCACATGCCTGTAATCCCAGCTACTTCGGAGGCTGAGGCAGGAGAATCACTTGAACATGGGAGATGGAGGTTGCAGTGAGCCGAGATCTTGCCACTGCACTCCAGCCTGGGCAACAAGAGCGAGACTCCATCTCAAAAAAAAAAAAAAAAAAAAAAGAGGAAGAGGAGGGATACAGATACCTCTAAGTGTGGCCTTAGTCACTCTGCTATCTCACTGTCTGCATGCCCGGAAGCTGACACCAGCCCCTCAACTCCTCTGGCCAGCCCATCCTTGCACATCACGTACTGCCTTAGCTGCAGGCCTTTGCACATGCCAGTCCTACACCGAGAATGGTCTCCTGCCTCCCCAGAGGCTCCTTTACCCGCCAGCCTTCTTTTCTTGACCTAAATTTCCCTTTCTCTGGGAGAGCCTCCTACCCTCTCCTCTAGGCCATTCACTTCTTCCACATGCCCCATGGTGCCCACTCTTTCAGCTGGGGCAATGCTCATCACAATGCATAGTAATTGCTCAGTTAGGCCAGGCACAGTGGCTCACGCCTGTAATCCCAGCACTTGCCGAGGCGAGCTGATCGCTTGAGCCCAGGAGTTCAAGACCAGCCTGGGCAGTATGACAAAACCTCATCTCTACGAAAAAAAAATACAAAAATTAGTCAGGTGTTGTGGTGTATGCCTGTGGTTCCAGCTAATGGGGAGGCTGATGTGAGAGGATTGCCTGAGCCCAGAAGGCAGAGGTTGCAGTGAGCTGAGATCACACCACTGCACTCCAGCGTGGGTGACAGAGCGAAACCCTGTCTCAAAAAAAAAAAAAAAAAAAAAAAAAAAAAGCTTAATTAATTAACAGTTTTTCTTCCTAAGGGCTGGGATCATACCAGTTTGCTTCACTGCAGTGCCTGAACATAGTAAGCATAGTAGATTCAATAAATCTTTGGTTCCTTGGCTGGTTGTTGCCTGCTCTGTGCTGATGAGAAAGGAGCCAGGCTTCCAGGATTCCCTTGGTGTTCTTGGCTCCCTGCTCTGTCTACCTCTCCCCTGCCTCTATGGTACCTTCCCAGGACTGTCTTTGGGCTGCTGCTTGCATTGGTAGGGTCTCTTCTTCAGGGCTGAGGAGGCTGGTCATGGGATAATGAGATCCCTATACGATGCTGCATGGGAGCTGGAGTTGGATGGGGGCCAGTGGAATATCCACGCAACTCTGCATCCCCCTCAATCTACTCATCCCTGGTTTTGTTTCTCTGGGGTAAGGAATACAGCAAGGACTGGGATGGGTGAGCTATGAACAGAGGGTCTCAGCTGAAAAGTGGAAGATGTTTTGTTCCATGCCTGGACGTCTCTCATTCCCTCTGCTTACTTTTTGCTGCTGCGAGGTCAGGGGAATTTAGGAGCCCTGAGGAATGCTGCTGCTCTCCCTAGCAGGGCGAGGTGACCCTCCACTGGCTCCCATCCAACCCCACCTCCCATGCTGGAGGTAACCACAGAAGAGGAGAGAGAAGTGGACAGAGCAGAAAGACAAGAACACCAAGAGAGTCCTGGAAGCCTGGCTCCTTCCTCATCACCACACAGCAGGCAAGACACAGTAAGCAACAGATAACCACCAACCAGCCAATGAACTCAAGATTTCTTGAATCCACTATGCCTAGAATGTTCAGTCACTGCAGTAAAGGACACTGGTACAATCCAGCCCGTGGGAAGAAAAGCAATCAATTGAGCAATTACTATGCAGTGTGATGAGCATTGCCCCAGCTGAAAGAGTGGGCACTGTGGGGCATGTGGAGGAAGTGAATGGCCTAGAGGAGGGGGTAGGAGGCTCCCAGAGAAAGAGAAATTTAGGTCAAGAAAAGAAGGCTGGAGGGTAAAGGAGCCTCCAGGGAGGCAGGGATCACTCTGGGCGTAGGACTGACATGTGCAAAGGCCTGCAACTAAGGCAGTATCCAATGTGCAGGAATGGGCTGGCCACGGAGGAGTGGAGGTGGCATGAGATGGGCAGAGAGGGGCCAGAGCCAGGTGGCAGAAGGCCTCATGGCCCACATTAGGGAGTCTGAACTCTACCAGAGGGCCATGGGCCAAGTGGAGGATTTCAGCAGGAGAGCTGCCTCCCCTGCGGAGGCCAGGATGGAGGAAGTGGAGTGGAGGCAGGGTGAGCATCAGCTTCTCCACAGATGGGTGGAGAAGTGGTGGCAGCCTGAGCCACAGAGATGGCAGTGCCAATGGCCACAAGAGCACAGTCAAGCTGACAGGCTTGGTGTTCGGTTAGAGAGGGAAGGGAGCGGGGCAGCTCAGCGATGCCCTCAGGTCCTGGCTAGGGCAGCGGAATGACTAGCGTGGGGCACAGCAGAGAAGCTGTGGGAGAATGGACAAGGAGGCCCTTTCTGGACATGTTGAGTGTGAGGAGCCCGCTAGACACTTGGGTGGGATGGCCAGTGAGGAGGCAGCTGGTCATGTGGTCTCACTTACAGACACATTTGGAGGACAGCAAATCACAGATTGTCATCTGAGCCATGGGCATAGATGAGAGAGCTCAAGGAGAGGGTACAGACTAAGAAGAGGGGCCCAAGAAAGCCAGCCTACAAAGCAAGAAACTGACAGCCAACCAGATCCCCTAAGTAATCTGCTAACCAAGGAACTAAATAGCTAACAACTCACTAACGCCTGTTTCTTTTCTTTTTCTTTCTTTTTTTTTTTTTTTTTTTTTTTTGAGACAGGGTCTCACTCTGTCACCCAGGCTGAAGTGCAGTGGCACAGTCAAAGCTCACTGAAGCCTAGACTTCCCAGGGTTCAAGTGATCCTCCCACCTCAGCCTCCCAAGTAGTTGGGACTACAGGAGCATGCCACCATGACCGGCTATTTTTTCTTATTTTTTGTAGAGATGGGGTTTTGCCATGTTACCCAAGCTGGTCCCAAACTCCTGGACTCAAGCAATCCTCCAGCCTCAGCCTCCCAAGGTGCAGGGATTTCAGGCGTGAGCCACCATGCCCGGTGGCTTACTAACCCTTTGACTAACCTATCAAAAACCAACTAACTGATTCTCCTGTTAACCAGCTATTAACTCATTGAATTATCTAATCAACCAGTCAACCATAAACTATCCAACTAACCACGAGCCAACAATTCAACCTGCTAACCAACATTTCTTCATTCAACAAACATTTGTTGGCCAGGCATGGTGACTCATGCCTGTAATCCCAACACTTTAGGAGGCCGAGGCAGGTGGATCACTTGAGGTCAGGAGTTCAAGACCAGCCTGGCCAACATGGCAGAACCCCATTTCCACTAAAAATAAAAAAAAAAAATTAGCTGGGCGTGGTGGTAGGTGCCTGTAATCCCAGCTGGGGTGGGGGCTGAGACGTGAGAATCACTTGAGCCCAAGAAGCAGAAGTTGCAGTGAGCCGAGATCATGCCACTGCACTTCAGCATGGGCAACAGAACAAGACTCCATCTCAAAAAAAGAAAAAATTTTTGTTGAGCACCTACTTATGAGTCAAGCACCAGGGATACAAAGTCAAAACCCACTCTCCACTCTTGGGTCACTCTGTTTAATAGAAGAGATGGGTAATGGCAACACCACCAGAGAGAAGCAGCCTGGGACTGGGGGAGCTCAGGGGAGGCATGGGAGGTGAGGACTGAAGGGAGTTTTGAAGAATGGGCGGGTGGTGGCCTGACATGGCCATGGGGGAGTAGGGTGGTGGTAGAAAGAATGGTGGAAGCTGTGCACATTCTAGATATTTTAGGAGATTGGTGACTGGATGTGAGGCATGGGGGAGAGGGAAGTATCAAGGACATGACCTTGACTTCTGGCTTGAGCAACTGAAGAGAAGGGGACCCCTGACTGAGCCAAGAGCACAGGAGGAGTGGACTTGTGGGGGGCGGAGGAGGCTGTTTCCATCTAGGAGCTGAGTTGCCTGTGAGACACCAGTGGGTCTCTAGAAACAGGATCTAAAGCCCTGGAAAGAGACGTAGGCTAGAGGCAATGATGTCAACAGAGGGGCACTATTCATTCTCTCCGTCCAAGTATACAACAGGCAAATATCCCTGCTTGTGTGGAGCTGACAGCAATGAAATGTAATAAGTAAGTTCATTTGTATAAGCGAAGGTACCAGCTCCTATGGAAAAAAACAGAGCAAGGAGAGGGGAATTGGGAGTGCAGGGGCTGGAGATGGGGTGTGATTTCAAATAGGGCAGTCAGAGTAATCCTTGTTGAGAAGGTGGCCTTGGAGCAAAGCCATGAAGATGAGAGTGGGCTGTATGTTAACTGCAGAAAGCCTCTCAGATGGAGGGAATAGTCACCAGAGGACTCTCAGCTTGTTTGAAGAAAGCAAAGAAAGTCAGTGTGAGGCCAGGTGCAGTGGCTCACACCTGTAATCCCAACCTTTTGGGAGGCCGAGGCGGGTGGATCACCTGAGGTCAGGAGTTCAAGAACAGCCTGGCGAACATGGCGAAACCCCATTTCTACTAAAAATACAAAAAAAAAAAAACAACAACTAATTAGCTGGGCATGGTAGTGTGTGCCTGTAATCCTGTAATCCCAGCTACTCAGGAGGCTAAGGCAAGAGAATCACTTGAACCCAGGAGAAGGAGGTTGCAGTGACCCAAGATCGTGCTATTGCACTCCAGCCTGGGTGACAGAACTGAATTCCATCTCAAAAAAAAAAAAAAAAAGAAAAAAAAACAGAAAAGAAACTCAGTGTGGCTGGAGGAGGGAGAGCAGGGGGCTGGAGTGGGGAGGTCAGAAAGCTAACAAGGACTACATAGGCAGGGCCTTGGCCATTGCAAGGACTGGCTCTTTTTCACCCCAAAGACAGCTGAGCCTGAGAGGGTGAGAGGTGCTGAGTGCAGTTGAGTTGAAGGCCACCTGCATGCCTTGACCCTCATCCAAGTATTTCTGAGCCTCCCCTCACCCCAGGACCCAGCCCAGGCAACAGGTGGAAGATGCTTTTCTTCTGGGACCTCAGAGGTGAGTGGGTGGGTGGGGAGGAGGAGGTCAAGGGGGGACAGCTGCCCCAAGGGAGAGGCTGAGGATGGAGCAGGGAGGGCACTGAAGTGGGCTGGGTGGAGGACAGGGGGCTGGAGGGTGAGAAGAGGGTGGGGTACTTACCGCCTGTGCCCAGATGCTTGAACCATGTTTTGTCCTTCAGATTTGTAGATGCTGAGGAGCCAAAGAGAGGTCACTAGGGCTGGAGGACACAGAACTTGGCCCCACACTTCCATCAGACCTTGGTCCCCAGGGGAGAAGCCCTGGGGCAGCTCCTGCTAGTGCCACTCCCTTAGCCCAGCCAAGCAACAGGGAGGGAGGAGTGGTGCTCAGCCAATGAGGTGACGTCCTGGAGCCCCACCCCACCCATGCTGGCCCCAGGACCCCAACCCCAGGCCAGACCCTCCAGTGCTCCTCCTGACCTTCCCTGTCTGCAGCCCAGCTTTGGACTGTGGAGATGCCCTCAGCCTCTACTCAGTGGCTCCAGCCTCATATTTGCGTGCTACACCTTTAACCTCAATCCCTCTTGCTGCTAACTTAAGCTGCGACTGTCCAGGACCTGCACACACACATACATGCACACATGCACACACACACACACACACACAGAAGGTGAACACACAGGATGAGGCCCTGAAAACTCATTTCACCCGTGTACCTCACCCAAAAATTCCCCTTTGTACTCCTATCTTTATCTCTGACAGCATGAAGGTAGCCCGAAGTCCCCTCACCCTGTCTGTCCTCCTGATTATCTAGCCCAGTTCCCTCTAGCTCCAGCACAGACTCTTATCTCCAGCCCTGACTGCTGAAACCCTCCAGCCCCAGCTCCAGCCCCTCAGGAGGGGACTGCATGGGAGGAATGACTCCAGCAAGCCGGCAGCTGACCCGTCTCCTGCCTGCACGCCTCCCCCTGTGGTCCACTGCTGGTGGTCTTCAGCTCTCTCTTCGTCCCACCCCCATGGTCTGCTGATAGTCCAGCCCAGTGCATCCCTGCCATCTCTGCTCTACTGCTGGTCCTCCCAACAACCAACTTACAGGTAAGGAAACTGAGGCCCAGAGAGAAGGTGTATGTGCCTGTGTCACACAGCAACACAGGACTGCACCATAACAAGAAAGCCGGGACTTCCACTCCCAGCCAGGGCTCCTTCCCCAAACAATCCCTCAGTCACCTCCTCACTGTATGGTACCCAGGGAATGGCCCTTCCAGATCTGGGCACTGAGGAGGCTGCCCCATCCCCACCCTGCCTGGAGCCCCACTCACTCTCCTGAAATGTCTTCTGATTCTCAGCCTCTGCCTTGGGGGCTTCTCAGTTAAAGCGCATCTTGATCTTCTTCCTCCGTGACTGTCCCTGGCTCAGCTTCCACCCCCAGCTGGGGCTCAGCTATCCCTGTGTCCCCAGTCCAGAGCCTGCCTCTCAGCCCTCCCAGGGCGGCCTCGAGCGCTCCTCCTGCTCCTCCAGGGGAGAGGTCAGTAAGGCAGGGGTTTGGCTGGTGCCACTTGAACCAAGTTCAGATGCACTGCCCAAAATAACATCCCTCGTCCGGCCAGCAGTGCCGTGGAGACCGAGTTCTGAAGCAGGCCTTTGTGAGGTCAGAGGTGGAGTTCTGGGTGGGCACTCTGGGCCTCACAGTCCCAGAGGAAAGGCCTGTCCTCCAAGCCAATGTGCAGGCTGACTCTGGGGCCAGGGCCTGAGGAAGCCCTCCCTGAGCCCCAGCCCTGGGGAAGGCTGAAGAGGCCTCTGAGCCCCCAGCGCTGGGGAGAGCTGTGCAGAATAGGACTGGAGGTGGAAGTGTTGGAGATTAACAGCCAGATGGAGGGGACGGGGGGAAGCCCTGGGTCAGTCCTCAGGGAACCCCCATTCTGAAGGGGGAGAGGGGAACTCAGGCCCAGTCCTCAGGGGTCCCCAGTCTGAGAGGAAGGAGGACACACGAGCCATATTTGCAGAGAAACACCAGCCTGCGAGAGGAGGTAGAAGCCCAGGCCTGGCCCTCCAAGGGCCCCTAGTCTGAGGAGCAGTCCACCTGCCCTCGGGAAAACACCTCCCTTAGGAAAGGCCAGCAAAGCCCCCATAAAGGAGCCACAGCTGGATCGGGGCATGGGGCTCGGGGCCCAGCGGCGTGGGAGCTCTGGGACCGAGGTGCAGTCAGGAGAGACCCTGGGGGCCAGCGGCAGTCCAAGAGGACTTTTGGAGCCAAGGCCTGACTGGGTCTCAAACAATGGGGCAGGCAGTTTGGGGTTTCAGCAGGTGGCCAAGTGCTGAGACACAAGGGAGTTGTTTCTGGTCTGCAGACACTGAGGACACTTGCTATGTGGCGTGGTGGACAGTGGGTAAGTCCTGGGAATTTCTGGCACCAGGTTCCATGGATGGGAAGGGGCATAGGATTCAGTTGCCCAAAGCTCAGGTGTGGGAATGGAACTGTCCTGTAGAGGGTGCCAAAGACCAGGTCTGGAAACTGCATAGCCCCAGTCCCCACCCCTACACACACCGTCCCACCCCTTCCAGCTTTTTCTGCAGATCTTTCTGCAGGGGTGAGGCAGGGAGAGGAAGGGGTCAGCCGCAGTCCTGGGGCTTCCTAGTCAGAAGCCCTCTGTAAGGCACTAACTTCCCTCTTCCCTCTGCAGATTTTTTTTTTTTTTGAGACGGAGTCCCACTCCACCCAGGCTGGAGTGCAGTGGCACAATCTTGTCTCACCACAGTCTCTGCCTCCCAGTTCAAGTGATTCTCCTGCCTCAGCCTCCCAAGTAGCTGGGATTACAGGCATGCACCACCAAGCCCAGCTAGTTTTTTTGGATTTTTAGTAAAGACAGGGTGTCACCATATTGGTCAGGCTGGTTTCGAACTCCTGACCTCAGGTAATCCACCCGCCTCCGCCTCCCAAAGTACTGGGATTATAGGTGTGAGCCACTGTGCCCGGCCTCCCTCTGCAGATTCTACGTGGGCTCTAAGCAGCCTCTAAATTGCCTGAACACCTAAGGCTTATTTGCTATTTGACATCTGATCTATTCTGACACTGAAAATTTCAGTGCTTTAGGGTGCTAAAAGGAAAAAAGAGGGTTTGCAAGGAATCCTGCAGTTGCTGAGGGGGTACCCTGATAAGGGAATTTTAAGCAATTACAGTAAGTGTCACTAAACTTTTTAAAAAATCTTTAACCAGATTAAACTTACACAATTTTGTTATAATTTGTGTTTCTGCAGCTTCCAATTGTGGACAAGATAAGGACCATTGCCCAGGCTGTCTGTGGAGCCAAAGATATCGAACTCTGTCCTGAGGCACAAGTCAAAATAGATCGTTACACTCAGCAGGTAAAAGTTGTACTTTTAAGGGAAAAGAAAAAATTCACCTTAGGCTCTCAGAATACTCAGCTTGACTTGAGGATTTGTACATGTCTCACCAGCTAACCTTTGCTTAATCTATTTTCTGGTTAACAAAGATGAAAGTAATATCCTCGGGTAGAGTGCAGACTATATTTAGAACTTTATGGTGAGGCATGTATCCTCTGATCCATGCATCATTTACTTCTGTGACTATAAATGTGTCTGATATGGGTGGTATCCCTGTTTGTAGGTGATGTGTGATCTTTCATCCCTCCCACTCAGCCCAGAATGTTGAAACTATCCTTTGGAGTAGAGCTGCGGAGTCAGATTTAGATGAATTGCAATGCTTCCTCTTCCTTACAGGCCTCTTACTACCTTAAAAATGCTAGCAAGGTGCCAGGGTAGGCAGATAGGAGTGCAGCCTATAAAGATGGGAATGTTTGCTGTTCTTATGCAAGCGGTTCATTGGCTTTTTACTGAGCTGGTCCACTGAGGTTGAAGGCTCCATTATCTTCTACCTCTAGCCACTGAGAAAGGCAAGTAGGCAAACAGCTGGGAAGGTGGCTATGATCTGACAGCATGTGTCATCACCTAGTCCAGTGACAGTCATGATGAATCAACTCCATTACAGGAGGCTCAGCCAACTTTTACCAAAAGGACCATGTGCCTCCAGTGTCCCTCCTACTTTGGTGTAATCAGATAGATAGAAGTCAGAACATTTTAAGAGCCTGCTGGCTAAAGAGCTTCATGATTGGTAGTGTTGACCTTATCTTTAAAAACAATCTCCAACTCCTTACTCTTTTTTGTAAACCCATTTGAAATTTTGTTAAATGCTACCATTGCCAGCCAGGGTATTTGTTCTCCTAGGTTTGGTAAAATAGGAACTCAGAAAGTTCTAAATTCTTAGAATTTTCCCTGATGTTCTTGGCTTACCCTTTACAAAAAGGATTCCCAAGCACTGCTCTGTGCCTAGGCATTGTGGTGAAGTTTTCATTCATGTGCAATGAACCAAGTAAAATAAGGTCATTCTCATGAGATTGCTTTGTTTGTTTTTCCCCTGAGTTTTTAATAATGATATTTAAGACTATCATTTATTGTAATATTAAGTCTTTTCTCCTTTCAGTGTTAAAATGTTATTTCTTTTATGAAGTAATCTGGTGACAGTATATAGCATACTGGTTGGTTTCTGTTTCTTTTTAATATGCCTACTGACAAAATTTTTACATTAGCAAACCTATAGAAATTACTTTAATATTTAACCATGTCTGAAATTCAAAATTCTGGCATCATTCTGAAAGGCAGTTGTGATTCTCACTCAGCAAAATTCTTATCAGTATAGAAGAGTGGAGATTTCAAAAAGAAAATGGCCCCAAGCCCAAGTCCTCCCTAAGTTAAGACTCTAAGATCTTCCAAATAGTTTTAGGCTAAGTCTTATGAAAATTTGACTAAAGATTTCATTCCCTTTATCTCTATCAAGGAAATACTCCTTAAAAGTCGTGTCAACCAGGCACGGTGCTCACACCTCTAATCCCAGCACTTTGTGGGGGCAAGGCAGAGGATCAGTTGAAGCCAGGAGTTTGAGACCACTCTGAGCAACATAGCAAAACCTCCATCTCTATTTTTATTTTTTTTAAAGTTAGTGCCAAGTATGTGGTTGCAATGAATTAGCAAAGCCTCTAAAGGAACACTATGTGCCATTTAATCAGAAACAGGCTTCGAGGACACTGTGCTTTTTGTGAGACACCACGTGTGACTTCCTGCTCTTTCACCTTTGGAACTCTGGGTCAGACATAGACTTTGGTCCTTAAAAACAAGAAGCTTAAATAGTGACCTCATCTTAGTTCTTGTAATGTAGTTGCAGATCAAATAACCATGATTCATGAACCAACACAAAGGAACCCTTTGCTTCTTGACTGACTCCAGAATGAGTGAACAACATGACTAAGAGCCTAGTCGCAGAGCCTTTCTCCAGACTACCTTGCTGGGTCCCGGATATTAATAGTCTTGGAAAGCGGTTTCTACAGCTGCTGCTTTGCCTGAAAATAGCAATGTTTTTCCCAAACATGCACATAACACTGCCTTCTCTTAACGAGAACCTCCAAAATAAACAAAAGTCACCCTTGACCTACTAAACAGTCATCACATGGAGATGAGTTTTTATCCTCACCTTCTTGCTTGTTCAGTGAACAAGTAGTAACAAGCAGCTCCTGCGTGTGCCTAGATCTGAGCTGGCATACCATTGCTGCCGAGACTGTATAAAGTGCAAATTGAAAAACATAGGAGACTCACATCTATATCAGTGAACACATTTTCTTTCCTTTCTTACAGGGTTTTGGAAATTTGCCCATCTGCATGGCAAAGACCGACCTTTCTCTGTCTCACCAACCTGACAAAAAAGGTGTGCCAAGGGACTTCATCTTACCTATCAGTGATGTCCGGGTCAGCACAGACGCTGGGTTCATTTACCCTTTGGTCGGAACGGTGAATGAGTCACATTTTCCAAAAACCCTCCCCATTCTGCATTGTCGCAGTGCCTCAAATCGTTATGCTCCACCCGCTCTTTAAAAATCATGGATTAGGGAGAATTGGGAGTAATTAATAGTACAGTATTCGCTATTTTTCTAAACACTCTGTCTCACCTACCTTTGCCATTGTGGTTTGGGTTTTTCTTTTTTTAGATCATGTGTTCAGGATCCTTAGAGTCATAATACTAATTTCCTTCCTAAGGCAAGTAAGAACATAACTTGGGAGAATTCAGTCTGTTATTTAAATGGTAGAATGGCTTAGGACAGTGGTTGTCAACCTTTATCACACATAGCACCCAAAATGATGTAATCAGTAGGGTTGACTGCTCACACCAGACAGGATCTGCCCAGTCACCCCAAGGGCTGGGGAAAGCAGTCCTCACCCTCTCACTTCCCCAGCACATCAGGTGGGAAGTTCTGGCTTAGGAAATTACTGAATCATATGAATTCTCATTTTTGATGTTGTTGTGATGGGATTACGTTGCTATTGGTTGATTATTCTGTTATTTTGTGTTGTCTATGGAGGTAAAGGAGATGAACAGAGATATAAAAGCTTATCAAAGTGCTTAAAATCCATGAAGATTGGCTTCATTTTGTATAGCTACACAGTGATAGCCTTCCGTTGGTACCATCAGTGGCCTAAATTTGATTTCTTGTCTTTGGGAGTGCTCCTGAATTTGGTTTAGAATAAAAAAGAATTCTTAAAACCTGGCAGATCCCATGGCAAGAAAAGAAAAAAAATTCTAACTCATCATTATCATCATCATTAGTGCAAAGTGATCTGAGCTTAAACAGCATACATTATAATAATTTTTTATAATAAACCATGTGGCTCTATTGTGCAAACAAGCAATAGACAGACAAAAAGTGCAGATTCTTGCCTTGATATTTACATACTTCATCTAATATTGGACACAATGTTTTTTCAATCAGCATCATTTGAATTCTTCCTGCATGTGAGGCACAGAGATTTTAAGATGAGCAGGTGTGAGATGCATGGATTTGAATAGCATAGAGGTATCTGGAGAGCATTGTGTTGGTATTCTGAATGCCCTCAGATCCCAGGGGGATAACAGCTCATTATGCCTGGGGTAGAACTTACCTGGGCTGTGGAAGAAGAGGGGATTCTTCAAAAAGGGCTCAACCTCTGAACTGGCAAAACAGTGAGTTTTGACTCAAAGGCACCAGAGTACTAATACATGACATCCTCTCCTGGGGTGATCCAATGTGGCTGGAGTTGGATGAGGTGGGGAGGCTGGGGATGGGAATGGGAATGGGATTGGGATAGCAGGACGGGGTCACATGGCCAAGGATCTTGAAGACCATCTCATGGAACTTGAATCTGATCTCTACACACTGAGGAGCCACGGTAGGGTGGGTTTTTTGTTTGTTTCTTGGTTTTTTATTTTTTTTATTTTTTGTTTTTAAATAAGGAGGAGAAGAATGTGGTCTGACGTGTATTTTAGAAAAATAGCTCTGGCAGCAATGTGGAGAATGTTTAGTGAAAAGAGAACCAGGCCCAGAGAGGTGGGTTAATTCAGCTGGGGCCAGAGGAAATCAAGGTCCACACTTTGGCCACAGAAGTAGATACGGAGAGTGGGGGTGAATTGCAGACACACTCTAAAAGTATCCTCCTACAGTAGGGGCCGGGTGAAGGGACTGTTCTAGCTTGGTGACTGGCTGGTGATGCCATCACCGTGTCATGGAAAGGACACGGGAGGAGGCAGATTGGCCAAGCCAGAAATGAGCCTGGCTTGAAGAGAGAGAGCTCGGAGGGTTAATAGGATCTAAGGAACAGTCTGTGTCTCCACTGGAAATACAGATACAGCGCTCCAAAGAAAGGGGCAGGAAGGTCGCCCTGGTGGGTTTAAGGATATGGGTGAAGGCACTCATTAAACAAGAGACACAGGGATAGCTGGAAATCAGTGAGAAGAGAGTAAAGGAAGACACCCCTGAAACACCCACTTTAATGCAGCCGACTCCTGGCAGGGGTGCCTTCCAGAAGGCAGGAAGGAAGGAGCAGGGGCATGGCAGAGAACGTCCAGAAAAATCCCACAGACACCGCTCACAGCAATGTTGACACAGAGAGAAGGGTCCAGATGAAATGGGTTCTGAAAGACATTTTCAGGTCTACAGTTCAGATCAGCAGTTGCCAGGAGTTGGGGGAGGGAAGTGTTTGACTGCAGAGGGGCAGGAGGGAACTTGTTGGGATAATGGAAATACCCTATGTTTTGACATGGTAGTGATTCCATGGCTATATACATTCTTCCAGACTCATAGACCTATACACGTGTGTTGCCCAGGCTGGACTCAAACTCCTGATCTCAAGCAATCCTCCCACCTCAGCTTCCCAAGTTGCTGTGACTATAGGTTCATGCCACTGTGCCGGGCCTGTGTATCATTTAGTTATACCTCAGTTAACAAAAATGGGTACTGAAGAGCTTGCTGTATATTCCTTAGAATGGCCTCAGTCAGCCGGGTGCGGTGGCTCACGCCTGTAATCCCAGCACTTTGGGAGGCCAAGGTGGGGGGATCACAAGGTCAGGAGTTCGAGACCTGCCTGGCCAAAAGGGTGAAACCCCATCTCTACTAAAAATACAAAAATTTGCTGGGCATGATGGCGGGCACCTATAATCCCAGCTACTCGGGAGGCTGAGGCAGGAGAATTGCTTGAACCTGGGAGGCAGAGGTTGCAGTAAGCCAAGACTGTGCCATTGTGCTTCAGCCCGGGTGACAGAGCAAGACTCCATCTCTAAATACATACATACATACATACATACATACATACATACATACATAGAATGGCCTCAGTGATGGCCACTTTACTCCTGAGCTTTAGTTGGCAAAGGCCTTGGCTTAGGGATAAGAGGGCAGCTGGACAGTGCAGGCCCAGAGAGACTGGACCATCAGGGGAAGTGAGGGGTGATGGAGGTGCCCAAACAGAGCATGAAATGGTAGAGTAGATGAGAAGGTTAGCCTCGATCACGATCTGTCCTGTCCTATCCTCTGCGGACTCTAAACCCCGAAGCAGTTCACCCAACAAATTCATTCACTCGGCCAATGCTGCATAAGGCACTCAGCTCAGGGCTACAGGAAGCCCCAACCTAAAGAAGCTTTCTCTGCTTCAGGTAGTTTACAGCTGGTAGACGCAGATAGAAGTGAATTAGCAAAGAAAATAGTTTGATATAAAAACTGTGCATTTAACTGCAACCTTAATTCACTTCTGAGCATTTAATAGCCATTAAACAAAAACTAGATCAAATTACTACGTTGGGCGTATATCACTTTTATAACATGAAAATACAGTAAATAGGGCAATGATAAACTGCAAGTGCTTGGGGAGAAGGCTTAACTCAGGCCAGTTGCAAGAGAGTGAGAACACAGACGCAGCCTGTGGGAGCGGGCTCTGTGCCATCACCTGGCCGGTCCTGGCTGTGTTGCTGTGTTTTCGCACCTCAAAAGTTGGGACAGCAAGGAAAGGCCATCAGAGCTAGAATGTTTCTATAAGAAGTGTATTCAGTATGATTTGTCTAGCTCTGACTAATGTGTGCAAACCCCAGATTCCACTAAGCAAATGCAAGATTGTTTTTCCCTGTTAATTTGTTCCTGGGCCCTTCTTGCTTACTGTGTTGGGCATTGGAGAGGGGGTGATTGACTTCTTTCTTCTCACAGTGTTTTCTCTCTCTCTCTCTTTTTTTTTTTTTTTTTTTTTTTGAGACAGAGTATTGCTCTGTCACCCAGGCTGGAGTGCAGTAGCATGATCTCGGCTCATGCAACCTCCGCCTTCCAGGTTCAAGTGATACTCCTGCCTCAGCCTCCCAAGTAGCGTGGACTACAAGTGCATGCCACCACATCTGGCTCATTTTTTATATTTTTCATAGAGACTGGGGTCTCACCATATTGGCCGGGCTGTTCTCAAACTCCTGAACTCAAGTAAGCCACCACGCCCAGCCATCTCTCACAGTGTTTTTTAAAACAACAACGCATTTTCACAACAGTTGGCCTGGAGAGGTGTCCAACCAAGTTGGAATTCATAGCAGATATCCATTTGAAGTTAATTTTTGGTGTATTTGACTGTTTTCCATTGACTTCAAAATTGAGGCAGTGAGAGAGACTTGAAGAACTTAGAATATGAACCCTTTTCTCACTGGCAAACATGGGACATAGAGGCATGTCTTGACAGCAATTTATGGCAACACTCTGGGCTGGAATCTAGGGGTTAAGCAGCCTGGCCGGTTTTGTAAATTAGCCAGGCCACCCTCAGAGTCAGTTTGAGGGTTTAGTGGGAAGCCTGAATAAAAAGAGAAGTTAAACTTTTAAGAAAAGGGTCAAGCTTTAAAACTGGAATTGGCTTTTCAAATTTAATGAGTAAAAAGAAACCCCAAAACTGGAATTGTAATTGTGGAGAAGTACAAATTATAATATTTGGAATATCACCTACAAGGAATGAAACTATCCAGAAGCATTTAGATGGTAGTCATTGATTGTAGGGCATCTCTGGGGGCAGGGTGGCTCCTGGCACTGTAGAGAAAGACCGTCGGTGCTTCCGTCTCCCAGTTGGAGGAAAGGGATACACTGTGGAGGTCCCAGCAGCTTAGGGCCTGCCCCCATGTGGTTATCTCTGCACGGTTTCCTTCCCTCTGTCTTCCTGTAACTCTTTCACCCTGGCCCCTGTGCCCTTTCTGGGCAGAGGGTGACAGGAGGCACTGCATGGGTGCATTCTTTTTTTTTTTTTTTTTTTTTTTGAGACAGAGTCTTACTCTGTTGCGTGGGCTGGAGTGCAGTGGTGTGATCTCGGCTCACTGCAACCTCCATCTCCCGGGTTCAAGTGATTCTCCTGCCTCAGCTTCCCGAGTAGCTGGGATTACAGGCGGCCACCACTACGCCCAGCTAATTTTTTCCAATTTTAGTAGAGACGGGGTTTCACCACATTGTTCAGGCTGGTCTCAAACTCCTGACCTCGTGATTCACCTGCCTCAGCCTCCCAACGTGCTGGGATTACAGGTGTGAGCCACCGCCCCCAGCCAAGTACATGCTTTTTTTCCTCTTGTTGGGATTGGCCTGGGCTATACCTATCTCATGGTGGAAGCCTGCCTAGGGACCAGGCCCTAGAAGACCAGCAGTTTATTTAACTGGGTTGGCCTTTGTCCCCACTCCCTGTGACCCGGCCCTGCCATATCTTTACCCAGGTGCACCACTGACATCATTGCTCGGCTGGACTCTGGAAAGCAGGAAATTGCTGGAGCATGTTTGGGGCATCAGTGATGTCACCCGCTACGAATGCCGGGTGGGGTTACTGGACTGAGGGCCATGAAAAAAGAAAGCTGCGGCCCTGCCCCGTGGACTCACTGCCATTCTGTTCTTTCTCACGTTTCAGTTCAGCTCACTTTGTTTTCCGTCCCCCTCCCCCTACTGTAAAATTATGTACTCAGTGTTTCATTTCCTGCTGGATCTGATTCAGGTCAGTGATGAAGTTCTTTGTGAGCTCAGTGGGGAGGCGTTTCCTCCCCTTCATACCGGCCCTGCTTAGGGATGCATGGTTGGTTATATACTTGCTTCACTCGGTTAGGCATGGAGGAGAATTCATTCAGACCTCATAGGTTTAAATCAAATGCATGACCCTTCAGATTTTCCAGAGATTTAGACAGTTACAGTGAGACAATTAAACATTCACCCCCCAAGCTGCACTTGGAGATGTGTAAGCAGTAATGTAGTCATGCGCTCCCCATGATATGAGAGTGTGCAGAATGCCACTCCCCACAGCAGGTCCACCAGGACCTCCTCAGGGAGCATCTTGCCTACAAAATCACCCATCCCTTTTTCCCCACTCTCTTCACTTTCCCTACGTTTCCACTCCCACACCCACAAATAAACAAAGAAGCTTTGAGCTTATTTTACAAAAGTGTTTGAAATGGCCCTCCTCTCTCTGATGCTCCTGGGCCCTGGTTTGGCCCCATCTGTGCAGTCTCTCTGATGAGTGTGAAATAAGCCAGGTTTGGCTCATGCTCTCCCTGTGAGCTTGCTCTCCCCGTGAGACTGCCCTCTCCATCTGGCCTCACTTTGTTTGTGTCCCTGTGTCCTTTATCTCTGATCCTGGGATCCTGGTGGTTTCCTCCTCCCCGCCCAGCTTGGGTACTTTTCCCCAGGGTTCTTCCCTATCTCTACATCAGAATTTCCTGCTTTCTCCCAGATATGCATTTCCCTGGCCCAGGCATCCATTACTTCCTCTCATCGTGAGGTCCCTGCAGCAGGCTGCCGATGGTGTTGTGGCCATGCCTTCCTCCACAACCCAAGGAAAGCTACATGTGTGTCTGTCCCATAGGGAAGGAGTCATCCCTGTCTCTTCAGTGTGGCATGTTCAGGAGGAAGGAAAGTAACCAGCGTCATTCTCAATTTCCGGAAACTGTTTATCATATTGACAAGAAGAAGAAAGCTTTGTGACTCATGAGAATGATGTTTTCCTCTCTGGTACATAAGGTTATGTAGGTACAATCCATTTGTGTAGAGGATCTTTTCTCCCTTAATGTGATGTACACATTTTTAGCACAAGTATAAAACTACTTTAAATGAAATCAGCCTCAGCCAGGGAAATATGCTGAGTAATAATGTTGCCAGGTACTATACCACTGAGTTGAGTTTGCAATTCACTGCTATTAATCCCTGTGTGTTAGTTCTGAATTTTTACTCTTTGCATACGTAGAAAAATGGTGTTTCTCTTCAGAGTCAAGGAGGGAAAAAAGAAAAGATAAAAGACGCTTATAACACCTTTGTGTCCACCCCTAAAATCAGCATATTGATCTATTACTTTTCTAGGTATTGATGGAATATTGACTCATATACTTTCATAAAACTGGTAATATATATATAGACTCATTTTTCTTCTTCCACTTTCATCTACAGCCTACTTGTTTTTTCCCCCCCGTTTTTCGTTTGGATTCATAGCATAAATTGACAACAAAGATACATCTCAATCTAGAGCTTCCAAAAGGCATCCATAAAAGTATCTGGTTCTCATGGAATTTCTCTTTCTTCTGTGTCTCTTAGTTACACTTTTCTCTTATTACACTTTTATATGCAGCCGTGGCTAAGAGGCATATAATCAGAAGCAGCTAAGCAATGTATGCAAGGGAAATAAAATGAACGCAAACCAAGATAACCGGTTTTGTAAGTTAGATAGCAAGGCCACCCTCAGAGTCAGTTTGAGGGTTTCATGAAGCCTAAGAAATATAACTGATATAACTGATATATTATCAGTTATAAAAAAAGTTATAAGAAAAGGGTCAAGCTTTAAAACTGGAATTGGCTTTTCAAATTTAATGAGCAAAAAGAAACCCCAAAACTGGAATTGTAATTATGGAGAAATAGAACTGATAATATCTGGAACTTGCAGCAGTTTACAGGTTTAACTATGTACGTGTTCCTTAAATTATCCACCCGCAGATATCAGATTACAATAAGTCCTCACTTAATGTCATTGATAGGTTCTTGGAAACTACCACTTTAAGCAAAAGGACATAATGCATACGAAACCAGTTTTCCCATAGTCTAATTGATAGGAAAAAGAGTTGAGTTATGAAGCCACACAGTACCTCGTTTGGCTTAAAGTCACTGTTTCCAAGAACATATCCACAATGTTAAGTAAGGACTTACTGTAAATGAAAATATTTGCAGTAAATCGCTTTTGAGAGAATTGGTTATCACACTCTTCTCTGGGTATCATCAAAAATTCAGAATGTTTAGTTACATCAGGTTATACTCACTGGTATGAAATCAGGGAGCAAGTATAAAGTAGGTGTAGGGAAATAATTTATTTTGGATTAAATGATCCAATGAAGGAATTTTATTAAGCCCCTAGAAATCCCAGAATGAAAATGTATAACTGCATGACTAACCCCTGTAAGAATTTGCTGGGGTTTCTGCATTAAGTACGCTTCCCAGGCCATTTGTAATGAAGGTACCGTGATCTGTTAAGGAAGAGACCTACACCTGGGAACATAAACAGCCAAATCCATCCTGGACATCAGTCTCCTGTTTGACTCATTCCAACCCCAAGAATATGTTGTAGAGTGTAGGACCCATGAAAGTTACCTACTGTGCTTCCCCGTACCTTCCATCATCCAGTTCCCAAACATACCTGTGTTTCTTCTCTGAATGCATAGTTACTTGGGATCCCATGCTGTATTAGTCTGTTCTCACACTGCTGTAAAGAACTACTTGAGAGTGGATAGTTTATAAAGAAACAAGGTTTAATTGACTCAGTTTTGCAGGCTATACAGGAGGCATGGCTGGGGAGGCCTCAGGAAACTTACAATCATGGTGGAAGGCAAAGGGGAAGCAAGTACATATTCACATGGCGGCAGGAAAGAGATAGAGTGAAGGGGCAGTGCCACACACTTTTAAACAACCAGATCTCATGAGAACTCACTAGCACGAGAACAACAAGGGGGAAATTCACCCCCATGATCCAGTCACCTCCCACCAGGCCCCTCCTCCAACACTGAAGCTCATAATTCATTATGAGATTTGGCTGGGGACACAGTGCCAAACCATATCATATGCCTTTCCCAGGACTGGTGTTGGAGGAACAGTGCCTTTGTCACACCTACCAGAATATACTCACCCACCTCCAGACACTTCATTTCTCTTTCAAGCACACCTCCTCACTTGTGCCGCCAGCTAAGGTTTACTGCAGTTACTTCCTTTGTGTGTCCTCTTACCTTACCAAGTCGCCTCACCCACCATCTACTGTTAATTAAATTACCACCTCCCCCACTTCCCCACCTCCAGAGTAGAGACTGTGTCTTCAGTTCTCTTGGCCTTCCTACAATGGGAAGTCTGGTGTAGAACATACCCTAGGAGCCAACTAAATGTGGTAGTGGCCTGCCAACCCTGCAGAGAGCTAGCGAATCTTCAGGGAGTCTGCTGCCGGTGGAAACTCACCAGTACTAGAATCCCAGGCTCCAAAGAAGTCTAGAAAAGTACGTCTTTTAAGGAGCTAATAAGAGGTTCAAGTTGCCACAAATCCTATCTGCTCTTGGCCTAGTTCTTTTGGGATCAGTGTGCTAGTCTCTCTTGTCAAACTAGTTACTGACCAGCAAGACTAAAAAACCAGGCCCAAACACATTCTATTCATGTGCTTAGATATAGACCTATGGATCAAATATCCCACTGTAAAGCAAAAAAGCAAACTGTTTTTCCCTTGTACTTTCACACTCAACAATAGCACACTTCTGTGGCTGGCTGTGTGGGGGCTTTTCCTTACACACCAAACATTTCTCACAGAGACCAACTGGGTGTCCTCTTATTCAATTCAATCCTGACACTGTCTACCTGCAGATAGTGTCCAATCCCACAGATTGACGGCTCGATCCCATGAGACCAGCCCCACTTCAGGCACTAATTCCAAGTCCAGGCGACACATACTTCTGACTGCCTGGCTAAAAACTACATCCACGGCCGGTCATGGTGGTTCACGCCTGTAATCCCAGCACTTTGGGAGACCAAGGCGGGTGGATCACTTGAGATCAGGGGTTTGAGACCAGCCTGGCCAACATGGTGAAACCCCGTCTCTATTAAAAATACAAAAATTAAGCTGGGCACGGTGGCTCACACCAGTAATCCCAGCACTTTGGGAGGCCAAGGCAGGCGGATCACGAGGTCAGGAGATCAAGACCATCCTGGCTAACACGGTGAAACCCCATCTCTACTAAAAATACAAAAAAAAAAATTAGCCAGGCATGGTGGTGGACGCCTGTAGTCCCACCTACTTGGAAGGCTGAGGCAGGAGAATGGCCTGAACCCGTGAGGTGGAGCTTGCAGTGAGCAGAGATCATGTCACTGCACTCCAGCCTGGGTGAGAGAGCGAGGCTCCATCTCAAAAAAATAAATAAATGAAATAAAATACAAAAATTAGCTGGGTGTGGTGGCGGGCTCCTATAAGCCCAGCTACCAGGGAGGCTGAGGCAGGAGAATCGCTTGAACCCGGGAGGCAGAGGTTGCAGTGAGTTGAGATCCTGCAACTGTACTCCAGCCTGGGAGACAGAATGAGACTCCATCTCAAAAAAAAAAAAAAAAAAAAGGGTTCGCATGAGCCCCCTCCCTGGGTTCAATTAAGTTCCTAGGATGGCTCACAGAACTCAGAGAAACATTTACAGAGCTGTTATGATATATATTGATTTTCGTTGATGAACATTGATGCAAAAATCCTCAATAAAATACTGGCAAAACGAATCCAGCAGCACATCAAAAAGCTTATCCACCATGATCAAGTGGGCTTCATCCCTGGGATGCAAGGCTGGTTCAGTATATGCAAATCAATAAATGTAATCCAGCATATAAACAGAACCAAAGACAAAAACCACATGATTATCTCAATAGATGCAGAAAAGGCCTTTGACAAAATTCAACAACCCTTCATGCTAAAAACTCTCAATAAATTAGGTATTGATGGGACGTATTTCAAAATAATAAGAGCTATCTATGACAAACCCACAGCCAATATCATACTGAATGGGCAAAAACTGGAAGCATTCCCTTTGAAAACTGGCACAAGACAGGGATGCCCTCTCTCACCACTCCTATTCAACATAGTGATGGATGTTCTGGCCAGGGCAATCAGGCAGGAGAAGGAAATAAAGGGTATTCAATTAGGAAAAGAGGAAGTCAAATTGTCCCTGTTTGCAGATGACATGATTGTATATCTAGAAAATCCCATTGTCTCAGCCCAAAATCTCCTTAAGCTGATAAGCAACTTCAGCAAAGTCTCAGGATACAAAATCAATGTACAAAAATCACAAGCATTCTTATACACCACCAACAAACAAACAGAGAGCCAAATCATGAGTGAACTCCCATTCACAATTGCTTCAAAGAGAATAAAATACCTAGGAATCCAACTTACAAGGGATGTGAAGGACCTCTTCAAGGAGAACTACAAACCACTGCTCAAGGAAATAAAAGAGGATACAAACAAATGGAAGAACATTCCATGCTCATGGGTAGGAAGAATCAATATCATGAAAAAGGCCATACTGCCCAAGGTAATTTACAGATTCAATGCCATCCCCATCAAGCTACCAATGACTTTCTTCACAGAATTGGAAAAAACTACTTTGAAGTTCATATGGAACCAAAAAATAGCCCACATTGCCAAGTCAATCCTAAGCCAAAAGAACAAAGCTGGAGGCATCACACTACCTGACTTCAAACTATACTACAAGGCTACAGTAAACAAAACAGCATGGTACTGGTACCAAAACAGAGATATAGATCAATGGAACAGAACAGAGCCCTCAGAAATAATGCCACATATCTACAACTATCTGATCTTTGACAAACCTGACAAAAACAAGCAATGGGGAAAGGATTCCCTATTTAATAAATGGTTCTGGGAAAACTGGCTAGCCATATGTACAAAGCTGAAACTGGATCCCTTCCTTACACCTTACACAAAAATCAATTCAAGATGGATTAAAGACTTAAACGTTTGACCTAAAAGCATAAAAACCCTAGCAGAAAACCTAGTCATTACCATTCAGAACATAGGCATGGGCAAGGACTTCATGTCTAAAACACCAAAAGCAATGGCAACAAAAGCCAACATTGACAAATGGGATCTAATTAAACTAAAGAGCTTCTGCACAGCAAAAGAAACTAACATCAGAGTGAACAGGCAACCTACAAAATGGGAGAAAAGTTTCCCAAGCTACTCATCTGACAAAGGGCTAATATCCAGAATCTACAATGAACTCAAACAAATTTACAAGAAAAGAACAAACAACCCCATCAAAAAGTGGGTGAAGGACATGAACAGACATCGAGCAGTTTTGAAAAACTCTTTTTGTAATATCTGCAAGTGGACATTTGGAGCGCTTTTTGGCCTATGGTGGAAAAGGAATTATCTTCATTTAAGAACTAGATGGAAGCATTCTGTGAAACTGCTTTGTGATGTGCGCATTCCTCTCACAGAGCTGAAACTTGATTTTAATTGAGCAGTTTTGAGAACTCTCATTTTGTAGAATCTGCAAGTGGACATTTGGAGCGCTTTACGGCCTATGGTGGAAAAGGAAATATCTTCACATTAAAACTAGGCAGAAGCATTCTGACAAGCTTATTTGTCATTTATCTCACGGAGTTGCCATTTATCTCATGGAGTTGAACTTAACTTTCGATAGAGCAGTTTTGAAACATTCTTTTTGTAGAATCAGCAAGTGGACATTTGGAGAGCTTTAAGGCCTGTGGTGGAAAAGGAAATATCTTCACACAAAACTAGACAGAAGCAATCTGACAAAGTTTTTGTGATGTGTGCATTCATCTCGCAGAGTGGAACCTTAATTTCGATTGAGCAGTTATGAAACACTCCTTTTGTAGAATCTGTAAGTGGACATTTGGAGCGCTTTGATGCCTATGGTGGAAAACGAAATATCTTCACATAATAACTAGACAGAAGCATTCTGAGAAACTTCTATGTGATGTGTGCATTCATCTCATAGAGTTGAAACTTTCTTTTGATTGAGCCACTTTGAAACACTCTTTCTGTAGTATCTGCAAGTGGACATTTTTGGCGCTTTGAGGCAATGGTGGAAAATGTAATATCTTCACATAAAAACTAGACAGAAGAATTCTGAGAAACTACTTTGAGATGTGTGCCTTCACATTACAGAGTTGAACCTTTCTTTTGATTGAGCAGTTTGGAAACACACTTTTTGAAGAATCTTCAGGTGGACAATTGGAGCACTTAGTGGCCTATGGTAGAAAAGGAAATATGTTCACATAAAATCTAGACAGAAGCAATCGGACAAGAGCAACTTTGAAACACTCTTTCTGTAGTATCTGCAAGTGGACATTTTTGGCGCTTTGAGGCAATGGTGGAAAAAGAAATATCTTCACACAAGAACTATACAGAAACATTCTGAAAAACTTCATTGAGATGTGTGGATTCATCTCACAGAGTTGAACCTTTCTTTTGATTGAGCAGTTTTGAAAGACTCTATTTGTAGAATCTGAATTTGGACATTTGGTGCACTTTGTGGCCCATGGTGGAAAAGGAAATATCTTCACATAAAAACTAGACAGAAGCATTCTGACAAACTTCTTTGTGACTTGTGCATTCATGTCACAGAGTTGAACCTTTCTTTTGAATGAGCAGTTTTGAAACACTCTTTTTGTAGAATCTGCATGTGGACATTTGGAGCTCTTCGAGGCCTATGGTGGAAAAGCAAATACCTTAATATAAAAACTCTACAGAAATATTCTGACAAAATTCTTTGTTATGTGTACATTCTTCACACAGATTAAAACCTTTCTTTTCATTGAGCAGTTTTGAAAAACTCTTTTTGTGGAATCTGCAAGTGTACATTTGAAGCGCTTTGAGGCCTATGGTTTAAAAGGAAATATGTCCACATAAAAACTAGACAGAATCATTCATAGAAAATCCTTTGTGTTGTGTGCATTTATCTCACCGGGTTGAACATTTCTTTTGATTGAGCAGGTTTAAACACTCTTTTTGTAGAATCTGCAAGTGGACATTTGGAGCGCTTTGAGGCTTATGGTAGAAAAGGAAATATCTTCACATAAAATCTAGACAAAAGCAATCTGAGAAACTTCTTTGTGATGTGTGCATTCATCTCACAGAGTTAAAATTTTTTTTGATTGAGCAGTTTTGAAACTCTCTTTTTGTAGAATCTGCAAGTGGACATTTGGAGCCCTTTTGGGCCTTTGGTGGAAAAAGAAATATCTTCACATAAAAACTAGATAGAAGAATTCTGAGAAACTTCTTGGTGATGTGTGCGTTCATCTCACAGAGGTGAAACTTTCTTTTGATTGAGCAGTTTGGAAACTCTCTTTTTGTAGAATCTGCAAGTGGACATTTGGAGCGCTTTGCGGCCTATGGTAGAAAAGGAAATATCTTCACATAAAACCTACACAGAAGCAATCTGAGAAACTTCTTTGTGATGTGTGCTTTCATCTCACAGAGTTAAACCTTTCTTTTGATTGAGGAATTTTGAAACTCTCTTTTTGTAGAATCTACAAGTGGACAATTGGAGCACTTTGAGGCCTTTGGTGGAAAAGAAAATATCTCCACATAAAAATAGACAGAAGATTTCTGAGAAACTTCTTTGTGATGTGTGCATTCATGTCACAGACTTGAACATTTCTGTTGATTGAGTAGTTTGGAAACACTCTTTTTTAGAATCTGCAAGTGGACATTTGGAGCGCTTTGCGGCCTATGGTAGAAAAGGAATTATCTTCACATAATATCTAGACAGAAGCAATCTGAGAAACTTCTTTGTGATATGTGCATTCATCTCACAGAGTTAAGCCATTCTTTTGATTGAGCAGTTTTGAACCTCTCTTTTCGTAGACTCTGCAAGTGGACATTTCGAGTGCTTTGAGGCTTACGGTGAAAAAGGAAATATCTTCCCATAAAAAGTAGACAGAAGAATTCTGAAAAACTTTGTGATGGGCACGTTCATCTCACAGAGTTGAAACTTTCTTTTGATTGAGCAGTTTGGAAACCCTCTTTTTATAGACTCTGCAAGTGGACATTTGGAGCACTTTGCGGCCTATGGTAGACTAGGAAATATGTTCACATAAAATCTAGACAGAAGTAATCTGAGAAACAACTTTGTGATGTGTGCATTCATCTCACAGAGATAAACATTTCTTTTGATTGAGCAGTTTTGAAACTGTCTTTTTGTAGAATCTGCAAGTGGACATTTGGAGCGCTTTGAGGCCTATGGTGGAAAAGGAAATATCTTCACATAAAAACTACATAGAAGCATTCTGAGAAAGATTTTGTGATGTGCGCATTCATCACCCAGAGTTGAATCTTTCTTTTGAAGGACCAGTTTTGAAATACTCTGTTTGTAGAATCTTCAAGTGGACATTTCGAGCGCCTTGAGGCCTATGGTTTAAAAGGAAATATCTTCACATAAAAACAAGACAGAAGAATTCTGAGAAAGTTCTTTGTGATATGTGCGTTCATCTCGCAGAATTGAGCCTTTCTTTTGATTGAGCAGTGTTGAAACCCTCTTTTTGTAGAATCTGCAAATGGTCATTTGGAGCACTTTGAAGCCTACGGTGGAAAAGGAATTTATCTTCACATAAAAACTAGAGAGAATAATTCTGACAAACTTCTTTGTGATGTGTGCGTTCATCTCACAGAGTTGAAACTTTCTTTTGATTGAGCTGTTTGGAAACACCCTTTTTGTAGAATCTGCAAGTGGACATTTGGAGCACTTTGTGGCCTATGATAGAAAAAGAAATATCTTCACATAAAATTCAGACAGAGCCAATCTGAGAAACTACTTTGTGATGTGTGCATTCATTTCACAGAGTTAAAACTTTAGTTTGGTTGAGCAGTTTTGAAACTCTCTTTTTGTAGAATCTGCAAGTGGACATTTGGAGCGCTTTTAGGCCTATAGTGGAAAAGGAAATATCTTCACATAAATACTAGACAGAAGAATTCTCAGAAACTTCTTTGTGATGTGTGCATTCATCTCACTGAGTTGAACCTTCATTTTGATTGAGCATTTTGGAAGCACTCCTTTTGCAGAATCTGCAAGTGGAGATTTGGAGCGCTTTGCGGCCAGTGGTAGAAAAGGAAATACCTGCACATAAAATCTAGACAGAAGCAATATGAGAAAATTCTTTGTGATGTGTGCATTCATCTCAGAGACTTAAACATTTCTTTTGACGGAGCATTTTTTAAACTCTGTTTTTGTAGAATCTGGAAGTGTACATTTGGAGCGGTTTGAGGACAATGTGGAAAAGAAAATATCTTCACATAAAAACCAGATTGAAGAATACTGAGAAACTTCTTTGTGATGTGTGCTTTCATCTCACAGAGTTAAAACTTTTTTTTTGATTGAGCAGTTTTGAAGCTCTCTTTTTGTAGAATCTGCAAGTGAAAATTTGGAGCGCTTTTAGGCCTATGGTGGAAAAGGAAATATCTTCCCATAAAAACTAGATAGAAGAATTCTGAGAAACTTCTTTGTGACGTGTGCGTTCATCTCACAGAGTTGAAACTTCCTTTTGATTGAGCAGTTTGGAAACACTCTTTTTGTAAAATCTACAAGTGGACACTTGGAGTGCTTTGGGGCCTAAGGTAGAAAAGGAAATATCTTCACATAAAACCTAGACAGAAGCAATCTGAGAAACTTCTTTGTGATGTGTGCATTCATCTCACAGAGTTGAACCTTCCTTTTCATTGAGCAGTTTGGAATCACTCTTTTTGTAGAATGTGCAAGTGGACATTTGGAGCGCTTTGTGGACTATGGTAGAAAAGGGAATATCTTCACATTAAATCTAGACAGAAGCAATCTGAGAAATTTCTTTGTGATGTGTGCATTCATCTCACAGAGTTAAACCTTCCTTTTGATAGAGCAGTATTGAAACTCTCTTTTTGTAGAATCTGCAAGTGGACATTTGGAGTACTTTCAGGCCTACGGTGGAAAAGGAAATATCTTCACATAAAAACTAGACAGAAGAATTCAGACAAACTTCTTTGTGATGTGTGCGTTCATCTCACAGAATTGAGCCTTTCTTTTGATTGAGCAGTGTTGAAACTCTCTTTTTGTAGAATCTGCAAATTGTCATTTGGAGCGCTTTGAGGCCTACGGTGGAAAAGGAATTTATCTTCACATAAAAACTAGAGAGAATAATTCTGACAAACTTCTTTGTGATGTGTGCGTTCATCTCACAGAGTTGTAACTTTCTTTTGATTGAGCAGCTTGGAAACAGTCTTTTTGTAGAATCTGCAAGTGGACATTCGGAGTGCTTTTTGGCCTACGGAAGAAAACGAAATATCTTCATATAAAATCTAGACAGTAGCAATCTGAGAAACTTCTTTGTAATGTGTGCATTCAACTCACAGAGTTAAAACTTCATTTGATTGAGCAGTTTTGAAACTCTCTTTTTGTAGAATCTGCAAGTGGACATTTGGAGCGCTTTGAGGTCTATGGTGGAAAAGGAAATATCTTCACATAAAAACTAGACAGAAGATTTCTGACAAACTTCTTTGTGATGTGTGTGTTCATCTCACAGAGTTGAAACTTTATTTTGATTGAGTAGTTTGGAAACACTCTTTTTGTAGAATCTGCAAGTAGAGATTTAGAGCACTTTGCGGCCTATGGTAGAAAAGGAAATACCTTCACATAAAATGTCGACAGAAGCAATATGAGAAAATTCTTTGTGATATGTGCATTCTTCTCACAGTGTTAAATATTGCTTTTGATTGAGCATTTTTGAAACTCTGTTTTGTAGAATCTGGAAGTGTACATTTGGAGTGGTTTGAGGCCAATGTGGAAATGGAAATATCTTCACATAAAACCTAGAAAGAATACTGAGAAACTTCTTTGTGATGTGTGCATTCATCTCACAGAGTTAAAACTTTTTTTTGATTGAGCAGTTTTGAAACTCTCTTTTTGTAGAATCTGCAAGTGGACATTTGGAGCGCTTTTAGGCCTATAGTGGAAAAGGAAATATCTTCACATAAAAACTAGATAGAAGAATTCTGAGAAACTTCTTGGTGATGTGTGCGTTCATCTCACAGAGTTGAAACTTTCTTTTGATTGAGCAGTTCGGAAACACTCTTTTTCCAGAATCTGCAAGGGGACATTTGGAGTGCTTTGTGTCCTATGGTAGAAAAGGAAACATCTTTACATAATATCTAGACAGAAGCAGTCTGAGATACTTCTTTGTGATGTGTACATTCATCTCACAGAGTTAAACGTTTCTTTTGATAGAGCAGTTTAGAAACTCTCTTTTTGTGGAATATGCAAGTGGACATTTGGAGTGCTTTGAGGCCTACTGTGGAAAAGGTAATATCTTCAGATAAAAACTAGACAGAGAAATTCTGAAAAGCTATTGTGATGTGTGCGTTCATCTCACAGAGTTTAACATTTCTTTTGATTCAGCAGTTTAGAAACACTCTTTTTGTAGAATCTGCAAGTGGACATTTGGAGCACTTTGTTGTCTATGGTAGAAAAGGAAATATCTTCACATTAAATCTAGATGAAGCAATCTGATAAACTTCTTTGTGATGTATGCATTCATCTCACAGAGTTAAATTTTTCTTTTCATTGAGCAGTTTTGAAACTCTCTTTTTGTAGAATCTGCAAGTGGACATTTGGAGCACTTTGAGGACTATGGTGGAAAAGGAAATATCTTCACATGAAAACTAGACAGAAGAATTCTGAGAAACTTCTTTCATCTCACAGAGTTGAACCTTTCTTTTGATTGAGCAGTATGAAAACACTGTTTTTGTAGAATCTGCAAGGGGACATTTGTAGTGCTTTGCGGCTTACGGTTGAAAAGGAAATATATTCACAAAAAATCTAGACAGAAGCAATCAGAGAAACTTCCTTGTGATGTGTGCATTCAACTCACAGAGTTAAACCTTCCTTCTGATTGTGCAGTTTTGAAACTCTCTTTTTATATAATCTGCAGGTGGACATTTGTAGCGCTTTGACTCCTATGGTGGAAAAGGAAATATCTTCACATAAAAACTAGATAGAAGCATTCTGAGAAACTTCTTTGTTGTGTGTGCATTCATCTCCCAGAGATAAACCATTCTTTTGTTGGAGCAGTTTTGAAATCCTCTTTTCATAGAATCTTCAAGTGGACATTTCAAGTTCCTTGAGGCCAATGATGGAAAATGAAATATCTTCACATAAAAATTAGACAGAAGTATTCTGAGAAACTTCTTTGTGATGCTTGCGTTCATCTCACAGAGTTGAACCTTTCTTTTAATTCAGCAGTTTGGAAACACTCTTTTTGTAGAAACTACAAGTGGACATTTGGAGTGCTTTGCGGCCTATGGTAGAAAAGGAAATATCTTCACATAAAATCTACACAGAAGCAATCTGTGAAACTTCTTTGTGATATGTGCATTCATCTCACAGAGTTAAACCTTTCTTTTGAATGAGCAGTTTTGAAACTCTCTTTTTGTAAAATCTGCAAGTGGACATTTGCAGCACTTTGAGGCCTGTGTTGGAAAAGGAAATATATTCACATAAAAACTAGACAGAAGAATTCTGAGAAACTTCTTTTTTATGCATGGGATCATCTCACAGAGTTAAATCTTTCTTTTGATTGAATAATTTGAAACCACTCTTTTTGTAGAATCTGCAAGTGGACATTTGGAGCCCTTTGCAGCCTATGGTAGAAAAGGAAATATCTTCACATAAAATCTAGACAGAAACAATCTCAGAATGTTCTGTGTGATGTGCGCATTCATCTCCTAGAGTTGAATGTTTCTTTTGAAGGATCAGTTTTGAAATACGCTTTTTGTAGAATCTACAAGTGGACATTTCGAGTGCCATGAGGCCTAAGGTGGAAAAGGAAATATCTTCGTATAAAAACTAGACCGAAAAATTTTGAGAAACTTCATTGTGATGCGGGCATACATCTCACAGAGCTGAAACTTTCTTTTGATTGAGCAGTTTTGAAACAATCTTTTTGTAGAATCTTCAAGTGGACATTTGGATCGCTTTGCTGCCAATGCTAGGAAAGGAAATACCTTCACATAAAATCTAGACAGAAGCAATCTGAGAATCATCTTTGTGATGTGTGCATTCATCTCGCAGTGTTGAACCTTTCTTTTGATTGAGCAGTTTTGAAACTCTCTTTTTGTAGCATCTTCAAGTGGACTTTTGGAGCACTTTGGGGCCTATGGTGGAAAAGGAAATATCTTCACATAAAAACTAGATAGAAGCATTCTTAGAAACTTCTTTGTGATGTATGCATTCATCTCAAGAGTTGAGGCTTTCTTTTGATGGACCAGTTTTGAAATACTCTTTTTGTAGAATCTGCAAGTGGTCATTTCAAGCGCCTTGAGGCCAATGGTGGAAAAAGAAATATCTGCACATAAAAACTAGATAGAAGCACTCTGAGAAACTTCTCTGTGATGTATGCATTCATCTCACAAAGTTGAAATTTTCTTTTGATGGACCAGTTTTGAAATGTCGTTTTTGTAGAATCTGGAAGTGGACATTTCGAGTGCCTTGAGGCCTATGCTGGAAAATGAAATAACTTCACATAAAAACTAGACAGAAGAACTTTGAGCAACTTCTTTCTGATGTGTGTATTCATCTCACAAAATTGAAACTATCTTTTGATTGAGCATTATGGAAACACTTTTTGTAGAATCTGCAAATGGACATTTGGAGTGCTTTGTGGCCTATGGCAGGAAAGGAAATATCTTCACATAAAATCTAGACAGAAGCAATCTTCAGAAACTCCTTTGTGATGTGTGCATTCACCTCAAAGAGTTACACCTTTCTTTTGATTGAGGAGTTTTGAAACACTCTTTTTGGAGAATCTGTAAGTGGACATTTGGAGCGCTTTGAGGCCTACAGTGGAAAAGGAAATATCTTCACATAAAAAGTAGACGGAAGAATTCTGAGAAACTTCTTTGTGATGTGTGCGTTCATCTCACAGAGTTGAACCTTTCTTTTGATTGAGCAGTTAGGAAACACTCTTTTTGTAGAATCTGCAAGTAGACATTTGGAGCGCCTTAGCGGCCTATGGTGGAAAAGGAAATACGTTCACATAATAACTAGACAGAAGAATTCTGAGAAACTTCTTTGTGATGCACGTGTTCATCTCACCGAGTTGAACCTTTGTTTTGATTGAGCAGTTTGGAAACAATCTTTTTGTAGAATCTGCAAGGGGACATTTTGAGCACTTTGCGGCCTTTGGTAGAAAAGGAAACATCTTCACATAAAATCTAGACAGAAGCAATTTGAGAAACTTCTTTGTGTTTCGTGCATTCATCTCACAGAGTTAAACCTTTCTTTTGATTGATCAGTTTTCAAACTCTCTTTTTGTAGAATGTGGTAGTGGAAATTTGGAGCGCTTAGAGGCTTATGGTGGAAAAGGAAATAACTCCACATAAAAACTAGACAAGAATTCTGAGAAACTTCTTCGTGATGTGTGTGTTTATCTCACAGATTTGAACCTTTCTTTTGCTTCAGCAGTTTAGAAACACTCTTTTTGTAGAATCTTCAAATGGACATTTGGAGCGCTTTGCGGCCAATGGTAGAAAAGGAAATATCTTCACATAAAATCTACTCAGAAGCAATCTAAGAAACTTCTTTGTGATGTGTGTATTCATCTCACAGAGTTAAAACTTTCTTTTGATTGAGAAGTTTTGAAACTTTCTTTTTGTAGAATCTGCAAGTGGACATTTGTAGCGCTTTTGGGCCTATAGTTGAAATATCTGCACAGAAAAACTAGACAGAAGAATTCTGAGAAACTTCTTTGTGATGTGTGCCTTCATCTCAAAGAGTTGAAACTTTCTTTTGATACATCAGTTTGGAAACACTCTTTTTGGAGATTCTGCAAGTGGACATTTGCAGCGCTATGCAGACTATGGTAGAAAAGGTAATATCTTCACAAAAAATCTAGACAGAAGGAATCTGAGAAACTTCTTTGGCATGTGTGCATTCATCTCACAGATTTCAACCTTTCTTTTGACTGAGCAGTTTTGAAACACTCTTTTTGTAGAATTTGCAAGTGGACATTTGGATCTTTTTGAGGCCTATGGTGGAAAAGGAAATATCTTCACATAAACACTAGACAGAAGAATTCTGAGAATCTCCTTTGTGATGTATGCGTTTATCTCACAAAGTTGAACCTTCCTTTTGATTGAGCAATTTAGAAACGTTCTTTTTGTAGAATCTGCAAGTGGACTTTTGGAGTGCTTTGGTGCCTCTGGTAGAAAAGGAAATACCGTCACATAAAATCTAGACAGAAGCAATCTCAGAAACTTCTTTGTGATATGTGCATTCATCTCACAGAGTTAAACCTTTCTTTTGGTTGAGTAGTTTTGAAGTTCTCTTTTTGTAGAATCTGCAAGTGGATATTTTGAGTGCTTTGAGGCCTACAGTAGGAAAGGAAATATTTTCACATAAAAACTAGACAGAAGAATTCTAAGAAACTTCTTTGTGATGCACACGTTCATCTTACCAAGTTTAAATTTTGTTTTGATTGAGCAGTTTGGAAACAATCTTTTTGTAGAATCTGCAAGGGGACATTTTGATCGCTTTGCGGCCTTTGGTAGAAAAGGAAATATCTTCACATAAAATCTAGACAGAACCAATGTGAGAAACTTCTTTGTGATGTGTGCATTCATCTCACAGAGTTAAAGCATTCTTTTGATTGAGCAGTTTTGAAACTCTTTTTTTGTAGAATCTGCAGATGGACATTTGGAGTGCTTTGAGGCCTATGGTGGAAAAAGAAATATCTTCACATAAAAACTAGACAGAAGAACTCTGAGAAACTTCTTTGTGATGTGTGCATTCATCTCACAGAGTTGAACATTTCTTTTGATTGAGAATTTTTGAAACACTCTTTTTGTAGATTCTCTAAGTGAGCATTTGGAGCACTTTGCAGCCTATGTTAGAAAAGGAAATAGCTCCACATAAAATCTAGACAGAAGCAATCTGAGAAACTTCTTTGGGATGTGTGTATTCATCTCACAGGGTTAACTCTTACTTTTGATTGAGCAGTTTTGAAACTCTCTTTTTGTTGAATGTGCAAGTGGACATTTGGAGTGCTTTGAGGCCTACGGTGGAAAACGAAATATCTTCACATAAAAACTAGACAGAAGCATTTTTAGAAACTTCTTTGTGATGTGTGCACTGATCTCAAAGAGTTAAGCGTTTGCTTTGATTGAGCAGTTTTGAATCTCTCTTTTTGTAGAATCTGCATGTTAACATTTGGAGCGCTTTGAGGCCTGTGGAGGAAAAGGAAATATTTTCACATCAAAACTACACAGAAGAATTTGGAGAAACTTCTTTGTGATGCATGCGTTTATCTCACAGAGTTGAACCTTTCTTTTGATTAAGCAGTTTGGAAACACTCTTTTTGTGGAATCTGCAAGTGGACATTTGGAGCGCTTTGCAGCCTATGTTAGAAAAGGAAATATATTCCCATAAAATCTAGATAGAATGAATCTGAGAAACTTCTTTGTGATGTGTGCATTCATCTCACAGAGTTAAAACTTTCTTTTGATTGAGCTGTCTTGAAACTCTCTTTTTGTAAAATCTGCAAGTGGACATTTGGAGCGCTTTGAGGCCTACAGTGGAAAAGTAAATATTTTCACATAGAAACTAGACAGAAAAATTCTGAGAAACTTCTTTGTGATTTGTGCGTACATCTCAAAGAGTTGAACCTTTCTTTTGATTGAGCAGTTTGGAAGCACTCTTTTTGTAGAATATGCAAGTGGACATTTGGAGCGCTTTGTGACCTCTGGTAGAAAAGGAAATATCTTCACAGAAAATCTAGATAAAAGCAGTCTGACAAAGTACTTTATGATGTGTGCATTCATCTCACAGAGTTAAACATTTCTTTTGATTGAGCAGTTTTGAAACTCTCTTTTTGTAGAATCTGCAAGTGTACATTTGGAGCAGTTTGAGGTCTATGGTGGAAAAGGAAATATCTTCAGATAAAAACTAGACAGAAGAATTCTGAGAAATTTCTTTGTGACGTGCGAATTCAACTCACAGAGTTGAACCTGTCTTTTGATAGGGCAGGTTTGAAACACACTTTTTGCAGAATCTGCAAGTGGACATTTGAAGCGCTTTGAGGCCTATGGTGGAAAAATAAATATCTTCCCATAAAAAATAGAAAGAAGCATTCTCAGAAACTTCTTTGTGATGTTTGCCTTCAACGCACAGAGTTGAACATACCTTATCATAGAGCAGTTTTGAAACACTCTTTTAGTAGAATCTGCAAGTGGATATATGGAAAGCCTTGAGGCCTTCGTTGGAAACGGGAATATCTTCACATAAAAACTAGAGAGAAGCATTCTCAGAAACTTCTTTGTGAGGTGTACATTCAACTCACAGAGTTGAACCTTTCTTTTGATAGAGCAGTTTTGAAACTCTCTTCTTGTAGAATCTGCAACTGCATATTTGGACTGCTTCGAGGCATTCGTTGGAAATGGGATATCTTCACATAATCACTAGACAGAAGCATTCTCAGAAACTTCTTTGTGACGTGCGAATTCAACTCACAGAGTTGAACCTTTCTTTTGATAGGGCAGGTTTGAAACACTCTTTTTGCCTAATCTGCAAGTGGACATTTGAAGCGCTTTGAGGCCTATGGTGGAAAAGGAAATATCTTCACATAAAAACTAGACAGAAGCATTCTCAGAAACTTTTTTGTGATGTTAGCATTCCACTCACAGAGTTGGACACACTTTATCATAGAGCAGTTTTGAAACACTCTTTTAGTAGAATCTGTGAGTGGATATTTGGACCGCTTTGAGGTTTTCGTTGGAAACGGGAATATCTTCACATAATCTCTAGAGAGAAGTTTTCTCAGAAACTTCTTTGTGCTGTGTGCATTCAACTCACAGAATTGAACCTTTCTTTTGATAGAGCAGTTTTGAAACACTGTTTTTGTAGAATCTGCAAGTGGACATTAGGAGAGCTTTGAGACCTATGGTCAAAAAGGAAATATCCTCACATAAAATATAGACAGAATCATTCTCAGAAACTTCTTTGTGATGTTTGCATTCAACTCACAGAGTTGAAGATACTTTATCATAGAGCAGTTTTGACACACTCTTTTAGTAGAATCTGCAAGTGGATATTTGGACCGCTTTGAGGCATTTGTTGGAAATGGGAATATCTTCAGATAATCACTAGATAGAAGCTTTCTCAGAAACTACTTTGTGAAGTGTACATTCATGTCACAGAGTTGAACCTTTCTTTTTATAGAGCAGTTTAAGAAACCCCTTTTTGTAGAATCTGCATGTGGATATTTCGACCAGTTTGAGGTCTTCGTTGGAAATGGGTATATCTTCACATAAACTCTAGACAGAAGCATTCTCAGAAACTTTTTTGTGATGTGTGCATTCAACTCACAGAGTTGAACATTTCTTTTGATAGAGAAGCTTTGAAACACTCTTTTTGTAGAATTTGCAATTGGATATTTGGTCTGCTTTGAGGCCTTCTTTGGAAACGGGAATATCTTTATATAAACACTAGACAGAATCATTCCCAGAAACTTCTTTGTGAGGTGTGCATTCAACTCACAGAGTTGAACATACCTTATCATAGAGCAGCTTTCAAACACTCTTTTTGTAGAATCTGCGAGCGGATATTTAGAGAGCTTTGAGGCCTATGGTGGAAAAGGTAATATCTTTATATAAAAACCAGACAGAAAAATTCTCAGTAACTTCTTTGTGATGTATGCATTCAACTCACAGAGTTGAAAATTTCTTTTGATAGAGCAGGTTTGAAACACTCTTTTGGTATAATCTGCAAGTGGACATTTGGAGCGCTTTAAGCTCTACGGTGGAAAAGGAAATATCTTCCAATAAAAACTAGACAGAAACATTCTCAGAAACTTCTTAATTATGTTTGCCTTCAACTCACAGAGTTGAACATACCTTATGATAGAGCAGTTTTGAAACAATCTATTAGTTGAATCTGGAAGTGGATATTTGGAACTTTTTGAGGCCTTCATTAGAAACAGGAGTATCTTCACATACAAATTAGCAGCATTCTCAGAAACTTCTTTGTGATGTGTACATTCAACTCACAGAGTTGAAACTTTCTTTTGATAGGGCAGCTTTGAAACACTCTTTTTGTAGAATCTGTCAGTGGACTTTTGGAGAGCTTTGTGGCCTATGGTGGAAAACGAAATATCTTCACATAAAAACTAGACAGAAGCATTCTCAGAAACTTCTTTGTGATGTGTGCATTCAACTCACAGAGTTGAACCTTTCTTTTGATAAAGCAGACATTAAACACTCTTTTCGTAGTATCTGCAAGAGGATATTTGGACCCCTTTAAGTCCTTCATTGGAAACAGGAATATCTCACATAAACACTAAACAGAAGCATTCTCAGAAACTTCTTTGTGATGTGTGCATTCAACTCACAGAGATGAACCTTTCTTTTGATAGAGCAGATTTGAAACACTCTTTTTGTAGAATCTGCAAGTGGACATTTGGAGCGCTTTGAGGCCTGTGGTGGAAAAGGAAATATCTTCCCATAAAAACTAGAGAGAATAATTCTGAGAAACATCTTTGTGATGTTTGCCTTCAACTGACGGAGTTGAACATACCTTATCATAGAGCAGTTTTGAAACCATCATTTTGTAGAATCTTCAAGTGGAAATTTGGAGAGCTTTGAGGCCTAAGCTGGGAAAGGAAATATCTTCACATAAAAACTAGACAGAAGCATTCTCAGAAGCTTCTTTGTGATGGTTGCATTCAACTGACAGAGTTGAACCTTTTTTTTGATAGAGCAGTTTTGAAACACTCTTTTCATAGAATCTGCAAGTGGATATTTGAAGCTCTTTGAGGACTTCATTGGAAACTGGAATATCGTCACATAAACACTAGACAGAATTATTCTCAGAAACTTCTTTGTAATCTGTGCATTCAACTCACAGAGTTGAACCTCTCTTTTGTTACAGGAGTTTTGAAACACTCTTTTTGCAGAATCTGCAAGTGGACATTTGGAGCGCCTTGAGGCCTATGGTGGAAAAGGAAATATCTTCACATAAAAACTAGACAGAAGCGTTCTCAGAAACTTCTTTGTGATGTTTACATTGAACTCACAGAGTTGGACATACTTTATCATAGAGCAGTTTTGATACACTCTTTTACTAGAATCTACAAGTGGATATTTTGACCGTTTAGTGGCCTTCATTGCAAATGGGAATATCCTTATATAAAAATTAGACAGAAGCATTCTCAGAAACTTCTTTGTGTTGTGTGCATTCAACTCACAGTGTTGAACCTTTCTTTTGACAGAGCAGGTTTGAAACACTGTTTTTGTAGAATCCGTAAGTGAACCTTTGGAGCACTTTGAGGCCTATGGTGGAAAAGGAAATATGTTCACATAAAAACTAGACAGAAGTATTCTCGGAAACTTCTTTGTGATGTTTGCATTCAACTCACAGAGTTGAACATACCTTATGATAAAGCAGTTTTGAAACACTCTTTTATTAGAAACTGTAAGTGGATATTTGGACTGCTTTGAGGCCTTCGTTGGAAACGGGAATATCTTTACATAAAAACTAGACAGCAGCATTCTCATTAACTTCTTTGCGATGTGTACATTCAACTCACAGAGTTGAACCTTTCTTTTGATAGAGCAGTTTTGAAACAGTCGTTTGGAGAATTTGCAAGTGGATATTTCTACTGCTTTGAGGCCTTCATTTGAAACGGAAATATATTCACATAAACACTAGACAGAAGCATTCTCACAAACTTCTTTGTGATGTGTGCCTTCAACTCACAGAGTTGAAACTTTCTTTTGAGAGAGCAGGTTTGAAACACTCTTTGTAGAATCTGCAAGTGGACATTTGGAGCGCTTTGAGGCCTAAGGTGGAAAAGGAAATATCTTCCCATAGAAACTAGACAGAAGGATTCTCAGAAACTTCTTTGTGATGTTTGTATTCAACTCACAGAGTTGAACATACCATTTCACAGAGCAGTTTTGAAACACTCTTTTTGCAGAAACTGCAAGTGGAAATTTGGAGAGCTTTGAGGCCTTCGTTGGAATCGGTTATATCTTCACATAAACACTAGACAGAAGCATTCTCAGAAACTTCCTTGTGATGTGTACATTCAACTCACAGACTTGAAGCTTTCTTTTGATAGAGCAGGTTTGAAACACTCTTTTTGCAGAATCTGCAAGTGGACATTCGGAGCGCTTTCAGGCCTACGGTGGAAAAGGAAATATCTTCCCATAAAAACTAGACGGAAGCATTCTCAGAAAGTCATTTGCGATGTTTGCCTTCAACTCACAGAGTTGAAAATACTTTATCATAGAGCAGTTTTGAAACACTCTTTAGTAGAATCTGCAAGTGGATATTTGGAACACTTTGAGGCCTTCGTTGGAAACGAGAATATCTTCACATAAAAACTAGACAGGAGCATTCTCAGAAACTTCTTTGTGATGTGTACATTCAATGCACAGAGTTGAACCTTTCTTTTGATAGGGCATGTTTGAAACACTCTTTTTTTAGAATCGGCAAGAGGATATTTGGACCGCTTTGAGGCCTTCGTTGGAAGCGGGAAGATATTTACATAAGCACTAGACAGAAGAATTCTCAGAAACTTCTGTGTGATGTGTGCATTCAACTCACAGAGTTGAACCTTTCTTTTGATAGAGCAGGTTTGAAACACTCTTTTTGCAGAATATGCTAGTGGACATTTGGAACCCTTTGGGGCCTATGGTGGAAAAGGAAATATCTTCACATAAAAACTAGTCAGAAGCATTCTCAGAATCTTCTTTCTGATGTGTGCATTCAACTGACAGAGTTGAAGCTTTCTTTTGAAAGAGCAGGTTTGAGACACTCTTTCTGTAGCATCTGCAATGGACATTTGGAGCACTTTGAGGCCTATGGTGGAAAAAGAAATATCTTCCCATAAAAACTAGAGAGAAGCATTCAGAAACTTCTTTGTGATGTTTGCCTTCAACTCACAGAGTGGGAGATATCTTATAGAGCAGTTTTGAAACACTCTTTTAGTAGAGTCTGCAAGTGGATAATTTGGAACGCTTTGAGGCCTTCGTTGCAAACGGGAATATCTTCACATAAAAACTAGACGGCAGCATTCTCAGAAACTTCTGTATGATGTGTGCATTCAACTCACAGAGATGAACCTTTCTTTTGGTAGAGCAGTTTTGAAACACACTTTTTGCAGAATCTACAAGTGGACATTTGAAGCGCTTTGAGGCCTATGGTTGAAAAGGAAATATCTTCACATAAAAACTAGACAGAAGCATTCTCAGAAATTATTTGCGATATTTGCATTAACTCACAGAATTGGACATACTTTATCATTGAGCAGTTTTGAAACACTCTTTTAGTAGAATCTGCAAGTGGATATTTGGACCTCTTAGAGGTCTTCGTTGGAAATGGGAATATCTTCACATAAACATTCAACAGAAGCATTCTCATAATCTTCTTCTTGATGCGTGCATTCAACTCACAGAGTTGAAACTTTCTTTTCAAAGAGCAGGTTTGAAACACTCACTTTATAGAATGTACAAATGGACATTTGGAGAGCTTTGAGGCCTGTGGTGCAAAAAGAAATATCTTCACATAAAAACTAGACAGAAGCATTCTCAGAAACTTCTTAGTGATGTTTGCATTCAACTCACAGAGCTGAAACTTCCTTTTCATAGAGCACTTTTGAAACACTTTTTTTGTAGAATCTGCAATGGATATTTGGACCGCTTTGAGGCATTCTATGGAAACGGGAATATCTTCACATAATCACTAGACAGAAGCTTTCTCTGAAACTTCTTTGTCTTGTGTGCATTAAAATCACAGAATTGAACCTTACTTTTCATAGAGCAGGTTTGAAACACACTTTTGTAGAATCTGTAACTGGACATTTAAAGTGCTTTGAGGTCAATGGTGGAAAGGGAAATATCGTCACATAAAAAGTAGACAGAAGAATTCTCAGAAACATCTTTGTGATGTGTGCATTCCACTCACAGAGTTAAACCTTTCTTTTGATAGAGCAGGTTTGAAACACTCTTTGCAGAATCTGGAAGTGGACATTTGGAGTGCTTTGAAGCCTATGGTGGAAAAGGAAATATCTTCACATAAAAACTAGACAGAAGCATTCTTAGAAACTTCTATGTGCTGTTTGCATTCAACTCAGAGACTTGAACATACTTAATAATAGAGCAGTTTTGAAATACTCTTTTAGTAGACTCTGCAAGTGGATATTTGGACCGCTTTGAGGCCTTCGTTGGAAACGGGGATATCTTCACATAATCACTAGACAGAAGCTTTCTCCGAAACTTCTTTGTTCTGTGTGCATTCAACTCACAGAGTTGATCCTTTCTTTTGATAGAGCAGGTTTGAAACACTTTTTTGTAGAATCTGCAAGTGGACATTTGGAGCGCTTTGAGGCCTATGGTGGAAAAACAAATATCTTCCCATAAAAACTAGAGAGAAGAATTCTCAGAAACTTCTTTGTGATGTTTGCCTTCAACTCACGGAGTTGAACATACCTTATGATAGAGCAGTTTTGAAACACTCTTTTAGTAGAATCTGCAAGTGGATATTTGGATCGCTTTGAAGGCTTTGTTGGAAATGGGAATATCTTCACATAAAAACTAGACAGCAGCATCCTCAGAAACTTCTTGTGATGTGTACATTCAACTCATAGAGTTGAAACTTTCTTTTGATAGAACAGTTTTGAAACACTCTTTTTGTAGAGTCTACAAGTGGATATTTGGAACGCGTTGAGGCCTTCGTTGGAAACGGGAACATCTTCACATAAACACTAGACAGAAGTTTTCTCCGAAACTTCTTTGGCTGTGTGCATTCAACTCACAGAGTTGAACCTTTCTTTTGATAGAACAGGTTTCAAACACTCTTTTTGTAGAATCTGCAAGTGGACAGTTGGAGCGCTTTGAGGCGTATGGTGGAAAAGGAAATATCTTCGCATAAAAACTAGACAATAGCATTCTCAGAAACTTCTTTGTGATGGTGATGTGTGCATTCAACTCACAGAGTTGAACCTTTCTTTTGATAGAGCAGGTTTGAAACACTCTTTTTGCAGAATCTGCAAGTGGACATTTGGAGCCCTTTGAGGCCTATGTTGGAAAAGGAAGTATCTTCACATAAAAACTAGACAGAAGCATTTTCAGAAACTTATTTGTGATGTCTGCATTCAACTCACAGAGTTGGACATACTTTATCATAGAGCAGTTATGAAACACTCTTTTAGTGGAATCTGCAAGTGGATATTTGGACCGCTTAGAGTCCTTCATTGGAAATGGGAATATCTTCTCATAAAAACTAGACAGAAGCATTTTCTTTAACTTCTTTGTGATGTGTGCATTCAATTCACAGAGTTGAACCTTTCTTTTGATAGAATAGGTTTGAAACACTCTTTTTGTAGAATCTGCAAGTGGACTCTTGGAGCGCTTTGAGGCCTATGGTGGAAAAGGAAATATCTTCACATAAAAACTAGAGAAAGCATTCTCAGAAACTTCTTTGTGATGTTTGCATTCAGCTCACAGAGTTGAACATGGCTTTTCATGGAGCAGTTTTGAAGCACTGTTTTTGTACAATCTGCAAGTGGATATTTGGACCGCATTGAGGCCTTCATTGGAAACGGGAATAACTTCACATAAAAACTAGACAGAAGGATTCTCAGAAACTTCTTTGTGGTGTGTGCATTCATCTCACAGAGTTGAACCTTTCGTTTGATAGGGCAGTTTTGAAACACTCTTTTTGTTGAATCTGCAAGTGGACATTTGGAGAGCTTTGAGGCCTATGGTGGTAAAGGAAATATCTTCACATAAAATCTAGACAGAAGCATTCTCAGAAACTTCTTTGTGATGTGTGCATTCAACTCACATACTTGAACCTTTGTTTTGATAGAGCAGATTTGAAACACTCTTTTTGCAGTATCTGCATGTGGACATTTGCAGAGCTTTGAGGCCTACGGTGGAAACGGATATATCTTCACATAAAAACTAGATAGAAGCATTCTCAGAAACTTCTTTGTGATGTTTGCATTCAACTCACAGAGTTGAACCTTCCTTTTCATAGAGCAGTTTTGAAACACTCTTTTTGTATAAACTGCAAGTAGATATTTGGACCGATTTGAAGCCTTCGTAGGAAAAGGGAATATCTTCACATAAACACTAGACAGAAGCATTCTCAGAAACTTCTTTCTGACGTGTGCATTCAATTCACAGAGTTGAACCTTTCTTTTGATAGACCAAGTTTGAAAGACTCTTTTTGTAGAATCTGCAAGTGAACCTTTGGAAGGCTTTGAGGCCTATGGTGGAAGAGGAAATATCTTCACATAAAAACTAGACAGAAGCATTCTCAGAAACTTCTTTGTGATGTTTGCATTCAACTCACAGAGTTGAACACACGTTTTCATGCAGCAGTTTGGACAGATTGTTGTTGTAGAATCTCCTAGTGGATATTTGGACTGCTTTGAGGCCTTCGTTGGAAACGGGAATGTCTTCACATAAAAACTAGACAGATGCATTCTCAGAAACTTCTTTGTGATGTGTGCATTCAACTCACAGAGTTGACCCTTTCTTTTGATAGATCAGTTTTGAAACACTCTTTTTGTAGAATCTGCAACTGGACATTTGGAGAGCTTTGATGCCTATTGTGAAAAAGAAATATCTTCACATAAGAACCAGACAGAGGCATTCTCAGAAGCTTCTTTGTGATGTGTGCATTCAACTCACATCGTTGAACGTTTCTTTTGATAGAGCTGTTTTGAAACATTCTTTTTGTATAATCTGCAAGGGGACATTTGGGGAACTTTGAGGCCAATGGGTGTAAAAGGAAGTATCTTCGCAGAAAAACTAGACAGAAGAATTCTCAGAAACTTCTTTGTGATGTGTGCATTCAACTCACAGAGTTGAACCTTTCTTTTGATAGAGCAGGTTTGAAACACTCTTTTTGCAGAATCTGCAAGTGGACATTTGGAACGCTTTGAGGCCTATAGTGGAAAAGGAAATATCTTCACGGAAAAACTAGACAGAAGCATTCTCAGAAACGTCTTTGTGATGTTTGCATTCAACTCACAGAGTTGAAAATACTTTACCATAGAGCAGTTTTGAGTCACTCTTTTAGTAGAATCTGCAAGTGGATATTTGGACCGCTTTGAGGTATTCCTTGGAAACGGGAATATCTTCACATAAACACTAGATAGAAGCTTTCTCAGAAACTTCTTTGTGCTGTGTGCATTCAACTCACAGAGTTGAAACTTTCTTTTCACAGAACAGGTTTAAAACCGTCTTTTTGTAGACTCTGCAAGTGGACATTTGAGCGATTTGATACCTATAGTGGAAAAGAAAATATCTTCCCATGAAAACGACAGAAGCATTCTCAGAAACTTCTTTGTGATGTTTGCCTTCAACTCACAGAGTTGAACAAACGTTATCATAGAGCAGTTTTGAAACACTCTTTTAGTAGAATCTGCACGTGTTTAATTCGACCGGTTAGAGGCCTTCGTTGGAAACGGGAATATCTTCACATAATCACTAGACGGAAGATTTCTCAGAAACTTCTTTGTGCTGTGTGCATTCAACTCACTGAGTTGAACCTTTCTTTTGACAGAGCAGGTTTGAAACACTCTTTTTGTAGAATCTGCAAGTGGACATTTGGAGCGCTTTGAGGCCTATGGTGGGAAAGGAAATATCTTCACACAAAAACTAGACAGAGGAATTCTGAGAAACTTCTTTGTGATGTGTGCGTTCTTCTCACAGAGTTGAAACTTCCTTTTGATTGAGCAGTTTACAGACACTCTTTTTGTAGAATCTGCAAGTGGGCATTAGGAGCGCTTTGCGACCTATGTTATAAAAGGAAATATCTTCACATAAAATCTAGACAGAACCAATGTGAGAAACCTCTTTGTGATGTGTGTATTCATCTCACAGAGTTAAACCTTTCTTTTGATCGAGGAGTTTTGAACCTCTTTTTTTGTAGAATCTACAAGTGGATATTTGGAGTGCTTTGAGGCTTATGGTGGAAAAGGAAATATCTTCACATAAAAACTAGAGAGAAGAATTCTGAGAAACTTCTTTGTGATGTGTGCATTCATCTCACAGAGTTGAACCTTTCTTTTGATTGAGAATTATGGAAAAGCTCTTTTTGTAGATTCTGTAAGTGGACATTTGAAGCGCTTTGCAGCCTAAGTTAGAAAAGGAAATATCTTCACATAAAATCTAGACAGAAGCATTCTCAGAAACTTCTTTGTGATGTTTGCATTCAACTCACAGAGTTGAACCTTTCTTTTGATAGAGCAGGTTTGAAGCACTCTTTTTGTAGAATCTGTAAGTGGACATTTGGAGTGCTTTGAGGCCTATGGTGGGAAAGAAAATATCTTCACATAAAAACTAGGCAGAAGCATTCTCAGAAACTTCTTTGTGATGTTTGCATTCTACTCACAGAGTTGAATATTCATTTTCATGGGGCAGTTTTGAAACACTCTTTTTGCAGAATATGCTAGTGGATATTTGGACTGCTTTGAGGCCTTCGTTGGAAACAGGAATATCTTCACATAAAAACTAGACAGAAGCATTCTCAGAAACTTGTTTGTAATCTGTGCATTCACTTCACAGAGTTGAAACTTTCTTTTGATAGAGCAGTTTTGAAACACTCTTTTTGTAGAATCTGCAAGTGGACACTTGGAACACTTTGAGGCCTATAGTGGAAAAGGAAATATCTTCCCATCTAAACTAGAGAGAAGCATTCTCAGGAACTTCTTTTTGATGTTTGCCTTCAACTCACAGAGTGGAACATACCTTATCATAGAGTCGTTTTGAAACACTCCTTTAGTAGAATCTGCAAGTGGATATTAGGTACCCCTTGAGGCCCTCCTTGGAAACGGGAATATCTTCACATAAAATCTAGACAGCAGCATTCTCAGAAACTTCTTTGTGATCTGTACATTCAACTCACAGAGTTAAACCTTTCTTTTGATTGAGAAGTTCTGAGACACTCTTTTTGTAGAATCCGCTAGTGGACATTTGTAGCGCTTTTGGGCCTATAGCGGAAAAGGAAATATCTTCACATAAAAACTAGACAGAAGAATTCTCAGAATCTTCTTTGTGATGTGTGCCTTCAACTCAAATAGTTGAAACTTTCTTTTGATTCAGCAGTTTGGAAACACTCTTGTTGGAGATTCTGCAAGTGGACATTTGCAGTGCTATGCGGACTATGGTAGAAAAGGTAATATCTTCACAAAAATCTAGACAGAAGGAATCTGAGAAACTTCTTTGGCATGTGTGCATTCATCTCACAGAGTTCAAACTTTCTTTTGACTGAGCAGTTTTGAAACTCTGTTTTTGTAGAATTTGCAAGTGGACATTTGGATCATTTTGAGGCCTATGGTGGAAAAGGAAATATCTTCACATAAAAACTTGACAGAAGAGTTCTGAGAATCTCCTTTGTGACGTATGCGTTTATCTCACAAAGTTGAACCTTCCTTTTGATTGAGCAGTTTAGAAACATTCTTTTTGTAGAATCTGCAAGTGGACTATTGGAGTGCTTTATTGCCTATGGTAGAAAAGGAAATATCTTCACATAAAATCTAGACAGAAGCAATCTCAGAAACTTCTTTGTGATGTGTGCATTCATCTCAGAGAGTTAAACCTTTCTTTTGGTTGAGTAGTTTTGAAGCTCTCTTTTTGTAGAATCTGCAAGTGGACATTTTGAGTGCTTTGAGGCCTACAGTGGGAAAGGAAATATCTTCACATAAAAACTAGACAGAAGAATTCTGAGAAACTTCTTTGTGATGTGTGCGTTCTTCTCACAGAGTTAAAACTTCCTTTTGATTGAGCAGTTTGCAGACACTCTGTTTGTAGAATCTGCAAGTGGACTATTGGAGTGCTTTGTTGCCTATGTTATAAAAGGAAATATCTTCACATGAAATATAGACAGAACCAATGTGAGAAACCTCTTTGTGATGTGTGCATTCATCTCACAGAGTTAAAGCATTCTTTTGATTGAGCAGTTTTGAAACTCTTTTTTTGTAGAATCTGCAAGTGAACATTTGGAGTGCTTTGAGGCCTATGGTGGAAAAGGAAATATCTTCACATAAAAACTAGACAGAAGAATTCTGAGAAACTTCTTTGTGATGTGTGCGTTCATCTCACAGAGTTGAACCTTTCTTTTGATTAAGAATTATGGAAGCACTCTTTTTGTAGATTCTGTAAGTGGGCATTTGAAGCACTTTGCAGCCTAAGTTAGAAAAGGAAATATCCTCACATAAAACCTACACAGAAGCAATGTGAGAAACTTCCTTGGGATGTGTGCATTCATCTCACAGGGTTAACTCTTACTTTTGATTGAGCAGTTTTGAAACTCTCTTTTTGTTGAATGTGGAAGTGGACATTTGGAGCGCTTTGAGGCTTATGGTGGAAAAGGAAATATCTTCACATAGAAACTAGACAGAAGCTTTCTTAGAAACTTCTTTGTGATGTGTGCACTGATCTCACAGAGTTAAGCCTTTGTTTTGATTGAGCAGTTTTGAATCTCTCTTTTTGTAGAATCTGCAAGTTAACATTTGGAGCCCTTTGAGGCCTGTGGAGGGAAAGGAAATATTTTCACATCAAAACTACATAGAAGAATTCGGAGAAGCTTCTTTGTGATGCATGCGTTTATCTCACAGAGTTGAACCTTTCTTTTGATTAAGCAGTTTGGAAACACTCTTTTTGTGGAATCTGCAAGTGGACATTTGGAGCGCTTTGCAGCCTATGTTAGAAAAGGAAATATATTCCCATAAAATCTAGATAGAATGAATCTGAGAAACTTCTTTGTGATGTGTGCATTCATCTCACAGAGTTAAAACTTTCTTTTGATTGAGCTGTCTTGAAACTCTCTTTTTGTAAAATCTGCAAGTGGACATTTGGAGCCCTTTGAGGCCTACGGTGGAAAAGTAAATATTTTTACATAGAAACTAGACAGAAAAATTCTGAGAAACTTCTTTGTGATGTGTGCTTACATCTCACAGAGTTGAACCTTTCTTTTGATTGAGCAGTTTGGAAGTACTCTTTTTGTAGAATCTGCAAGCGGACATTTGGAGCACTTTGTGACCTCTGGTAGAAAAGGAAATATCTTCACAGAAAATCTAGATAAAAGCAGTCTGACAAACTACTTTATGATGTGTGCATTCATCTCAGAGAGTTAAACATTTCTTTTGATTAAGCAGTTTTGAAACCCTCTTTTTGTAGAATTTGCAAGTGTACATTTGGAGCGCTTTGAGGCCTGTGGTGGAAAAGGAAACATCTTCAGATAAAAACTAGACAGAATAATTCTGAGAAACTTCTTTGTGATGTGTGCATTCATCTCTCAGAGTTGAACCTTTCTTTTGATTAAGCAGTTTGGAATCACTCTTTTTGTAGAATCTGCAAGTGGACATTTGGAGCACTTTGCGGCCTACGTTAGAAAAGGATATATATTAAAATAAAATCTAGACAGAAGCAATCTGAGAAACTTCTTTGTGATGTGTGCATGCATCTCACAGAATTAAAACTTTCTTTTGATGGAGCTGTCTTGAAACTCCCTTTTGGTAAAATCTGCAAGTGGACATTTGGAGCGCTATGAGGCCTATGATGGAAAAGGAAATATCTTCACATAAAAACTAGACAGCAGAATTCTGAGAAACTACTTTGTGATGTGTGTGTTCATATCACAGAGTTGAACTTTACTTTTGATTGAGCAGTTTGGGAAGACTCTTTTTGTAGAATTTGCAACTGGACATTTGGAGCGCGTTGTGGCCTATGGTAGAAAAGAAAATATCTTCACATAAAATCTAGATAAAAGCAATATGACAAACTTCTTTGTGGTGTGTGCATTCATCTCACAGAGTAAACCTTTCTTTTGACTGAGCACTTTGGAAACTCTCTTTTTGTAGAATCTGCAAGTGGACATTTTGAAGGCTTTGAGGCCTATGGTGGAAAAGGAATTATCTTCACATAAAAACTAGACAGAAGAATTCTGACAAACTTCTTTGTGATGTGTGCATTCAGCTCATGAAGTTGAACATTTCTTTTGATGGAGCAGTTTGGAAACACTCTTTTTGAAGACTCTGCAAGTGGACATTTGGAGCTCTTTGCAGCCTATGGTGGAAAAGGAAATATCTTCACATAAGACGTAGACAGAAGTAATCTGAAAACCTTCTTTATGATGTGTGCATTCATCTCACAGAGTTAAACGTTTCTTTTGATTGAGCAGTCTTGAAACTCTCTTTTTGTAGAATCTACAAGTGGACATTTGGAGCGCTTTGAGGCCTACGGTGGAAAAGGAAATATCTTCACATAAAAAATAGATAGAAGCATTTTTAGAAACATCTTTGTGATGTGTGCATTCATCTAACGGATTGAAACCTTTCTTTTGATAGAGCAGTTTTAAAACTCCCTTTTTGTATAATCTCTAAGTGGACATTTGAAGGGCGTTCAGGCCTATGGTGAAAAATGAAATATCTTCCCATAAAAAGTACATAGAAGCATTCTGAGAAACTACTTTGTGATGTGTGCATTCAACCCCCAGATTTGAACATTCCTTTGAAGGACCAGTTTTGAAATACTCCTTTTGTAGAATCTGCAAGTGGACCTTTCGAGTGCCTTCGAGTCTACGGTACAAAAGGAAATATCTTCACATAAAAACTAGAAAGAAGAATTCTGAGAAAGTTCTTTATGATGTGTGCATCCATCTAGAAAGTTGAACATTTCTTTGAATGAGCGGTTTGGAAACACTCTTTTGGTAGAATCTGCAAGTGGACATTTGGTGCGCTCTGAGGCCTATGTTAGAACAGGAAATATCTTCACATAAATTGTAGACAGAAGCAATCTGAGAAACTTCTTTGTGATGTGTGCATTCATCTCAAAGAGGTAAAGCTTTCTTTTGATAGAGCAGATTTGAAATTCTCTTTTTGTAGAATCTGCAAGTGGACATTTGGAGTGATTTGATGCATGTGGTGGAAAAGTTAATATCTTCATATAAAAACTAGACAGAAGAATTCTGAGAAACTTCTTTGAGATGTCTGCGTTCATCTCACAGAGTTGAAACTTTCCTTAGATTGAGCAGTTTGGAAACACTCTTTTTGTAGAATCTGCAAGTGGACATTTGGAGAGCTTTGCAGCCAATGGTAGAAAAGGAAATATCTTCACATAAAATCTAGACAGAAGCAATCTGAGAAACTTCTTTGTGATGTGTGCATTGATCCCACAGAATTAAAAGTTTCTTTTGATTTAGCAGTTTTGAAACTCTTTTTGTAGAATCTGCAACTGGACATTTGGAGTGCTTTGCGCCCTATGGTAGAAAAGGAAATATCTTCATATAAAATCTTGACAGAAGCAATCTGAGAAGCATCTTTGTGATATGTGCATTCATCCCAGAGAGTTAAAACTTTCTTTTGATTGAAGAGTATTGAAACTCTGTTTTTGTAAAATCTGCAAGTGGACATTTGGAGCCCTTTGAGTCCAATGGTGGAAAAGGAAATATCTTCCCATAAAAACCAGAGAGAAGAATTCTGAGAAACTTCTTTGTGATGCGTGCATTAATCTCACAGAGTTGAAACTTTCTTTTGATTAAGCAGTTTGCAACCACTCTTTTTGTCGAATCTGCAAGTGGACATTTGGAGGGCTTTGTGGCCTATGGAAGAACAGGAAATATCTTCACATAAAATCTAGACAGAATCAATCTCAGAAACTTCTGTGTGTTGTGTGCTTTCATCTCACAGAGTTAAAATTTTCTTTTGATTGAGCAGTTTGGAAACTCTTTTTTTGTAGGATCTGCAAGTGGACATTTGCAGTGCTTTGAGTTCAATGGTGGAAAAGGAAATATCTTCACATAAAAACTAGACAGAATTCTGAGAAACTTCTTTGTGATGTGTGCATTCATCTCACAGAGTTGAACGTTTCTTTTCATTGAGCTGTTGGAAACATTCTTTCTGTAGAATCTGCAAGTGGACATTTGGAGCGCTTTGCAACCTATGGTGGAAAAGGAAATATCTTCACATAAAAACTAGACAGAAGAATTATTAGAAACCTCTTTGTGATGTGAGTGTTCAACTCACAGAGTTGAACCTTTCTTTTGATTGCGCAGTTTGGAAACAACTCTTTTTGTAGATTCTGCAAGTGGACATTTGGAGTTCTTTGTGGCCTATGGTACAAAAGGAAATATCTTCACATAAAATCTAGACAGAAGGAATCTGAGAAATTTCTTTGTGATGTGTGCATTCATCTCACAGAGTTAATCATTCTTTCGACTGAGCAGTTTTGAAACTCTCTTTTTGTATAATCTGCAAGTGGACATTTGGAGCGCTTTGAGGCATATGGTGGAAAAGGAAATATCTTCACAGAAAAACTAGACAGAAGAATACTGAGAAACTTCTTTGTGATGCGTGCGTTCATCTCACAGAGTTGAAACTTTCTTTTGATTCAGCAGATTGGAAACACTCTTTTTGTAGTATCTACAAGTGAACGTTTGGAGTGCTTTGCGGGCTGTGGTAGGAAAGGAAATATCTTCACTTAAAATCTAGAAAGAAGCAACCTGAGAAAGTTCTTTGTGATGTGTTCATTCATTTCACAGAGTTAAAGATTTCTTTTATTGAGCAGTTTTGAAACTCTCTTTTTGTAGAATCTGCAAGTGGACATTTGGAGCGCCTTGCGGGTATGGTAGAAAAGGAAACATCTTCACTTAAAATCTAGAAAGAAGCAATCTGAGAAACTTCTTTGTGATGTGTGCATTCATCTCACAGATTTAAACCTTTCTTTTGATTGAGCAGTTTGGAAACACTCTTTTTGTAGAATCTGGAAGTGGACATTTGGAGCACTTTGAGGCCTATGGTGGAAAAGGAAATATCTTCACATAAAAAATAGACAGAAGAATTCTGAGAAACTCCTTTGTGATGTGTGCCTTCATCTCACAGAGTTGAACCTTTCTTTTTATAGAGCAGTTGCAAAAACACTTTTAGTAGAATCTGAATGTGGACATTTGTAGCGCTTTGTGGACTATGGTAGAGAAGGTAATATCTTCATGTAAAATCTAGACAGGAGCAATCTGAGAAACTACTTTGTGATGTGTGCATTCTTCTCACAGAGTTAAAACTTTCTTTTGATTTAGCAGTTTTGAAATTCTCTTTTAGTAGGATCTGCAAGTGGACATTTGGAGAGCTTTGAGGCCTATGGTGGAAAAGGAACTATCTTCCCATAAAAACTAGACAGAAGAATTCTGAGAAAGCAGTTTGTGATGTGTGGGTTCATCTCACAGAGTTGATATTTTCATTTGATTGAGCTGTTTGGAAACACTATTTTTGTAGTATCTGCAAGTGGACATTTGAAGCGCTTTGCAGCCTATGGTAGAAAAGGAATATCCTCACAAAAAATCTAGACAGAAGCAATCTAAGAAACTTCTTTGTGATGTGTGCATTCATCTCACAGATTTAAACCTCTTTTGATTGAGCAGTTTGGAAACACTTTTTGTAGAATCTGGAAGTGGACACTTGGAGCACTTTGAGGCCTATGGTGGAAAAGGAAATATCTTCACATAAAAACTAGACAGAAGAATTCTGAGAAACCTCTTTGTGATGCATGCGTTCATCTCACAGAGTTGATAATTTCAATTGTTTGAGCAGTTTGGAAACATTCTTTTTGTTGAATCTGCAAGTGGACATTTGGAGAGCTTTGCGGCCTGCGGTAGAAAAGGAAATATCTTCACATAAAATCTAGACAGAAGTAATCTGAGAAACTTCTTTGTGATGTGTGCATTTGTCTCACAGAGTTAAAATGTTCTTTGGTTGAGGAGTTTTGAAAATCTCTTTTTGTAGAATCTGCAATTGGACACTTGGAGCGCTTTGTGGCCTGTGGTAGAAAAGGAAATATCTTCACATAAAAACTAGACAGAAGAATTCTGAGAAACTTCTTTTTGATGCATGTGTTCATCTCACAGAGTTCAACCTTTTTTTTTGATTGACCGGTTTGGAAACACTCTGTCTTTAAAATCTGGAAGTGAACATTTGGAGTGCTTTGAGGCCTATGGTGGAAAAGGAAATATCTTCACATAAAAAGTATACAGAAGCATTCTCTAAGACTACTTTGTGATGTGTGCATTCAACTCATGGAGTTGAACAGACTTTATCTTAGAAGAGTTTTGAAACACTCTTTTAGTAGAATCTGCAGGTGGAGATTTGGACAGCTTTGAGGCCTTCCTTGGAAACTGGAGTATCTTCACATAATCACTAGACAGATGCTTTCTCAGAAACATCTTTGTGCTGTGTGGATTGAACATACAGATTTGAAACTTTCTTTTGATAGAGCAGCTTTGACACACTCTTTTTGTAGAATCTGCAAGTGGACATTTGGAGCGCTTTGAGGTCTATGGTGGAAAAGGAAATATCTTCATATAAAACGTGGAAAGAAGCATTCTCAGAAACCCCTTTGTAATGTGTGCATTTAACTCACAGAGTTGAAACTTTTTTTTGATAGAACAGCTTTGAAACACACTTTTTGTAAAATCTGCAATTGGACATTTGGAGAGCTTTGAGGCCTATGGTAGAAAAGGAAATGTCTTTACATAAAAACTAGACAGAAGCATTCTCAGAAACTTCTTTGTGCTGTGTGCATTCAACTCACAGAGTTGAACCTTTCTTTTGATAGAGCAGGTTTGAAACACTCTTTTTGTAGAATCTGCAAGTGGACATTCGGAGCGCTTTGAGGCTTATGGTGGAAAACGAAATATCTTCACATAAAAACTAGACAGAAACTTTCTCAGAAACTTCTTTGTGATGTTTGCATTCAACTAACAGAGTTGAATCTTTCTTTTCATAGAGCAGTTTTCAAACACACTTTTGGTAGAATATACAAGTGGACATTTGGAGAGCTTTGAGGCCTATGGCAGAAAAAAAATATCTCCACATAAAAACTACATGGAAGCATTCTGAGAAACTTCTTTGTGATGGGTGTATTCAACTCACAGAGTTGAAACTTTCTTTTGATAGAGCAGGTTTGAAACACTCTTTTTGTAGAATCTGAAAGTGGACATTTGGAGAGCTTTGAGGACTATGGTGGAAAAGAAATATCTTCACACAAAAAATAGACAGAAGAATTCTCAGAAACTTCTTTGTGATGTTTGCATTCAACTCTCAGAGTTGAACATACCTTTTCATGGAGCAGTTTAGAAACACTCTTTTTGTAGAATCTGCAAGTGGATATTTCGACCGCTTTGAGGCCTTCGTTGGAAATGGGAATATCCTCACATAAACACTAGAGAGAAGCATTCTCAGAAACTACTTTCTGATGCATGCATTCAACTCACAGAGTTGAACCTTTCCTTTGATAGAGCAGGTTTGAAACACTCTCTTTGTAGTATCTGCAAGTGGACATTTGGAGCGCTTTGGGGCCTCTGGTGGAAAAGAAAATATCGTCACATAAAAACTAGACAGAAACATTCTCAGAAACTTCTTTGTGATGTCTGCATTTAACTCACAGAGTTAAACCTTTCTTTTGAAAGAGCAGTTTTGAAACACTCTTTTTGTAAAATCTGCAACTGCACATTTGGAGAGCTTTGAGGCCTATGGTAGAAAAGGAAATGTCTTCACCTAAAAACTAGACAGAAGCATTCTCAGAAATTCCTTTGTGATGTGGGCATTCAACTCACAGAGTTGAAAATTTCTTTTGATAGAGCAGGTTCGAAACACTCTTTTTATAGAATCCGCAAGTGGACATTTGGAGAGCTTTGAGGCCTATGGTGGAAAAGGAAATATCTTTATATAAAAACCAGACAGAAGCATTCTCAGAAACTTCTTTGTGATGTGTGCATTCAACTCACAGAGTTGAACCTTTCTTTTCATAAAGCAGGTTTCACACACAGTTTTTGTAGAATCTGCAAGTGGATATTTGGACCGCTTTGAGGCCTATGGTGGAAAAGGAAGTATCTTCCCTTAAAAACTAGACAGAAACATTCCCAGAAACTTCTTTGTGATATTTGCCTTCAACTCACAGAGTTCAACGTACCTTATCATAGAGCAGTTTTGAAACACTCTTTTAGTAGAATCTGCAAGTGGATATTTGGAATGCTTTGAGGCCTTGGTTGGAAACGGGAACATCTTCACATAAACACTAGACAGAAACATTCTCAGAAACTTCTTTTTGATGTGTGCATTCAACACACAGAGTTGAACCTTTCTTTTGATAGAGCAGGTTTGAAACACTCTTTTTGAATAATATGCAAGTGGACAATTGGAGCACTTTGAGTGCTATGGTTGAAAAACAAATATCTTCACATAAATTCTAGACAGAAGCATTCTCAGGAACTCCTTTGTGATGTTTGCATTCAACTCACAGAGTTTAACACACCTTATCATAGAGCAGTTTTGAAACAGTGTTTTAGTAGAATTTCCCAGTGGATATTTGGACCACTTTGAGGCCTTCTTTGGAAACGGGAATATATTCATATAAAAACTAGACAGAAGTATTCTCAGAAACTTCTTGGTGATGTCTGCATTCCACTCACAGAATTGAGCCTTTCTTTTCATAGAGCATGTTTGAAACACTGTTTTTGTAGAATCAACAAGTGGTCATTTAGAGAGCTTTAAGGACCATGGTGGAAACGGAAAAATCTTTATGTAAAAACCAGACAGAAGAATTCTCAGAAACTACGTTGTGATGTTTCCATTCAACTCACAGAGTTGAACATACCTTTTCATAGAGCAATTTTGAAACACTCTTTTTGTAGAATTTGCAAGTGGATATTTGTACCGCTTTGAGGCCTTCGTTGGAAACCGGAATATCTTCACATAAACACTAGACAGAAGCATTCTCAGAAACTTCTTTGTGATGTGTGCATTCTACTCACAGAGTTGAACGTTTATTGGATAGAGCACGTTTGAAACACTCATTTTGTAGAATCTGCAAGTGGACATTTGGAGAGCTTTGAGGACTATGGTGGGAAAGGAAATATATTCACATCAAAACTAGACAGAAGCATACTCAGAAACTTCTTTATGATGTTTACATTAAACTCACAGAGTTGAACTTTCATTTTCATAGACCAGTTTTGAAACACTCTTTTCACAGTATCTGCAAGTGGATAATTGGACCGCTTTGAGGAGTTCGTGGGAAATGGGTATAACTTCACATAAACACTAGACAGAAGCATTCTCAGAAACTTCTTTGTGATGTGTGCATTCAAGTCACACAGTTGAACATAACTTATCATAGAGTAGTTCTGAAACCCTCTTTTAGTGGAATCTGCAAGTGGATATTTGGACCACACTGAGGTCTTCTTTGAAAATGGGAGTATCTTCACATAAACACTAGACAGAAGCATTCTGAGAAACTTCTTTGTGATGTGTGCATTCAACTCACAGAGTTGAACGTTTCTTTTGATAGAGCAGGTTTGAAACACTCTTTTTGTAGAATCTGCAAGTGGACATTTGGAGAGCTTTGAGGCCTATGGTGGAAAAGGAAATATCTTCCAATAAAAAATAGAAGGATTCTCAGAAACTTCTTTGTGATATTTGCGTTCCCCTTACAGAGTTGAACACACTTTATCATAGAGCAGTTTTGAAACACTCTTTGAGTAGAATCTGCAAGTGGATATTTGGACCCCTTTGAGGCCTTCGTTGGAAACGGGAATATCTTCACATAAAAACTAGACAGAAGCATTCTCAGGAACTTCTTTGTGATGTGTGCATTCAACTCACAGAGTTGAACATTTCTTTTGATAGACCAGGTTTGAAACACTCTTTTTGTAGAATTTGCAAGTGGACATTTGGAGAGCTTTGTGGCCTATGGTGGAAAAGGAAATATCATCAAATAAAAACTAGACAGAAGCATTCTCAGAGACTTGTTCATGATCTTTGCATTCAACTCACAGAGTTGAACATACCTTATCATAGAACAGTTTTGAAAGAGTCTTTTACTAGAATTTGCAAGGGGATATTTGGAGTGCTTTGAGGCCTCCGTTGGAAACGGGAATATCTTCACATAAACACTAGACAGAAGCATTCTCAGAAAGTTCTTTGTGATGTGTGCATTCAACTCACAGAGTTGAACGTTGCTTTTGATAGAGCAGTTTTGACACACTCTTTTTGTAAAATCTGCAATTGGATATTTGGAGAGCTTTGAGGCCTATGGTCGAAAAGGAAATATCTTCACATAAAAGCTACAGAGAAGCATTCTCAGAAACTTCTTTGTGATGTGTGCTTTCAACTCACAGAATTTAACCTTGCTTTTGATAGAGCAGGTTTGAAACACTCTTTTTGTGGAATCTGCAAGTGGATATTTGGACCACTTTGAGGCCTTCATTGGAAACGGGAATATCTTCACATAATCACTAGACAGAAGTTTCTCAGAAACTTCTTTGTGCTGTGTGCATTCAGCTCAGCGAGTAGAACCTTTCTTTTGATGGAGCAGATTTGAAACACTGTTTTTATGGAATCTGCATGTGGATATTTGGACCGCTTTGAGGGCTTCGTTGGAAACGGGAGTATTTTCACTTAAACACTAGACAGAAGCATTCTCAGAAACTAATTTGTGATATGTGCATTCAACTCACAGAGTTGAACCTTCCTTTAGACAAAGCACGTTTGAAACACTCATTTTGTAGAATCCGGAAGTGGACATTTGAAGAAATTTGAGGCCTACAGTGGGAAAGGAAATGTCATCACATAAAAACTAGACAGAGGCATTCTCAGAAACGTCTTTGAGATGTGTGCATTCAACTCACAGAGGTGTACCTTCCTTTTCATAGAGCATTTTTTAAACACACTTTTCGTAGATTCTGCAAGTGGATATTTGGACCGCTTTGAGGCCTTCGTTAGAAACGGGAATATCTTCACATAAAAACTACACAGAAGCATTTCAGAAACTTCTTTGTGATGTGTGCATTCAACTCACAGAGTTGTACCTTTCTTTTGTTGGAGAAGGTGTTAAACACTGTTTTTGCAGAATATAAAAGTGGATATTTGGTGCGCTTTGAGGCCTATGGTGGAAAAGGAAATATCTTCACATAAAAACTAGACAGAATCATTCTCAGAATCCTGTTTTTGATGGGTGCATTCAATTCACAGAGTTGAACATGCTTTATTATAGAGCAGTTTTGAAACACTCTTTTAGTAGAATCTGCAAGTGGATATTTGGACCGCTTTAAGGCCTTCTTTGGAAACGGGAATATCTTCACATAAACCCTAGACAGAAGCATTCTCTGAAACTTCTTTGTGATGTGTGCATTCAACTCACAGAGTTGTACCCTTCTTTTGATAGAGCAGTTTTGAAACACTCTTTTTGAAGAATCTGCATGTGGATATTTGGACCACTTTGCGACCTTCTTTGGAAACGGTAATATCTTGACATAAACACTAGACAGAAGCATTCTCAGAAACTTCTTTCTGATGTGTGCATTCAACTCACAAATTTGAACGTACCTTATCATGGAGCAGTTTTGAAACTCTCTTTTAGTGGAACCTGCAAGTGGATATTTGGACCGCTTTGAGGTCTTCATTGGAAACAGGAATATCTTCACATAAACACTAGACAGAAGCATTCTCAGAAATTTCTTATTGATGTGTGCATTCAACTCACAGAATTGATCTTTTCTTTTGACAGAGCAGGTTTGAAACACTCTTTTTGTAGATTCTGCAAGTGGACATTTGGAGAGATTTGAGGCCTGTGGTGGAAAAGGAAATATCTTCATATAAAAACTAGACAGAAGAACTCTCTGAAACATCTTTGTGATCTTTGCATTCAATTCACAGAGTTGAATATATCTTTTCATAGAGCAGTTTTGAAACACTCTTTTCGTAGAATCTGCAAGTGGATATTTGGAATGCTTTGAGGCTTACGTGGGAAACGGAAATATCTTCACATAAAAACTAGACAGAAGCATTCTCAGAAACTTCTTTGTAATGTGTGCATTAAACTCACAGAGTTGAAACTTTATATAGAGCAGGTTTGAAACACTCTTTTTGTAGAATCTGCAAGTGGACATTTGGAGCACTTTGATTCCTATCGTGGAAAAGGTAATATCATCACATAAAGACTAGACTGTAGCTTTCTCAGAAACTTCTTTGTGATGTTTGCATTCAACTCACAGAGTAGAACATACCTCTTCATAGCGCAATTTAGAAACTCTCTTTTTGTGGAATGTGCAAGTTGATATTTGGAACTCTGTGAGGCCTTCGTTGGAAACGGGAATATCTTCACATAAACACTAGACAGAAGCATTCTCAGAAACTTCTTAGTGATGTGTGCATTCAACTCACAGAGTTGAACCTTTCTTTTGATAGAGCGGGTTTGAAACACTCATTTGGTAGAACCTGCAAGTGGACATTTGGAGAAATTTGAGGACTATGGTGGGAAAGGAAATATCTTCACATAAAAACTAGAGAGAAGCATTCTCAGAAACTTCTTTGTGATTTGTGCATTCAACTCACAGAGTTGAAACTTCCTTTCCATAGAGCAGTTTTGAAACACTCTTTTCGCAGAATCTGCAAGTGGATATTTGGAATGCTTTGAGGCCTTCTTTATAAACGAGAATATCTTCACATAGAAACTAGACAGAAGAATTCTCAGAAAATTTTTCTGATGTGTGCATTCAACTCACAGGGTTGAAACTTTCTTTTGATAGAGCACGTTTCAAACACGCTTTTTGTAGAATCTGCACGTGGACATTTAAAGCACTTTGAGGCCTGTGGTGGAAAAGGAAATATCTTCCCATAAAAAATAGACAGAAGCATTCTCAGAAACTTCTTTGTGATGTTTGCCTTCAACTCACAGAGTTGAACCTTTCTTTTAATAGAGCAGGTTTGAAACACTCTTTTTGTAGAATCTGAAACTGGACATTTGGGGTGCTTTGAGGCCTATGGTGGAAAATGAAATATCTTCTCATAAAAACTAGACAGAAGCATTCTATGAAACTTCTTTGTGATGTTTGCATTCAACTCACAGAGTTGAACATTCCTTATGATAGAGCAGTTTTGAAACACTCTTTTTGAAGAATCTGCAAGTGGATATTTGGACCGATTTTCGGACTTCCTTAGAAACAGGAATACCTTCACATAAAAACTAGACAGCAGCATTCTCAGAAACTTCTTTGTGATGTGTGCATTCAACTCACAGAGTTGAACTTTTGTTTTGATAGTGCACGTTTGAAACACTCTTTTTGCAGAATCTGCATGTGTGCATTTGGAGAGCTTTGAGGTGTATGGTGGGAAAGGAAATATCTTCACACAAAAACTAGACAGAAGCATTCTCAGAAACTTCTTTGTGATGCGTGCATTTAACTCACCGAGTTGAACCTTCCTTTTCATAGAGCAGGTTTGAAACACACTTTTTGCAGGATCTGCAAGTGGACATTTGGAGCGCTTCTATTCCAATGGTGGAAAACGAAATATCTTCTCATAAAAACTACACAGAAGCATTCTCAGAAACTTCTTTGTGACGTTTGCATTCAACTCTCAGAGTTGAACAAACTTTATCACAGAGCAGTTTTGAAACACTCTTTTAGTAGTATCTGCATGTGGGTAATTGAACCGCTTTCATGCCTTTGTTGGAAAGGAGAGTATCTTCACATAAAAACTAGACCAAAGCATTCTCAGAAACTTCTTTGTGATGTGTGCATTAAATTCACAGAGTTTAACCTTTATTTTGATAGAGCAGGTTTGAAACACTCTTTTGCAGAAATTACAAGTGGACATTTGGATCGTTTTGAGGCCTAAAGTTGGAAAGAAAATACCTTAACATAAAAATTAGACAGAAGCATTCTGAGAAACTGCTTTGTGATGTGTGCATTCAACTCACGGAGTTGAAGAGACTTTATCATAGAGCAGTTTTGAAATACTCTTTTAGTAGAATCTGCAAGTGGAAATTTGGACCTCTTTGAGGCCTTCGTTGGAAAAGGGAATAGCTTCACATAAATACTAGACAGAAGCATTCTCAGAAACTACTTTGTGATGTGTGCATTCAACTCACAGAGTTGAACATACCTTATCATAGAGTAGTTTTGAAGCACTCTTATAGAGGAATCTGCAAGGGGATATTTGGACAACTTTGAGGCCATCGTTGCAAACGGGAATATCATCACATAAACACTAGACAGAAGAATTCTCAGAAACTTCTTAGTGATGTGTGCATTCAACTCACAGAGTTGAACCTTCCTTTTCATAGAGCAGGGTTGAAACACTCTTTTTGCAGAATCAGCAAGTGTACATTTGGAGCGCTTTGAGGCCTAGGGTGGAAAAGGAAATATCTTCACATAAAAACTAGACAGGAGCATTCTCGAAAACTATTTTGTGATGTTTGCATTCAACTCACAGAGTTGAACATACTTTATCATAGAGCAGTTTTGAAACAGTCTTTTAGTAGAATCTGCAAATGGATATTTGGACTGCTTTGAGGCCTTCGATGGAAACGGGAATATCTTCACATAATCACTAGACAGAAGCTTTCTCAGAAACTTCTTTGCGCTGTGTGGATTCAACTCACAGAGTTGAACCTTTCTTTTGATAGAGCGGGTTTAAAACCCTCTTTTTGTAGAATCTGCAAGTGGACATTTGGAGCGGTTTGAGGCCTATGTTGGAAAAGGAAATGTCTTCATATAAAAACTAGACGGAAGCATTCTCAGAAACTTCTTTGTGATGTTTGCATTCAACTCACAGAGTTGAACATACCTTATCATAGAGCAGTGTTGAAACACTCTTTCAGTAGAATTTGCAAGTGGATATTTGGACCGCTTTGAGGCCTTCGTGGAAACGTGAATATCTTCACATAAACACTAGACAGAAGCATTCTCAAAAACTCCTTAGTGATGTGTGCATTCCATTGACAGAGTTGAACCTTTCTTTTGATAGAGCAGGTTTGAAACACTCTTTTTGTAGATTCTGCTAGTGGATATTTGGACCGCTTTGAGGCCTTTGTTAGAAACGGGTATATCTTCACATAAACACTAGACAGAAGCATTTTCAGAAACTTCTTTGTGATGTTTGCATTCAACTCACAGAGTTGAACCTTCCTTTTCATAGAGCAGTTTTGAAACACTCTTTTCATAGAATTTGCCTGTGGATATTTGGACGGCTTTGAGGCCTTCGTTGGAAACGGGAATATCATCACATAAAGAGTAGACAGAAGCATTCTCAAAAACTTCTTTGTGATGTGTCCATCCAACTCACAGAGTTGAACCTTCCTTTTGACAGAGCAGTTTTGAAACACTCTTTTTGTAAAATCTGCTTTTGGACATTTGAAGAGCTTGAGGCCTCTGGTAGAAAAGGAAATATCTTCGCATAAAAACTAAACAGAAGCATTCTCAGAAACTTCTTTGTGATGTGTGCATTCACCTCACAGAGTTGAACCTTGCTTTTGATAGAGCAGGTTTGAAACACTCTTTTTGGAGAATCTGCAACTGGATATTTCGACCGCTTTGAGGCCTTCATTGGAAAAGGGTGTATCTTCACAGAAATACTAGATAGAAGCCTTCTCAGAAACTTCGTGATGTTTGCATTCAACTCACAGAGCTGAACCTTTCTTTTGATAGAGCAGGTTTGCAACACTCTTTGTGCAGAATCTGCATGTGGACATTTGGAGAGCTTTGAGGCCTATGGTGGAAAAGGAAATATCTTCACATAAAAACTAGACAGAAGTATTCTCAGAAACTTCTTTCTGATGTTTGCATTCAACTCACAGAGTTGGATATACTTTTATCACAGGGCATTTTTGAAAAACTCCTTCAGGAGAATCTGCAAGTGGATATTTGGAACGCCTAGAGGCCTTCATTGGAAACGGGAATATCTTCACATAAATACTAGACAGCAGCATTCCCAGAAACTTCCTTGTGATGTGTACATTCAACTCACAGAGTTGAACATTTCTTTTGATAGAGCAGTTTTGAAACACTCTTTTTGCAGAATCTGCAAGTGGATATGTGGACTGCTTTGAGGCCTTCGTTGGATACGGGAATATCTTCACATAAAAACTAGACAGATGCATTCCCAGAAACTTCTATGTGATGTGTGCATTCAACCCACAGAGTTGAACCTTTCTTTTGATAGAGCAGTTTTGAAACACTCTTTTTGTAGAATCTGCAAGTGTACATTTGGAGAGCTTTGAAGCCTATGGTGGAAAAGGAAATATCTTCACATAAAATCTAGACAAAGCATTCTCAGAAACTTCTTCATGCTGTGTGCATTAAACTCAGAGAGTTGAACCTTTTTTTGATAGAGCAGGTTTGAAACACTCTTTTTGTGGATTCTGCAATTGGACATTTGGAGCGATTTAAGGAATATGGTGGAAAAGAAAATATCTTCAGATAAAAACTAGACAGAAGCATTCTCAGAAACTTCTTTGTGATGCTTGCCTTCAACTCACGGAGTTGAACCTACCTTATCATAAAGCAATTTGGAAACACTCTTTTAGTAGAATCTGCAAGTGGAGACTTGGAACGCTTTGGGGCCTTCGTTGGAAACGGGAATATCTTCACATAAATACTAGACAGAAGCATTCTCAGAAACTTCTTTGTGATGTGTACATTCAACTCACAGAGTTGAACCTTTCTTTTGATAGTGCAGTTTTAAAACACTCTTTTTGTAGAATCTGCAAGTGGATATTTGGAGAGCTTTAAGGCCTTCATTGGAAACGGGAATATCTTCACATAAACACTAGACAGAAGCATTCTCAGAAACTTCTTTGTGCTTTGTGCATTGAACTCGCAGAGTTGAACCTTTCTTTTGATAGAGCAGGTTTGAATCACTCTTTTTTCAGAATCTGCCAGTGGACACTTTGAGCGCTTTAAGGCCTATGGTGGAAAAGGAAATATCTTCACATAAAAACTAGACAGAAGAATTCTCAGAAACTTTTCTCTGATGTTTATATTCAACTCATGGAGTTGGACATACTTTATCATAGAGCAGCTTTGAAACACCCTTTTAGTAGAATCTGCAAGTGGTTGTTTGGACAGCTTTGAGGCATTCGTTGGAAAAGGGAATATCTTCACATAAAAACTAGACAGCAGCATTCTCAGAAACTTCTTTGTGATGTGTGCATTCAACTCACAGAGTTGAACATACCTTATCATAGAGCATTTTTAAAACCCTGTTTTTGTAGAATCTGCAAGCGGACATTTGGAGAACTTTGAGGCCTATGGTGGAAAAGGTAATATCTTTATATAAAAACCAGACAGAAGAATTCTCAGAAACTTCTTTGTGATGTGTGCTTTCATCTCACAGAGTTGAACCTTTCTTTTGATAGAGCAGTTTTGAAACACTCTTTTTGCAGAATCTCCAAGTGGACATTTGGAGCGCTTTGAAGCCTACGGTGGGAAAGGAAATATCTTCACATAAAAACTAGACAGAAGCATTCTCAGAAACTTCTTTGTGATGTTTGTTCTCAACTCACAGAGTTGAGCATACCTTATCATAGAGCTGTTTAGAAACACTCTTTTAGTAGAATCTGCAAGTGGATATTTGGACCACTTACAAGCCTTTGTTGGAAACGGGAATATCTTCACATAATCGCTAGACAGAATCTTTCTCAGAAACTTATTTGTGCTGTGTGTATTCAACTCACAGAGTTGAACCTTTCTTTTGAGAGAGCAGGTTTGAGACACTCTTTTTGTAGGATCTGCAAGTGGACATTTGGAGCACTTTAAGGCCTACGGTGGAAAAGGAAATATCTTCCCATAAAAACTAGACAGAAGCATTCTCAGAAACTTCTTGGTGATGTTTGCTTTCAACTCACAGAGTTGGACATTCCTTATGAGAGCAGTTTTGAAACAATCTTTTAGTACAATCTGCAAGTGGATATTTCGAACTGTTTGAGGTCTTCGTTGGAAATGGGACTATCTTCACATAAAGAGTAGATAGCAGCATTCTCAGAAACTTCTTTGTGATGTGTAAATTCATCTCACAGAGTTGAACCTTTCTTTTGACAGAGCAGTTTTGAATCACTCTTTTTTTAGGGTCTGCAAGTGGATATTTGGACCACTTTGAGGCCTTTGTTGGAAACGGGAATATTTTCACATAAAAGCTAGACAGACTCATTCTCAGAAACTTCTTTGTGATGTGTTCATTCATCTCACAGAGTTGATCCCTTCTTTTGATACAGCAGGTTTTAAACACTCTTTTTGTAGAATCTGTATGTGGACATTTGGAGAGGTTTGAGGCCAATGGTGGAAAAGGAAATATCTTTATATAAAAATGAGACAGAAGAATTCTCAGAAACTTCTTTGTGATCTTTGCATTCAGCTCAAAGAGTTGAACATAAATTTTCATAGAGCGGTTTTGAAACGCTCTTTTTGTAGAATCTGCAATTGGATATTTGGACTTCTTTGAGGCCTTAGTTGGAAACGGGAATATCTTCACATAAACACTAGACAGAAGCATCCTAAGAAACTTGTTTGTGATGTGGGCATTCAACTCACAGAGTTGAACCTTTCTTTTGATACAGCAGTTTTGAAACACACTTTTTGTAGAATCTGCAAGTGCACATTTGGAGAGCTTTGAGGACTACGGTAGAAAATGATACATCTTCACACGAAAACCAGACAGAAGCGTTCTCAGAAACTTCTTTGTGATGTTTACATTCAACTCACAGGGTTGAACATACCTTTTCATGGAGCAGTTTTGAAACACGCTTTTTGTAGTATCTGCAAGAGGATATTTCGACCGCTTTGAAGCCTTCGTTGGAAACAGGAATATCTTAACATAAACACTAGACGGAAGCATTCTCAGAAGCTTCTATGTGATGTGTGTATTAAACTCAAAAAGTTGAACCTTACTTTTGAGGAGCAGTTTTGAAACACTCTTTTTGTAGAATCTGCAAGTGGACATTTGGAGAGCTTAGAGGCCTATGATGGAAAAGGATACATCTTCATACAAAAACTAGACAGAAGCATTCTCAGAAACTTCTTTGCGATGTTTGCCTTCAATTAACAGAGTTGAACATTCCTTATCATAGAGCAGTTTTGAAACACTCTTTTAGTAGAATCTGCAAGTGGGTATTTGGACGGCTTTGTGGCCTTCATTGGAAACGGGAATATCTTCACATAAAAACTAGACAGCAGCATTTTCAGAAACTACTTTGTGATGTGTGCATTCCACTCACAGTGTTGAAGCTGTCTTTTGATAGAGCAGTTTTGAAACACTCTTTTTATAAAATCTGCAAGTGGATATTTGGACGGTTTTGAGGACTTCATTGGAAACCGTAATATCTTCACATAAATATTAGAGAGAAGCATTCTCAGAAACTTCTTTGTGATGTGTGCATTCAACTCACAGATTTGAACACACTTTATCATACAACAGCTTTTAAACTCTCTTTTAGTAGAATGTGCAAATAGATATTTAGACCGCCTGGAGGCCTTCGTCGGATACGGGAATATCTTCACATAAAAACTATACAGAATCATGCTCAGAAACTTCTTTGTGATGTGTGCCTTCAACTCAAAGTGTTGAACGCTTCTTTTGATAGCGCAGTTTTGAAACACTCTTTGCAGAATATGCAAGTGGACATTTGGCGTGCTTTGAGACCTATGGTGAAAAAGGAAATATCTTAACATAAAAAATAGACAGAAGCATTCTCAGAAACTTCTTTGTGATGTGTGCACTCAACACACAGAGTTAAACCTTTCTTTTGACAGAGCAGTTTTGAAACACTCTGCTTGTAAAATTCACAAACGGATATTAGGACAGCTTTGAGGCTTTCGTTGGAAACGGGAATATCTTCACAAAAAAACTAGACAGAAGCATTCTCAGAAACTTCTTTATGATGTGTGCATTCAACTCACAGAGTTGAAACTTTCTTTAGATAGAGCAGATTTGAAACACTCTTTTTGTAGAATTTGCAAGGGATATTTGGACAGATTTGAGGCCTTTGCTGGAAGCGGGAGTATCTTTATATAAAAACTAGACAGAAGCATTCTCAGAAACTGCTTTGTGATGTTTGCATTCAACTCACAGAGTTGAACATTCCTTTTGATAGAGAAGTTTTGAAACAATCTTTTTGTAGTATCTGCAGGTGGACATTTTGAGTTCTTTGAGGCCTATGGTGAAAAAAGAAATATCTCCACATAAAAAGTAGACAGAAGCATTCGCAGAAACTACTTTGTGATGTGTGCATTCAACTCACAGAGTTGAATCTTCCTTTCCATAGGGCAGTTTTGAAACACTCTTTTTGTAGAATCTGCAAGTGGACATTTGGAGTGCTTTGAGGCCTTCATTCGAAAGGGGAATATCTTCACATAATAACTAGACAGAAGCAATCTCAGAAACTTCTTTATGATGTGTACATTCAGCTCACAGAGTTAAACACTGCTTTTGAGAGAGCAGTTTTGAAGCACTCTCTTTGTAGAATCTGAAAGTGGACATTTGGTATGCTTTGAGGCCTATGGTGAAACACAAAATATCTTAACATAAACACTAGACAGAAGCATTCTCAGAAACTTTTTTGTGATGTATGTACTCAACTCACAGAGTTAAACCTTTCTTTTGATAGAGCAGTTTTGAAACACTATTCTTGTAGAATTTACAAGTGGATATTAGGACAGCTTTGAAGCTATCTTTGGAAACGGGAATATCTTCACAGAAAAACTAGATAGAAGCACTCTAGGAAACATCTTTTTGATATTTGCATTCAACTCACAGAGTTGAACGTTACTTTTCAGAGAGCAGTTTTGAAACACTCTTTTTGTAGAATCTGCAAGTGGACATTTGGAGCACTTTGAGGCCTATGGTGGAAAAGGAAATATCTTCACATAAAAACTAGACAGAATCACTCTCAGAAACTTCCTTGTGATGTGTGTACTCAACTCACAGAGTTAAACCTTTCTTTTAACACTTTGAAACACTTTTGAAACAGTTTTGAAACACTCTCTTTGTAGAAACTACAAAATGGATATTTGGACATGTTTCAGGCTTTCGTTGCAAACGGGAATATCTTCACATAAAAACTAGAAAGAAGCATTCTCAGAAACTTCTTTGTGATGACTGCATTCAACTAACATTGTTGAACATTCCTTTTCATAGAGGAGATTTCAAACACTCTTTTTGTTGTATCTGCAAGTGGACATTTGGAGTGCTTTGAGGTCTATGGTGAAAAAGGAAATATCTTCACATAAAAACTAGACAGAAGCATTCTCCGAAATTTCTTTGTGATGTGTGCATTCAACTCACAGAGATGAACAGTCCTTTTCATAGAGCAGTTTTGAAACACTCTTTTTGTAGTATCTGCAAGTGGACATTCGGAGCACTTTGTGGCCTTCGTTGGAAACGGGAATATGTTCACATAAAAACTAGACAGAAGCATTCTCAGAAACTTCTATGTGATGTTTGCATTCAACTCATAGAGTTGAACATTCCTTTTCATAGAGCAGTTTTGAAACACTCTTTTTGTAGTATCTGGAATTGGACATTTGGAGCGTGTTGAAGACTTCATTCGAAACAGGCATATCTTCACATAAAAACTAGACAGAGGCATTCTCTGAAACTTCTTTGTGATGTGTGCATTCAACTCACAGAGTTGTACCCTTCTTTTGATAGAGCAGTTTTGAAACACTCTCTTTGTAGAATCTGCAAGTTGACATTTTGTGTGCTTTGAAGACTATGGTGAAAAAGGAAATATCTTAGCATAAAAACTAGACAGAAGCATTCTCAGAAACTTCTTTGTGATGTGTGCACTCAACACACAGAGTTGAACCTTTATTTGATAGAGCGTTTTTAAACACTCTTTCCGTACAATCTGCAAGTGGACATTTAGAGTGCTTTGTGGCCTTCGTTGGAAACGGGAATATATTCACATAAATATTAGACAGAAGGATTCTGAGAAACTTCTTTGTTATGTGTGCATTTAATTCACAGAGTTGAACATTCCTTTTCATAGAGCAGGTTTCAAACACTCTTTTTGTAGAATCTCCAACTGGATATTTGGAAAGCTTTGAGCCTTTCGTTGGAAACAGTATTATCTTCAAATAAAAACTAGACAGAGGCATTCTCAGAAACTTCTTTGTCATGCTTGCATTCACTCACAGAGTTGAACATTCCTTTTTATAGAGCACTTTTGAAACACTCTCTTTGTAGAACGTGCAAGTGGACATTTGGAGTGCTTGAGGCATATGGTGAAAAACGAAATATCTTAAGACAAAAACTAGACAGAAGAATTCTCATAAACTTCTTTGTGATGTGTGCACTCAACTCACAGAGTTAAACCTTTCTTTTGATAGAGCAGTTTTGAAGCACTCTTTTTGTGGAATCTGCAAGTGAATATTTGGGAGCTTTGAGGGTCTTGTTGGAAACGGGAATATGTTCACAAAAAACTAGACAGTGGCATTCTCAGAAACTTCCCCGTGATGTTTACATTCAACTCACAGAGTTGAACACTCCTTTTCAGAGAGTAGTTTTGAAACACTCCTTTGTAGTATCTGCAAGTGGACATTTGAAGCGCTTTGACACCTTCGTTCGTAACGGGCATATCTTCACATAAAAACTAGACAGAAGCAGTCTCAGAAACTTCTTTGTGATGTGTCCACTCAACACACAGAATTGAACCTTCCTTTTGATAGAGCGTATTTAAACACTCCTTTCGTAGAATCTGTATGTGGACATTTGGAGCGCTTTGTGGCCTTCGTTGGAAACAGGAATATATTCACATAAAAACTAGACAGAAGCGTTCTCAGAAACCTCTTTGTGATGTTTGCATTTCACTCAGAGTTGAACATTCCTTTTGACAGAGCAGTTTTGAAAGACTCTTTTTGTAGAATCTGCAAGTGGACATTCGGAGTGCATTGAGGCCTATGGTGAAAAAGGAAATATCTTCACATAAAAACTAGACAGAGGCATTCTCACAAACTTCTTTGTGATGTGTGTATTCAACTCACAGAGATGAACCTTTCTTTTTCTAGAGCAGTTTTGAAACACTCTTTTTGCAGCATTTACAAGGGGATATTTGGACAGCTTTGAGGCTTTGGTTGGAAACGGGAATATCTTCACATAAAAACTAGACAGAGGCATTCTCAGGAACTTCTTTTTGATGTGTGTACTAAACACACAGAGATGAACTTTTCCTTTGCTAGAGCAGTTTTGAAACACTCTTTTTACAGCATTTACAAGTGGATATTTGGACAGCTTTGAGGCTTTCATTGGAAACGGAAATATCTTCACATAAAAACTAGACAGAAGCATTCTCAGAAACTTCTTTGCAATGTTTGCATTCAACTCACAGAGTTGAACATTCCTTTTCATAGAGCAGTTTTGAAACACTCTTTTTGTAGAATCTGCAATGGACATTTGAAGCGCTTTGAGGCCTATGGTGAAAAAGGAAATATCTTCACATAAAAACTAGACAGAAGCATTCTCAGAAACTTCTTTGTGATGTGTGTACTCAACTCACAGAGGTGAACCTATCTTTTAATAGAGCAGATTTGAATCCCTCTTTTTGTAGCATTTACAAGTGGATATTTGGACAGCTTTGAGGCTTTCATTGGAAACGGGAATATCTTCACAAAAAAACTAGACAGAAGCATTCTCAGACACTCCTTTGTGATGTGTGCATTCAATTCACAGTGTTGAAACTTTCTTTTGATAGAGCAGATTGGAAACACTCTTTTTGCAGAATTTGCAAGTGGATATTTGGACAGCTTTAAGGCCTTTGCTGGGAACAGGAGTATCTTCACATAAAAACTAGACAGAAACATTCTCAGAAACTACTTTGTGATGTGTATACTCAACTCACAGATTTGAACATTTCTTTTGATAGAGCAGTTTTGAAACACTCTCTTTGTAGAATCTGCAACTGGATATTTGGACAGTTTTGAAGCCTTTGCTGGAAAAGGGACTATTTTCTTAAAAAAACTAGACAGAAGCATTCTAGGAAAGTTCTTTTTGATGTTTGCATTCAACTCACAAAGTTAAACATTCCTTTTCATAGAGCATTTTTGAAACACTCTTTTTGTAGATCCTGCAAGTGGACATTTGGAGCGCTTTGAAGCCTATGGTGGAAAAGGAAATAACTACACATAAAAACTAGATAGAAGCATACTCAGAAACATCTTTGTGATGTGTGTACTCAACTCACACAGTTGAACCTTTCTTTTGATAGAGCAGTTTTGAAACACTCTCTTTGTAGATTCTGCTAATGGATATTTGGACAGGTTTGGGGCTTTCGCTGGGAACGGAATATCTTCACATAAAAACTAGACAGAAGCATTCTCAGAAACTTCTTTCCGATGTTTGCATTCAACTCACAGAGTTGAACATTCCTTTTCCTAGAGCAGTTTTGAAACACTCTTTGTAGAATCTGCAAGTGGATATTTGGAGCACTTTGAGGCCTTCGATCGAAACAGGAATACCTTCACATGAAAACTCGAGAGAAGCATTATCAGAAACTTCTTTGTGATGTTTGCATTCAACTCACAGAGTTGAACCCTTATTTTAATAGCGCAGTTTTGAAACACTCTCTTTGTAGAATCTGCAAGTGGTCATTTTGTGTACTTTGTGGCCTATGGTGAAAAACGAAATATCTTAACATAAAAACTAGACGGAAGCATTCTCAGAAATTTCTTTGTGATGTGTGCACTCAACTCACAGAGTTGAACCTTTCTTTTGATAGAGCAGTTTTGAAACTCTCTGTGGAATCTGTAAGTGGACATTTGGAGAGCTTTGAGGCCTTTGTTGGAAATGGGACTATCTTCACATAAAAACTAGACAGAAGCATACTCAGAAACTTCTTTGTGATGTTTGCAATCAACTCGCAGAGTTGAACATTCGTTTTCATAGAGTAGTTTGAAATACTCTTTTTGTAGTATCTGCAAGTAGACATTTGGAGCGCTTGAGGCCTATGGTGAAAAATGAAATATCTACACATAAAAACTAGACAGAAGCATTCTCAGAAACTTCTTTTTGATATGCGTACTCAACTCACAGAGTTAACCTTTCTTTTGATAGAGCAGTTTTGAAACACTCTTCTTGTAGAATTTTCAAGCTGGATATTTGGACAGCTTTTGAGGCTTTCGCTGGAAATGCGAATATCCTCACATAAAAACCAGACAGAAGCATTCACAGAAACTTCTTTGTGATTTCCGCAATCAACTCAGAGTTGAATCTTTCCTTTGATAGAGCAGCTTTGAAACACTCTTTTTGCAGAATTTGCAAGTGGATATTTGGACAGCTTTGAAGCCTTCGCTGGAAACGCGAGTAGCTTCACATAAAAACTAGATAGAAGCATTCTCAGAAATTTCTTTGTGATGTTTCCATTCAACTCACAGAGTTGAACATTCCTTTTCATAGAGCAGTTTTGAAACACACCGTTTGTAGAATCTGCAACTGGATATTTGGAGCTCTTTGAGGCCTATGGTGAAAAAGGAAATATCTTCACATAAAAACAAGAGAGAAGCATTCTCAGAAACTTCTTTGTGATGAGTGTACTCAACTCCCAGAGTTGAACCATTCATTTGATAGAGCAGTTTTGAAACACTATTTTTGTAGAATTTGCAAGTGGATATAAGACAGCTTTGAGGCTTTCATTGGAAACGGGAATATCTTCACATGAAAAATAGACAGAAGCATTCTCAGAATCTTCTTTGTGATGTGTGCATTCAACCCATAGTGTTGAAACTTTATTTTGATATAGCAGATTGGAAACACTCTTTTTGTAGAATTTGCAAGTGGATATTTGAAGAGCTTTGAGGCCTTCACTGGAAACGGGATTATCTCCACATAAAAACCAGAAAGAAACATTCTCAGGAACTTGTTTGTAATGTGTGTACTCAACTCAGAAAGGTAAACCTTTCTTTTGATACAGCAGTTTTGAAACACTATTCTTGTAGAATTTACAGGTGGATATTAAGACAGCTTTGAGGCTTTCGTTGGAAACGGGAATATCTTCACATTAAAACCAGACAGAAGCATTCTCAGAAACTTCTTTGTGATGTGCGCATTCAACTCACAGAGTTGAAATTTCCTTTGATAAAGCAGCTTTGAAACACTCTTGTTTTAGAATTTGCAAGCGGATATTTGGACAGCTTTGAAGCCTTCGCTGGAAACGGGGGTATCTTCACATAAAAACTAGACAAAGCATTCTCAGAAACTTCTTTGTGATGTTTGCATTCAACAGGGTTGAATATTCCTTTTCATAGAGCAGTTTGAAAAAATCTTTTTGTAGTATCTGCAAGTAGACATTTGGAGTGCTTGAGGCCTATGGTGAAAAAGGAAATATTTTCACATAAAAACTAGACAGAAGCATTCTCAGAAACTTCTTTGTGATGTGTGTACTCCACTCACAGTGTGAAACCTTTCTTTTGATAGAGCAGTTTTGAAACACTCTTCTTGTAGAATTTATAAGTGGATATTTGGACAGCTTTGTGGCTTTCGTTGGAAATGGGAATATCTTCAAATAAAAACCAGACAGAAGCTTTCACAGAAACTTCTTTGTGATTTGTGCATTCAACTCACGGAGTTGAAACTTTCCTTTGATAGAGCAGGTTCGAAACACTCTTTTTGTAGAATTTTCAAGTGGATATTTGGACAGCTTTGAAGCTTTCGCTGGAAACGGGAGTATCTTCACATAAAACTAGACAAAAGCATTCTAGGAAACTTCTTTTTGATGTTTGCATTCAACTCATAGAGTTGAACGTTCCTTTTCATAGAGCAGTTTTGCAACACTCTTTTTGTAAAATCTGCAAGTGGAGACTTGGAGTGCTTGAGGCCTTCGTTAGAAACGGGAATATCTTCACATAAAAACTAGACAGAAGCATTCTTAAAAACTTCTTTTTGATGTGTGTACTCAACTCACAGAGTTGAACTTTTCTTTTGATAGAGAAGTTTTGAAACACTCTCTTTGTAGAATCTGCTAATGGATATTTGGACACCTTTGAGGCTTTTGTTGGAAATGGGAATATCTTCACATAAAAACTAGACAGAAGCATTCTCAGAAACTTCTTTGTGATGTTTGCATTCAACTCACAGATTTGAACATTCCTCTTCATACAGCAGTTTTGAAACACTCTTTGTAGTATCTGCAAGTGGACATTTGGAGCGCTTTGAGGCCTATGGTGAAAAAGGAAATATCTTCACATAAAAACTAGACAGAAGCATTCTCAGAAACTTCTTTGTGATGTGTGCATTCAACTCACAGAGTTGAACAATCCTTTTCATACAGCAGTTTTGAATCTCTCTTTTTGTAGAATCTCCAATGGACATTTGGAGCACTTTGGGGCCTTCGCTCGAAACGGGAATATCTTCCCATAAAAACTGGACAGAAGCTTTATCAGAAACTACTTTGGGATATGTGCTTTCAACTCACATAGTTGAACCCTTCTTTTGATAGAGCAGTTTTGAAACACTCTCATTGTAGAATCTGCAAGTGGACATCTGGTGTGCTTTGAGGCCTATGGAGAAAAAGGAAATATCTTCACATAAAAACTAGACAGAAGCATTCTCAGAAACTTATTTTTGATGTGTGTACTCAACTGACTCAGTTACACCTTTCTTTTGATAGAGCAGTTTTGAAACACTCTTCTTGCAGAATTTATAAGTGGATATTAGGAAAGCTTTGAGGCTTTTGTTGGAAACGGGAATGTCTTCACATAAAAACCAGACAGAAGCATTCTCAGGAACATCTTTGTTTTACGCGCATTCATCTCACAGACTTGAAACTTTCTTTTGATAGAGCAGCTTTGAAACAAACTTTCTGTAAAATTTGCAAGTGGATATTTGGACAGCTTTGAAGCCTTTGCTGGAAACGGGAGTATCTTCACATAAAAACTAGATGGAAGGATTCTCAGACACTTCCTTGGGAGGTTTGCATTCAACTCAAAGAGTTGAACATTCCTTTTCATAGAGCTGTTTTGAAACACTCTTTTTGTAGAATCTGCTAGTGGACATTTGGAGCAACTTGAGGCCTGTGGTGAAAAATGAAATACCTTCGCATAAAAACTAGACAGAATCATTCTCAGAAACTTCTTTGTGATGTGTGTACTCCACTCACAGAGTTGAACATTTCTTTTGATAGAACAGTTTTGAAACACTCCCTTGTAGAATCTGCAGGTGTATATTTGGACAGCTTTGAGTCTTTCATTGGAAACGGGAATATCTTCTCATAAAAACTAGACAGAAGCACTCTCAGAAACTTCTCTGTGATGTTTGCCTTCAACTCTCAGAGTTGATCATTCTTTTTCATAGAGCAGTTTTGAAACACTCTTTTTGTAGAATCTGCAAGCGGACATTTGGAGCACTTTGAGGCCTGTGGTAAAAAAGGAAATATCTTCACATGAAAACTAGACAGGAGCATTCTAAGAAACTTATTTGTGATGTGTACACTAAACTCACAGAGTTGAACTTTTCATTTGATAGAGCAGTTTTGAAACACTATTTTTGTGAATCCTGCAAGTGGACATTTGGAGCACTTTGAGGTATTCTTTGGAAACGGGAATATCTTCACATAAAAACTAGAAGGAAGCATTCTCAGAAACTTCTTTGTGAGGTTTGCATTCAACTCACAGAGTTGAACTTTTCTTTTGATAAAGCAGTTTTGAAACACACTCTGTAGAATCTGTTAATGGATATTTGGACAGCTTTGAGGTTTTCGTTGGAAACGGGACTATCTTCACATAAAAACTAGACAGAAGCATTCTCAGAAACTTCTTTGCGATGTTTGCATTCAACTCACAGAGTTGAAGATTCCTTTTCATAGAGCAGTTTTGATATGCTCTTTTTGTGGAATCTGCCTGAGGACATTCGGAGTGCTTTGAGGCCTAAGGTGAAAAAGGAAATATCTTCACATAAAAACTAGACAGAAGCATTCTCAGAAACTTCTTTGTGAAGTGTGTACTCAACTCACAGAGTTAAACCTTTCTTTGATAGAGCAGTCTTGAAACACACTTCTTGTAGAATTTACAAGTGGATATTAAGACAGCTTTCAGGCTTCCATTGGAAATCCTGAAGATATTCGCTGGAATATCTTCACATAAATTGTAGACAGAAGCATTCTCAGAAACATCTTTGTGATGTGTGCTGTTGGAACTTTCCTTTGATAGAGCAGTTTTGAAACACTCTTTTTGTAGAATTTGCAAGTGGATATTTGGACAGCTTTGAAGCCTTCCCAGGAAATGAGTTTATCTTCACATAAAAACTAGACAGAATCATTCTCAGAAACTTCTTTGTGATGTTTGGTTTAACTCACAGAGTTGAACATTCCTTTTCATAGAGCAGTTTTGAAAAACGCTTTTTGTAGAATCTGCAAGTGGACATTTGCAGCGTTTTGGGACCCATAGTGAATAAGGAAAGATGTTCACATTAAAACTAGATAGAAGCATTCTCAGAAACTTCTTTGTGATGTGTGTACTCAACACACAGAGTTGAATCTTTGTTTTGACAGAGCAGTTTGAAACCCTTTTTTGTATAATCTGCAAGTGGATATTTGGATAGCTTTGAGGCTTCCGTCGGAAACGGGAATATCTTCACATAAAAACTAGAGAGAAGCATTCCTCAGAAACTTCTTTGTGAAGTTTGCCTTCAACTCACAGAGTTGAACATTCCTTTTCATAGAGCAGTTTTGAAACACTCTTTTTGTAGAATCTGCAAGTGGACATTTGGAGCGCTTTGAGGCCTATTTTGGAAAACGAAATATTTTCACATAAAAACTAGACAGAAGCATTCTCAGAAACTTCTTTGTGATGTGTGTACTCCACTCACAGAGTAGAACCTTTCTTTTTATAGGGCAGTTTTTAAACACTCTCCTTGTAGAATCTGCAAATGGATATTTGGACAGCTTTGAGGCTTTGGTTGGAAACGGGAATATCTTCACATAAAAACCAGACAGAAGCATTCTCAGAAACTTCTGTGTGATGTGCGCATTCAACTCACAGAGGTGAAACTTTCTACTGATAGAGCAGCTTTTAAACACTCTTTTTGAGAATTTGCAAGTGGATATTTGGACAGCTTTCAAGCCTTCACTGGAAACGGAAGTATCTTCAGGTAAAAACTAGACAGAAGCATTCTCAGAAACTTCTTTGTGATCTTTGCATTAAATTCATGGAGTTGAACATTCCTTTTCTTAGAGGAGTTTTGAAAAACTCTTTTTGTAGATTCTGCAAGTGGACATTTGGAGCACTTTGAGGCCTATGTTGAAAAAGGAAATATCCTCCCATAAAAACTAGACAGAAGCATTCTCAGAAACTTGTGACGTTTGCATTCAACTCACAGAGTTGAACATTCCTTTTCATAGAGCAGTTTTGAAACACTCTTTTTGTAGAATCTGCAATGGACATTTGAAGCGCTTTGAGGCCTATGGTGAAAAAGGAAATATCTTCACATAAAAACTAGACAGAAGCATTCTCAGAAACTTCTTTCTGATGTGTGTCCTCAACTCACAGAGTTGAACACTTCTTTTGATCTAGAAGTTTTGAAACACTCTCTTTGTAGCATCTACAAGTGGACATTTGGTGTGCGTTAAGACGTATGGTGAAATGGGAAATATCTTAACATACAAACTAGACAGAAGCATTCTCAAAGACTTCTTTGTGATGTTTGCATTTATCTCACAGATTTGCACATTCCTTTTCATAGAGCAGTTTTGAAACACTCTTTTTGTAGCATCTGCAAGTGGACATTCGGAGCGCTTGGAGGCCTATGGTGACAAAGGAAATATCTTCACATAAAAACTAGACAGAAGCATTCTCAGAAATTTCTTCTTGATGTGTGTACTCAACTCACAGAGATGAACCTTTCTTTTGCTGTAGCAGTTTTGAAACACTCTTTTTGCAGCATTTACAAGTGGATATTTGGACAGCTTTGAGGCTTTCCTTGGAAAAGGGAATATCTTCACATAAAAACTAGACCGAAGCATTTTCAGGAACTTCTTTGTGATGTGTGTATTCAACTCAAAGAGTTGAAACTTTCTTTTGATAGAGCAGATTTGAAACACTCTTTTTGTAGAATTTGCAAGTGGATATTTGGACAGCTTTGTCGCCTTCACTGGAAACGGGGATATCTTCACATAAAAACTAGACAGAAGTATTCTCAGAAACATCTTTGTGATGTTTACATTCAACTCACATAGTTGAACATTCCTTTCAATAGAGCAGTATTGAAACACTCTGTAGTATCTGCTAGTGGATATTTGGAGTGCTTTTAGGCCTCTGGATAAAAAGGAAATGTCTTCACATAAAAACTAGGCAGAATCATTATCAGAAACATCTTTGTGATGTGCGCACTCAACAAAAAGAGTTGAAAATTTCCTTTGATGGAGCGTTTTTAAACAGTCTTTTTGTAGAATCTGCAAGTGGACATTTGGAACGCTTTGAAGCCTTCGTTGGAAACGGAAATATCTTCACATAAAAACTTTACAGAATCATTCTCAGAAACTTCTTTGTGATGTGTGTACTCAACTCACAGAGTTGAACCTTTCTTTTGATAAAGCAGTTTTGAAACACTGTCTTTGTGGAAACTGCAAATGAATATTTGGACAGGTTTGAGGCTTTCATTGGAAACGGTAATAACTTCACATAAAAACTAGACAGAAGCATTCTCAGAAACTTGTTTGTGATGTGTGCACTCAACTCACAGAGTTGAACCTTTCTTTTCACAGAGCAGTTTTGAAACACTCTTTTTGTGGAATCTGCAAGTGGTCATTTGGAGCGCTGTGTGGCCTTCATTGGAAACGGGAATAACTTCACAAAAAACTAGACAGAAGCATTCTCAGAAACTTCTTTGTGATGTTTGCATTCAACTCACAGAGTTGAAACTTTTATTTTGATAGAGTAGATTTGAAACACTGCTTTTGTGGAATTTGCAAGTGGATATTTCAACAACTTTGAGGCTTTCGCTTGAATCGGGAGTATCTTCACATAAAAACTAGACAGAAGCTTTCTCGGAAACATCTTTTTGATGTTTGCATTGAACTCAAAGAGTTGAACATTCGTTTCTATAGAGTAGTTTTGAAACATTCTTTTTATAGTATCTGCAAGTTGACATTTGGAGCGCTTTGAGTCCTATGGTGATAAAGAAAATATCTTCAAATAAAAATGAGACAGAAGCATTCTCAGAAACTTCTCTGTGATGTGTACATTCAACTCACAGAGTTGAAAATTCCTTTTCATAGAGCAGATTTGAAACACTCCTTTTGTAGAATCTCCAAGTGGACCTTTGGAGCGCTCTGAGGCCTTTGCTCGAAACGGGAATATCTTCACATAAAACTAGACAGAAGCATTATCAGAAACTTCTTTCTGATGTGTCCTTTCAACTCACAGATTTGAATTCTTCTTTTGATAGAGCAGTTTTGAAACACTCTCTTTGTAGAATCTGCAAGTGGACATTTGGTGTGTTTGAGGTTTATGGTGAAAAAGGAAATATCTTCACATAAAAACTAGACAGGATCATTCTCAGAAACTTCTTTGTGATGTGTGCACTCAACTCACAGAGTTGAACATTTCTTTTGATAGAGCAGTTGTCAAACACTCTTTAAGTGGAATCTGCAAGTGGACACTTGGAGCGCTTTGTGACCTTCTTTGGAAATGGGAGTATCTTCACATGAAAACTATACAGAAGCATTGTCAGAAACTTCTTTGTGATGTGTGCATTTAACTCACAGAGTTGAACCCTTCTTTTGATAGAGCAGTTTTGAAACACTCTCTTTGTAGAATCTGCAAGTTGATATTTGGACAGCTTTGAGGCATTCATTGGAAACGGGAATATCTTCACATAAAATCTAGACAGAAGAATTCTCAGAAACTTCTTTGTGATGTTTTCATTCAATTCACAAAGTTGAACATTCCTTTTCATAGAGCAGTTTTGAAAAACTCTTTTTATATTAACTGCAAGTGGACATTTGGAGCGCTTTGAGGCCTATGGTGAAAAAGGAAATATCTTCACATAAAAACTAGACAGAAGCATTAGCAGAAACTTCTTTGTGATATGTGTATTCAACTCACAGAGTTAAACATTTCTTTTGATACATCAGTTTTGAAACCCTCTTCTTGTAGAATATAAAAGTGGATATTAGGACCACGTGTGAAGCTTTCGATGGAAACGGGAATATCTTCACATAAAAACCAGACTGAAGGCATTCTCAGAAACTTCTTTGTGATGTGCGCATTCAACTCACAGAGTTGAAACTTTCTTTTGATAAAGCAGCTTTGAAACACTCTTTTTGTAGAATTTGCAAGTGGATATTTCGAAAGCTTTGAAGCCTTCGCTGGACACGGGAGTATCTTCCCATAAAAACTAGACAGAAGCGTTCTCAGAAACATATTTGTGATGTTTGCATTAAACTCACAGAGTTGAACATTCCTTTTCATTGAGCACTTTTGAAACACTCTTTTTGTAGTATCTGCAAGTGGACATTTGGACAGCTTTGAGGCCTATAGAGAAAATGGAAATAACTTCACATAAAAACTAGACAGAAGCATTCTCAGAAACATCTTTGTGATGTTTGCATTCAACTCAAAGAGTTGAACATTCCTTTTCATAGAGCAGTTTTGAAAAACTCTTATTGTAGAATCTGCAAGTGGTCATCCTGAGTGCTTTGAGGCCTTCATTCAAAACGGGAATATCTTCACATAAAAAATAACAGAAGCATTCTCAGAAACTTCTTTGTGATGTGTGCATTTAACTCACAGATTTGAACCCTTCTTTTATAGAGCAGTTTTGACACACTCTTTTTGTGTAATCTGCAAGTGGACATTTGTTGTTCTTTGAGGCCTATGATGAAAAAGGAAATATCTTATGGACAGCACTGAGGATTTCGTTAGAAACGGGACTATCTTCACATAAAATTAGACAGAAGCATTCTCAGAAACTAGTTTGTGATGTGTGCATTCACCTGACGGAGTTCAAACTTTCTTTTGATAGAGCAGATTGGAAACACTCTTTTTGTAGAATTTGCAAGTGGATATTTGGACAGCTTTGAGGCCATCGCTGGAAACGGGTATATCCTCACATAAAAACTAGACAGAAGCATTCTCAGAAACTTCTTACTGATGCTTGCATTCAACTCACAGAGTTGTACATTCCTTTTCATAGAGCAGTTCTGAAACACTCTTTTTGAAGGATCTGTATGTGCAAATTTGGAGAGCTTCCAGGCCTATGGTGAAAAAGGAAATAGCTTCACATAAAAACTGGACAGAAGTATTCTCAGAAACTTCTTTGTGATGGATGTACTCAACTCATGAAGTTGAACTTTTCTTTTAATACAGTAGTTTTGAAACACTCTTTTTGTAGAATCTCAAAGTGGATATTTGGATTGCTTTGATTCTTTCGTTGGAAATGGGAATATCTTCACATAAAAACTAGACAGAAGCATTTTCAGAAACTTCTTTGTTATGTTTGCATTCAACTGACAGAGTTGAACATTCCCTTTCATATAGCAGTTTTGAAACACTCTTTTTGTAGGATCTGGAAGAGGACATTTGGAGTGCTTTGAGGCCTGTGGTGGAAAAGGAAACATCTTCACATAAAAACTAGACAGAAGCATTCTCAGAAACTTCTTTGTGATGTGTGTACCCAAACTCATAGAGTTGAACCTTGCTTTTTATACAGCATTTCTGGAACACTCTTTTTGTAGAATCTGCAATTGGATATTTGGATAGCCTTGGGGCTTTCGATGGAAACGGCAATATGTTCACATAAAAACTAGACAGAAGCATTCTCAGAAACTTCTTTGTGATGCTTGCATTCAGCTCACTGAGTTGAACATTCCTTTTCATACAGCAGTTTTGAAACACTATTTTTGTAGAATTTGTAAGAGGAAACATGGATGGCTTTGAGGCCTATGCTGAAAAAGGAAATAACTTCCCATTGAAACTAAACAGAAGAATTCTCAGAAACTCCTTTGTGATGTGAGTACTCAACTCACAGAGTTGAAATTTTCTTTCGATAGAGCAGTTTTGAAACACTCTTTTTGTAGTATCTGGAAGTGGACATTTGGAGCGCTTTGAGGCCTATGGTGGAAAAAGAAATATCTTCACATAAAAACTAGACAGAAGCATTCTCAGAAACTAGTTTGTGATGTGTGCATTCAACTCACAGAGTTCAAACTTTCTTTTGATAGAGCAGATTGGAAACACTCTTTTTGTAGAATTCGCAAGTGGATATTTGGACCGCTTTGAGGCCTTCGCTGGAAACGGTTATATATTCACATAAAAACTAGACAAAAGCATTCTCAGAAACTTCTTCATGAAGCTTGCATTCAACTCACAGAGATGAACATTCCTTTTCATAGAGCAGTTTTCAAACAGTCATTTTTAGAATCTGTAAGTGGAAACTTGAAGCGCTTTGAGGCCTATGGTGAAAAAGGTAATATCTTCCCATAAAAACTAGACAGAAGAATTCTCAGAAACTGCTTTGTGATGTGTGTACTCAACTCGCAGAGTTGAAGATTTCTTTTAATAGAGCAGTTTTGAAACCTTCTTTTTGTAGAGTCTGGAAGTGCATATTTGGATTGCTTTGAGGATTTCATTAGAAACGGTAATATCTTCACATAAAAACGAGACAGAAGCATTCTCAGAAACTACTTGGTGATGTTTGCATTCAACTCACAGAGTTGAACATTCCTTTTCATAGACAAGTTTTGAAACACTCTTTTGGTTGTCTCTGGCAGTGGACATTTGGAGCGCTTTGAGGCCAATGGTGAAAAACGAAATATCCTCACATAAAAACTAGACAGAAGCATTCTCAGAAACTTCTTTGTGATGTGTGTACTCAACGCACAGAGTTTATCCTTTCTTTTGATACAGCACTTTTGAAACACTTTTTGTTGAATCTGCAAGTGGATATTTGGATAGCTTTGAAGCTTTCATTATAAAGGGCAATATCTTCACATAAAAACTAGACAGAAGCATTCTCAGAAACTTCTTTTTGATATGTGTACTCAACTCACGCAATTGAACCTTTCTTTAGATACAGCAGTTTTGAAACACTGTTCTTCTACATTTTACAATTAGATATTATAACAGCTATGAGGATTTCGTTGGAAATGGGAATATCTTCACATAAACACTAGACGGAAGCATTCTCAGAAACGTCTCTGTGATGTTTGCATTCAACTCACAGAGTTGAACACTCCCTTTGATAGAACAATTTTAAAACACTCTTTTTGTAGTATCTGGAAGGGGACGTTTGGAGCGCTTTGAGGCCTAGGGTGAAAAAGGAAATCTCTTCACATAAAAACTAGACAGAAGCATTGTCAGAAACTTCTTTGTGATGTGTGTACGCAACTCACAAATTTGAACTTTACTATTGATAGAGCAGTTTGGAAACACTCTTTTTGTAGAGTCTGCAATTGGATATTTGGATAGTATTGGGGATTTCACTGGAAACGGGAATATCTTCTCATAAAAACTAGACAGAAGTTATCTCAGAAACTTCTTTGTGCTGTTTGCATTCATCTCACGGAGTTGAACATTCCCTTTCATAGAGCAGTTTTGTAACACTCTTTTTGTAGTGTCTGGAAGGGGACATTTGGAGCGCTTTGAGGCCTATGGTGAAAGAGGAAATATCTTCACATAAAATATAGACAGAGGCATTCTCAGAAACTATTTTGTGATGTGTGTACTCAACTCACAGAGTTGAACCTTTCTTTCGATACAGCAGTTTTGAAACACTCTTTTTGTAGAATCTGCAAGTGGATATTTGGAAAGCTTAGAGGCTTTCGTTGGAAACGGGAATATCTTCCCATAAAAACTAGACAGAAGCATTCTCAGAAACTTCTTGGTGATGTTTGCATTCAAATCAAAGAGTTGAACATTCCTTTACATAGAGCAGTTTTGAAACACTCTTTTTGTAGTATCTGCAAGTGGACATTTTGTGCGATTTGAGACCTATGGTGAAAAAGGAAATATCTTCACATAAAAAGTAGACACAGTCATTCTCAGAAACTAATTTCTGATGTGTGTACTCAACTCAGAGAGTTAAACCTTTCCTTTGTTACAGCAGTTTTGAAAAACTCTTCTTGCAGAATTAACAAGTGGCTATTCGGACAGCATTGTGGATTTCGTTGCAAACGGGAATATCTTCTCATATATTTGGGGAGAAGCATTCTCAGAAAACGCTTTGGAATGTATGCATTCAACTCACTGATTTGAAACTTTCCTTTAATAGAGCAGATTGGAAACACTTTTTTTGTAGAATTTGCAAATCGATATTTGGACATTTTTGAGGCCTTTGCTGCAAACAGGTATATCTTCTCATAAAAACTAGACAGAAGCATTCTCAGAAACTTCTTTGTGAAGTGTGTACTCAACTCACAGAGTTGAACTTTTCTTTTGATAGAGCAGTTTTGAAACACTCTTTTTGTAGAGTCTGCAAGTGGATATTTGGATAGCTGTGAGGATTTTGTTGGAACGGGAATATCTTCACATAAAAACTAGACAGGATTCTCAGAAACTTCTTTGTGATGTGTGTACTCAACTCACAGAGTGGAACCTTTCTTTTGATACAGCAGTTTTCAAACACAGTTTTTGTGGAATGTGCAAGTGCATATTTTGATAGCTGTGAGGATTTCGTTGAAAACGGAATACCTCCACATAAAAACTACACAGAGCCATTCTCAGAAACTTATTTCTGATGCTTGCATTCAACTGATTGAGATGAACATTCCTTTTTATTGAGCAGTTAGGGAACACTCTTTTTGTAGAATTTTAAGTGGAAACTTGGAGTGCTTTGAGGCCTATGGTGAAAAAGGAAATATCTTCAAATAAAAACTAGACGGAAGAATTTTCAGAAAATTCTTTGTGATGGGTGTACTCAGTTCACACAGCTGAACTTTTCTTTTGATAGAGCAGTTTTGAAACACACTTTTTGTAGAATCTGCAAGTGGATATTTGGATAGCTTTGAGGATTTCGTTGGAAACGGGAATATCTTCATATAAAATCCAGACAGAAGCATTCTCAGAAACTACTTTGTGATGTTTGCATTCAACTCACAGAGTTGAACTTCCTTTTCATAGAGAAGTTTTGAAACACTCTTTTTGTTGTATCTGGTAGTGGACATTTGGAGCGCTTTGAGGCCTATGGTGAAAAACGAAATATCCTCACATGAAAACTAGACAGAAGCATTCTCAGAAACTTCTTTGTGATGTGTGTACTCAACTCACAGAGTTTAACCTTTCTTTAGATAAAGCACTTTTGAAACACTCTTTTTGTAGAATCTGCAAGTGGATATTTGGATAGCTTTGAAGCTCTCATTGGACACGGGAATATCTTCACATAAAAACTAGACAGAAGCATTCTCAGAAACTTCTTTGTGGTGCTTGCAATCAACTCACTGAGTTGAATATTCCTTTTCATAGAGTAGTTTTGAAACACTCTTTTTGTAGAATCTGCAAATGGAAATTTGGAGCACTTTGAGGCTTATGGTGAAAAAGGAAATATCTTCCCATAAAAACTAGACAGAAGAATTCTCAGAAACTTCCTTGCGATGTGTGTACTGAACTCACAGGGTTGCACCTTTCTTTTGATACAGCAGTTTTGAAACACTCTTTTTCTAGAGTCTGCAAGTGGATATCTTGATAGCTTTCAGGATTTCATTAGAAACGGCAATATCTTCACGTAAAAACTAGACAGAAGCATTCTCAGAAACTTCTTTGTTATGTTTGCATTCAACTCAGAGACTTGAACATTCCCTTTCATAGAGCAGTTTTGAAACACTCTTTTTGTGAAATCTGCATGTGGACATTTGGAGCGATTTGAGACCTTTAGTGAAAAACGAAATATCTTCACATAAAAAGTGGATAGAAGCATTTTCAGAAACTACTTTGTGATGTGTGTACTCAACTCACAGAGTTAAACATTTCCTTTGATACAGCAGTTTTGAAACACTGTTCTTGTAGACTTTATAAGTGGATATTAGGACAGCTTTGAGTATTTCGTTGGAAACGGGAATAACGTCACATAAAAACTAGACAGAAGCATTCTCCGAAACTTCTTTGTGATGCTTGCATTCGACTCACTGAGTTAAACATTCCTTTTCATAGAGCAGTTTGGAAACACTCTTTTTGTTGTATCTGGTAGTGGACACTTGGAGCGCTTTGAGGCCTATGGTGAAAAACGAAATATCCTCACATAAAAACTAGACAGAAGCATTCTCAGAAACTTCTTTCTGATGTGTGAACTCACAGAGTTGAACCTTTCTTTTGATACAGCAGTTTTGAAACACTCTTTTTGTATAATCTGCAAGTGGATATATGGATAGCTTTGAGGATTTCATTGGAAACGGGATTATCTTCACATAAGAAGCAGACAAAAGCATTCTCAGAATCTACTTTGTGATGTTTGCATTCAACTCACAGAGTTGAACATTCCTTTTCATAGAGAAGTTTTGAAACACTCTTTTTCTATTATCTGTAAGTGTACATTTGGAATGCTTTGGGGCCTATGGTGCAAAACGAAATAGCCTCACATAAAAACAAGACAGAAGCATTCTCGAAAACTTCTTTGTGATGTGTGAACTCAACTCACAGAGTTTAACTTTTCTTTTGATACAGCAGGTTTGAAACACACTTTTTGTGGAATTTGCAAGTGGATATCTGGATAGCTTTGAGGATTTAGTTGAAAAAGATAATATCCTCACCTAAAAACTAGAAAGAAGCATTCTCAGAAATTTCTTTGTTATATTTGCATTCAACTCACAGACTTGAACATTCCCTTTCATAGAGCAGTTTTGAAACACTCTTTTTGTGAAATCCGCCTGTGGACATTTGGAGCGATTTGAGACCTATGGTGAAAAACGAGATATCTTCACATAAAAAGTGGACAGAAGCATTCACAGAAACTACTTTGTGATGTGTGTACTCAACTCACAGAGGTAAACCTTTTCTTTGATAGAGCAGTTTTGAAAAACTGTTGTTGTAGACTTTACAAGTGGATATTTGGACAGTTTTGAGTATTTTGTTGGACACGGGAATAACTTCACATAAAAACTAGACAGAAGCACTCTCAGAAACTTCTTTGTTATGCTTGCATTCAACTCACTGAGTTGAACATTCCTTTTCATAGAGCAGTTTGGAAACTCTCTTTTTCTAGAATCAGTAGTGGAAACTTGGAGCGCTTTGAGGCCTATGGTGAGAAAGGAAATATCTTCCCATAAAAACTAGACAAAAGAATTCTCAGAAACTTCTTTGTGATGTGTGTACTCAACTCACAGAGGAGAACTTTTCTTTTGATAGAGCAGTTTTGAAACACACTTTTTGTAGAATCTGCAAGTGGATATTTGGAAAGCTGTGAGGATTTCACTGGAAACAGGATTATCTTCACATAAAAACCAGACAGAAGCATTCTCAGAAGCTACTTTGTGATGTTTGCATTCAACTCACAGAGTTGAACATTCCTTTTCATAGAGCAGTTTTGAAACACTCTTTTTGTAGAAACTGCAAGTGGATATTTCGATAGCTTTGAGGATTTCGTAGGAAACGAGAATATCTTCATATAAAATCTAGACAGAAGCATTCTCAGAAAAATCTTTGGGATGTTTGCATTCAAGTCACAGAGGTGAAAATTCCCTTTCACAGAGCAGGTGTGAAACACTCTATTTGTAGTATCTCGAAGTGCACATTTGGAGCGCTTTGAGGCCTATGGTGAAAAAGGAAATATATTACCATAAAAACTAGATAGAAGCTTTCTCAGAAACTTGTTTAGGATGTGTGTACTCAATTAACAGAGTTGAACGTTTGTTTTGAGAGAGCAGTTTTGAAACACTCTTTTTGTAGAATCTACAAGTGGATATTTGGATAGCTTGGTGGATTTCGCTGGAAACGGGAATATCTTCATATAAAATCTAGACAGAAGCATTATCAGAAACTTCTTTGGGATGTTTGCATTCAAGACACAGAGTTGAACATTCACTTTCATAGAGCAGGTTTCAAACACTGATTTTGTAGTATGTGGAACTGGACATTTGGAGCACTTTGTGGCCTACGGTGAAACAGGAAACATCTTCCCATAAAAACTCGACAGAAGCATTCTCAGAACTAGTTTGTGATGTGTGTACTCAACTAACAGAGTTGAACCTTTCTTTTGATAGAGCAGTTTCAAAACACTCTTTTTGTAGAATCTGCAAGTGGATATTTGGATAGCTTTGAGGATTTCGTTGGAAACGGGAATATCTTCATATAAAATCTAGACAGCAGCATTCTCAGAAACATCTCTGTGATGTTTGCACTCAAGTCACAGAATTGAACATTCCCTTTCATAGACCAGGGTTGAAACACTCCTTTTTAGCATCTCGAAGGGCACATTTGGAGCGCACTGAGGCCTATGGTGAAAAAGGAAATATCTTCCCATAAAAACTAGACAGAAGTATTCTCAGAAGCCTGTTGAGGATGCGTGTACTCAACTAACAGAGTTGAAACTTTCTTTTGACAGAGTAGTTTTGACACACTCTTTTTGTAGATTCTGCAAATGGAAATTTGCATAGCTTTGAGGATTTCATTGGAAACGGGAATATCTTCATATAAAAAGTAGACAGAAGCATTCTCAGAAATTTCTTTGTGATGTTTGCATTCAGGTCACAGAGTTGAACATTCCCTTTCATAGAGCAGGTTTGAAACACTCTTTTTGTAGTATCTGGAAGTGGACATTTGGAGCGCTTTGTGGCCTATGGTGAAAAAGGAAATATCTTCCCATAAAAACCAGACAGAAGCATTCTCAGAGACCAGTTTGTGATGTGTGTACTCAAGTAACAGAGTTGAACCATTCTTTTGATAGAGCAGTTTTGAAACACTCTTTTTGTAGAATCTGCAAGTGGATATTTGGATAGCTTTGAGGATTTCGTTGGAAACGGGAATATCTTCATATAAAATCTAGACAGAAGCATTCTCAGAAACATCTCTGTGATGTTTGCATTCAAGTCACAGAGTTGAACATTCCCTTTCATAGAGCAGGTTTGAAACACTCTTTTTGTAGTATCTGGAAGTGCACATTTGGAGCGCTTTGTGGCCTATGGTGAAAAAGGCAATATCTTCCCATAAAAAGTAGACAGAAGTATTCTCAGAAACTAGTTTGTGGTATGTGTACTCAACTAACATAGTTGAACCTTTCTTTTGATAGAGCAGTTTTGAAACACTCTTTTTGTAGAATCTGCAAGTGGATATCTGGTTAGCTTTTAGGGTTTCGTTGGAAACGGGAATATCTTCTTATAAAATCTACACAGAAGCATTATCAGAAACTTCTTTGTGATGTTTGCATTCAAGTCACAGAGATGAACATTCCCTTTCATAGAGGAGATCTGAAACACTGATTTTGTAGTATCTGGAACTGGACATTTGGAGCGCTTTATGGCCTCTGGTGGAAAAGTAAGTATCTTCCCATAAAAACTAGACAGAAGCATTCTGAGAAACTACTTTGTGATGTGTGTACTCAACTCACCGAGTTCAAAGTTTCCTTTGATAGACCAGTTTTGAAACACGCTTTTTGTAGAATATGCAGGTGGATATTTGGATAGCTTTGAGGATTTCATTGGAAACGAGAATATCTTCATATAAATTCTAGACAGAAGCATTGTCAGAAACATCTTTGGGATGTTTGCTTTCAAGTCACAGAGTTGAACATTCCCTTTCATAGAGCAGGTTTGAAACACTCTTTTTGTGGAATCTGGAAGTGGACATTTGGATTGCTTTGAGGCCTATGGTAAAAAAGGGAATATCTTCGCATAAAAATTAGACAGAAGCATTCTCATAAACCAGTTTGTGATGTGTGTGCTCAACTAACAGAGCTGAACCTTTCTTTTGATAGAGCAGTTTTGAAGCACTCTTTTTGTAGAATCTGCATGTGGATATTTGGATAGCTTTGAGGATTTCGTTGGAAACGGGAATATCTTCATATGCAATCAACACACAAGCAATCTCATAAACATCTTTGGGATGTTAGCATTCGAGTCACAGAGTTGAACATTCCGTTTCATAGAGCAGGTTTGAAACAGTCTTTTTGTAGTATCTGGAAGTGGACGTTTTGATCGCTTTGAGGCCTATGGTGAAAAAGGAAATATCTTCGCATAAAAACTAGACAGAAGCATTCTCAGAAACCAGTTTGTGATGTGTGTACTCAAGTAACAGAGTTGAACCATTCTTTTGATAGAGCAGTTTTGAAACACTCTTTTTGTAGAATCTGCAAGTGGATATTTGGATAGCTTTGAGGATTTCGTTGGAAACGTGAATATCTTCATATAAAATCTACAGAGAAGCATTCTCAGAAATATCTCTGTGATCTCTGCATTCAAGTCACAGAGTTGAACATTCCCTTTCATAGAACAGGTTTGAAACACTGATTTTGTAGTATCTGGAACTGGTCATTTGGAGTGCTTTGTGGACTATGTTGAAATAGGAAATATCTTCCCATAGATACTAGACAGAAGCATTCTCAGAAACTAGTTTGTGATGTGTGTACTCAACTAACAGAGTTGAACCTTTCTTTTGATAGAGTAGTTTTGAAACACTCTTTTTGTAGAAACTGCAAGTGGATATTTGGATAGCTTTGAGGATTTCCTTGGAAACGGGAATATCTTCATGTAAAATCTAGACAGAAGCATACTCAGAAACATCTCTGTCATGTTTTCATTCTAGTCACAGTGTTGAACATTCTCTTTCATAGAGCAGGTTTGAAACGCTGATTTTATAGTATGTGGAACTGGACATTTGGATCGCTTTGAGGACTATCGTGAAAAAGGAAATATCTTCCCATAAAAACTACACAGAAGCATTCTCAGAATCTACTTTGTGATGTGTTTACTCAACTAACACAGTTGAACCTTTCTTTTGATAGAGCAGTTTTGAAACACTCTTTTTGTAAAATCTGAAAGTGGATATTTGGATAGCTTTGAGTATTTCGTTGTAAACGGTAATATCTTCATATAAAATCTAGACAGAAGTATTCGCAGAAACATCTTTGGGATGTTTGCATTCAAGTCAGAGAGTTGGACATTCCCTTTCATAGAGCAGGTTTGAGACACTCTTTTTGTAGTATCTGGAAATGGACATTTAGATCGCTTTGAGGCCTATGGTGAAAAAGGAAATATCTTCGCATAAAAACTAGATGGAAGCATTCTCCTAAACTTGTTTGGAATGTGTGTACTCAGCTAACAGAGTTGCACCTGTCTTTTGATAGAGCAGTTTTGAAACACTCTTTTTGTAGAATATGCAAGGGGATATTTGGATAGCTTTGAGGATTTCATTGGAAACGGGAATATCTTCATATAAAATCTGGACAGAAGCATTCTCAGAAACATCTCTGTGAGGATTGCATTGAAGTCACACAGTTGAGCATTCCCGTTCACAGAGCAAGTTTGAAACAATGATTTTGTAGTATGTGGAACTGGACATTTGGAGCGCTTTGTGGACTATTGTGAAAAAGGAAATGTCTTCCCATAAAAACTAGGCAGAAGCATTCTGAGAAACCAGTTTGTGATGTTTGTACTCAACTAAAAAGGGTGAACTTTTCTTTTGATACAGCAGTTTTGAAACACTCTTTTTGTAGAATCTGCAAGTGGATATTTGGATAGCTTTGAGGATTTCGTTGGAATAGGGAATATGTTCATATAAAATCTAGACAGAAGCATTCTCAGAAACATCTCTGTGAGGATTGCATTCAAGTCACAGAGTTGAACATTCCCTTTCATAGAGCAGGTTTGAAACAATGATTTTGTAGTATGTGGAACTGGATATTCGGAGCGCTTTGTGGCCTATTGTGAAAAAGGAAATATCTTCCCATAAAAACTAGGCAGAAGCATTCTCAAAAACCAGTTTGTGATGTGTGTACTCAACTAACAGGGTTGAACCTTTCTTTTGATAGAGCAGTTTTGAAACACTCTTTTTGTAGAATTTGCATGTGGATATTTGGACAGCTTTGAGGATTTCGCTGGAAACGGGAATATCTTCATATAAAATCTAGACAGAAGCATTCTCAGAAACATCTTTGGGATGTTTGCATTCAAGTCACAGAGTTGAACATTCCCTTTCACAGAGCAGGTTTGAAACACTCTTTTTGTGGAATCTGGAAGTGGACATTTGGATCGCTTTGAGGCCTATGGTGACAAAGGGAATATCTTCGCATAAAAACTAGACAGAAGCATTCTCATAAACTAGTTTGTGATGTGTGTGCTCAACTAACAGAGCTGAACCTTTCTTTTGATAGAGCAGTTTTGAAACACTCTTTTTGTAGAATATGCAGGTGGATATTTGGATAGCTTTGAGGATTTCGTTGGAAACGGAAATATCTTCATATGAAATCGAGACACAAGCATTCTCAGAAACATCTTTCAGATGTTAGCATTCGAGTCACAGAGTTGAATATTGCCTTTCATAGAGCAGGTTTGAAACACTCTTTTTGTAGTATCTGGAAGTGGACATTTTGATCGCTTTGGGGCCTATGGTGAAAAAGGAAATATCTTTGCATAAAAACTAGACAGAAGCATTCTCATAAACTTGTTTGTGATGTGTGAACTCAACTAACAGAGGTGAAACTTTCTTTTGATACAGCAGTTTTGAAACACTCTTTTTGTAGAATCTGCAAGTGGTTATTTGGACAGCTTTGAGGGTTTCGTTGGAAATGGGAATATCTTCACATAAAATCTACAGAGAAGCATTCTCAGAAACATCTCTGTGATCTTTGCATTCATGTCACAGAATTGAACATTCCCTTTCATAGAGCAGGTTTGAAACACTGATTTTGTAGTATCTGGAACTGGTCATTTGGAGCTCTTTGTGGCCTATGTGGAAATAGGAAATATCTTCCCATAGAAACTAGAGAGAAGTATTCTCAGAAACTAGTTTGTGATGTGTGTACTCAACTAACAGCGTTGATCCTTTCTTTTGATAGAGCAGTTTTGAAACACTCTTTTTGTAGAAAATGCAAGTGGATATTTGGATAGCTTTGAGGATTTCTTTGGAAACGGGAATATCTTCATATAAAATCTAGACAGAAGCATACTCAGAAACATCTCTGTGATGTTTGCATTCTAGTCACAGAGTTGAACATTCTCTTTCATAGAGCAGGTTTCAAACACTGATTTTATAGTATGTGGAACTGGACATTTGGATCGCTTTGAGGCCTATTGTTTAAAAGGAAATATCTTCCCATAAAAACTACACAGAAGCATTCTCATAAACTACTTTGTGATGTGTTTACTCAACTACAACAGTTGAACGTTTCTTTTGATAGAGTAGTTTTGAAACACTCTTTTTGTAGAATCTGCAACGGGATATTTGGATAGCTTTGAGGGTTTCGTTGGAAACAGGAATATCTTCATATTAAATCCAGATAGAAGCATTCTCAGAAACATCTTTGGGATGTTCGCATTCAAGTCACAGAGTTGAACATTCCCTTTCATAGAGCAGGTTTGAAACACTCTTTTTGTGGAATCTGGAAGTGGACATTTGGATCGCAATGAGGCCTATGGTGAAAAAGGGAATATCTTCAAATAAAAACTAGACAGAAGCATTCTCATAAACTACTTTGTGATGTGTGTGCTCAACTAACACAGCTGAACCTTTCTTTTGATAAAGCAGTTTTGAAACACTCTTTTTGTAGAATATGCAGGTGGATATTTGGATAGATTTGAAGATTTCATTGGAAACGGGAATATGTTAATATAAAATCTAGACAGAAGCATTCTCAGAAACATCTTTGGGGTGTTAGCATTCAAGTCACAGAGTTGAACATTCCCTTTCATACAGCAGGTTTGAAACACTCTTTTTCCGGAATCTGGAAGTGGACATTTGGATCGCTTTGAGGCCTATGGTGAAAAAGGGAATATCTTCGCATAAAAACTAGACAGAAGTATTCTCCTAAACTAGTTTGTGATGTGTGTGCCCAACTAATAGAGTTGAAGCTTTCTTTTGATGGAGCAGTTTTGAAACACTCTTTTGTAGAATCTGCATGTCGATATTTGGATAGCTTTGAGGATTTCGTTGGAAACGGGAATATCTTAATATGAAATCGAGACACAAGCATTCTCAGAAACATCTTTCGGATGTCAGCATTCGAGTCACAAACTTGAACATTTCCTTTCATAGAGCAGGTTTGAAACACTCTTTTTGTAGTATCTGGAAGTGGACATTTTGATCGCTTTGAGGCCTATGGTGAAAAAGGAAATATCTTCGCATAAAAACTAGACAGAAGCATTCTCATAAACTTGTTTTTGATGTGTGAACTCAACTAACAGAGGTGAAACTTTCTTTTGATACAGTAGCTTTGAGACACACTTTTTGTAGAATCTCCAAGTGGTTATTTGGATAGCTTTGAGGGTTTCGCTGGAAACAGGAATATCTTCATATAAAATCTACAGAGAAGCATTCTCAGAAACATCGCTGTGATCTTTGCATTCAAGTCACAGAGTTGAACATTCCCTTTTATAGAGCAGGTTTGAAACCCTGATTTTGTAGTATCTGGAACTGGTCATTTCGAGCGCTTTGTGGCCTATGTTGAAATAGGAAATATCTTCCCATAGAAACTAGACAGAAGCATTCTCAGAAACTAGTTTGTGATGTGTGTACTCAACTAACAGAGTTGAACCTTTCTTTTGATGGAGCAGTTTTGAAGCACTGTTTTTGTAGAATCTGCAAGTGCATATTTGGATAGCTTTGAGGATTTCGTTGGAAACGGGAATATCTTCATGTAAAAAGTGGACAGAATCATTCTCAGAAACATCTCTGTGATGTTTGCATTCAAGTCACAGAGCTGAATATTCCCTTTCATAGATCAGGTTTGAAACAGTCTTTTTGTAGTACCTGGAAGTGGACATTTGGAGCGCTTTGAGGCCTATGGTGAAAAAGGAAATATCTTCCCATAAAAACTAGACAGAAGCATTCTCAGAAAAATGTTTCGGATGTCTGTACTCAACTAACAGAGTTGAACCTTTCTTTTGATAGAGCAGTTTTGAAGCACTCTTTTTGTAGAATCTGCAAGTGGATATTTGGATAGCTTTCAGGATTTCCTTGGAAACGGGAATATCTTCATATAAAATGTAGACAGAAGCATTCTCAGAAACATCTTTGGGATGTTTGCATTCAAGTCACAGAGTTGAACATTCTCTTTCATAGAGCAGGTTTGAGACACTCTTTTTGTGGTATCTGGAAGTGGACATTTGGGTCGCTTTGAGGCCTATGGTGAAAAAAGAAATATCTTCCCATAAAAACTAGATAGAACCATTCTCATAAACTTGTTTATGATGTGTGTACTCAACTAACAGAGTTGAACCTTTCTTTTGATAGAGCAGTTTTGAAACACTCTTTTTTTCATTATACTTTAAGTTTTTGGGTACATGTGCACATTGTGCAGGTTAATTACATATGTCTACATGTGCCATGCTGGTGCACTGCCCCCCCTAACTCGTCATCTAGCATTAGGTGTATCTCCCAATGCTATCCCTCCCCCCTCCCCCCACCCCACAACAGTCCCCAGAGTGTGATGTTCCCCTTCCTGTGTCCATGTGATCTCATTGTTCAATTCCCACCTATGAGTGAGAATATGCGGTGTTTGGTTTTCTGTTCTTGCGATAGTTTATAGAGGGTTTACAATTTCATCCATGTCCCTACAAAGGACATGAACTCATCATTTTTTATGGCTGCATAGTATTCCATGGTGTATATGTGCCACATTTTCTTAATCCAGTCTATCATTGTTGGACATTTGGGTTGGTTCCAGGTCTTTGCTATTGTGAATAATGCTGCAATAAACGTACGTGTGCATGTGTCTTTATAGCAGCATGATGTATAGTCCTTTGGGTATACACCCAGTAATGGCATGGCTGGGTCAAATGGTATTTCCAGTTCTAGATCCCTGAGGAATCGCCACACTGACTTCCACAATGATTGAACTAGTTTACAGTCCCACCAACAGCGTAAAAGTGTTCCTATTTCTCCACATCCTCTCCAGCACCTGTTTCCTGACTTTTTAATGATTGCCATTCTAACTGTTGTGAGATGGTATCTCATTGTGGTTTTGATTTGCATTTCTCTGATGGCCAGTGATGAGGAGCATTTTTTCATGTGTTTTTGGCTGCTTAAATGTCTTCTTTTGAGAAGTGTCTGTTCATGTCCTTCGCCCACTTTTTGATGGGTTTGTTTTTTTCTTGTAAATTTGTTTGAGTTCATTGTAGATTCTGGATATTAGCCCTTTGTCAGATGAGTAGGTTGTGAAAATTTTCTCCCATTTTGTAGGTTGCCTGTTCACTCCGATGGTAGCTTCTTTTGCTGTGCAGAAGCTCTTTAGTTTAATTAGATCCCATTTGTCAGTTTTGTCTTTTGTTGCCATTGCTTTTGGTGTTTTAGACATGAAGTCCTTGCCCATGCCTATGTCCTGAATGGTAATGCCTCAGTTTTCTTCTAGGGTTTTTATGGTTTTAGGTCTAACGTTTAAGTCTTTAGTCCATCTTGAATTGGTTTTTGAATAAGGTGTAAGGAAGGGATCCAGTTTCAGCTTTCTACATATGGCTAGCCAGTTTTCCCAGCACCATTTATTAAATAGGGAATCCTTTCCCCATTGCTGGTTTTTCTCAGGTTTGTCAAAGATCAGATAGTTGTAGATATGTGGCGTTATTTCTGAGGGCTCTGTTCTGTTCCATTGATCTATATCTCTGTTTTGGTACCAGTACCATGCTGTTTTGGTTACTGTAGCCTTGTAGTATAGTTTGAAGTCAGGTAGCGTGATGCCTCCAGCTTTGTTCTTTTGGCTTAGAATTGACTAGGCGATGCGGGCTCTTTTTTGGTTCCATATGAATTTTAAAGTAGTTTTTCCCAATTCTGTGAAGAAAGGCATTGGTAGCTTGATGGGGATGGCATTGAATCTGTAAATTATCTTCTTCCTACCCATGACCATGGAATGTTCTTCCATTTGTTTGTATCCTCTTTTATTTCCTTGAGCAGTGGTTTGTAGTTCTCCTTGAAGAGGTCCTTCACATCCCTTGTAAGTTGGATTCCTAGGTATTTTATTCTCTTTGAAGCAATTGTGAATGGGAGTTCACTCATGATTTGGCTCTCTGTTTGTCTGTTGCTGGTGTATAAGAATGCTTGTGATTTTTGTACATTGATTTTGTATCCTGAGACTTTGCTGAAGTTGCTTATCAGCTTAAGGAGATTTTGGGCTGAGACAATGGGGTTTTCTAGATATACAATCATGTCGTCTGCAAACAGGGACAATTTGACTTCCTCTTTTCCTAATTCAATACCCTTTATTTCCTTCTCCTGCCTAATTGCCCTGACCAGAACTTCCAACACTATGTTGAATAGGAGTGGTGAGAGAGGGCATCCCTGTCTTGTGCCAGTTTTCAAAGGGAATGCTTCCAGTTTTTGCCCATTCAGTATGATATTGGCTGTGGGTTTGTCATAGATAGCTCTTATTATTTTGAAATACGTCCCATCAATACCTAATTTATTGAGAGTTTTTAGCATGAAGGGTTGTTGAATTTTGTCAAAGGCTTTTTCTGCATCTATTGAGATAACCATGTGGTTTTTGTCTTTGGCTCTGTTTATATTCTGGATTACATTTATTGATTTGCATATATTGAACCAGCCTTGCATCCCAGGGATGAAGCCCACTTGATCATGGTGGATAAGCTTTTTGATGTGCTGCTGGATTCAGTTTGCCAGTATTTTATGAGGATTTTTGCATCAATGCTCATCAAGATATTGGTCTAAAATTCTCTTTTTTTGTTGTGTCTCTGCCTGGTTTTGGAATCAGAATGATGCTGGCCTCATAAAATGACTTAGGGAGGATTCCCTCTTTTTCTATTGATTGGAATAGTTTCAGAAGGAATGGTACCAGTTCCTCCTTGTACCTCTGGTAGAATTCAGCTGTGAATCCATCTGGTCCTGGACTCTTTTTGGTTGGTAAGCTATTGATTATTGCCACAATTTCAGATCCTGTTATTGGTCTATTCAGAGATTCAACTTCTTCCTGGTTTAGTCTTGGGAGAGTGTATGTGTCGAGGAATTTATCCATTTCTTCTAGATTTTCTAGTTTATTTGCGTAGAGGTGTTTGTAGTATTCTCTGATGGTAGTTTGTATTTCTGTGGGATCGGTGGTGATATCCCCTTTATCATTTTTTATTGCGTCTATTAGATTCTTCTCTCTTTTTTTCTTTACTAGTCTTGCTAGCGGTCTATCAATTTTGTTGATCCTTTGAAAAAACCAGCTCCTGGATTCACTAATTTTTTGAAGGGATTTTTGTGTCTCTATTTCCTTCAGTTCTGTTCTGATTTTAGTTATTTCTTGCCTTCTGCTAGCTTTTGAATGTGTTTGCTCTTGCTTTTCTAGTTCTTTTAATTGTGATGCTAGGGTGTCAATTTTGGATCTTTCCTGCTTTCTCTTGTGGGCATTTATTGCTATAAATTTCCCTCTACACACTGCTTTGAATGCGTCCCAGAGATTCTGGTATGTTG